>NC_000018.10:48823910-49124577 GCF_000001405.40 Homo sapiens
GGAAGACATAAAATTGTCTCTGTTTGTAGATGACATGATCTTATATATAGAAAATCCTAAAGACTCCACACACACACACACACACACACACACACACACACACAAACTGCTAGAACTAATAAATGAATTCAGTAAATTTGCAAAAAACATAATCAACATACAAAAATCCTTTCTATTTCTGTGCACTATCTGAAGAGGAAATTAGGAAAACAATCTTACAATTGCATCCAAAAGAAATACTTAGGAATAGAGTCAACCAAAGAAGTAAAAAACTTGTACACTGAAAACTATAACATATTATTTTAAGACATGAAAAAAGACACAAACAAATGGAAAAACATCCCATGAGCATTTTATAATAGCATTCTAAGGACCTCTTTCTCCTGCCCAGGTCCTCAGCCTAACTGTGACTATGAGGGCTGCACACACAGGAGGGGTGCAATTATTGTTTATGGCCTGAGCAAAGGGTTGTCATCTCCCCATCAGCTGGTATCTCTGAGCCAACATGCCAGGCTGTGGGTCTGGCTTGTCTAGAGCCTTCATTCCCTGACCCTACAATGCTCTCCACCTCCTCCGCCTCTCCGTGCCTCTGTGATCCCGTGGTGTTGTTGTGAGGCTCTTCTAGGTTATCATTGAATGCCTCTCTCTGAGCCCCTTACTTAAAGTCCTTTGTTGAAAATTTCTCTGGCAGGGGAATTTTCTTTTCTCTCCTTTTTTTTTTTGTTTTGTTTTTTGATTTTTTCTGAGACAGAGTTTCACTCTTGTCGCCCAGGCTGGAGTGCAGTGGTGCAACCTCTGCCCACTGCAACCTTCTTCGCCTCCCGGGTTCAAGCGATTCTTCTGCCTCAGCCTCTCAAGGAGCTGGGATTACAGACGTCCGCCACCACGCCCAGCTAATTTTTTGTATTTTTGGTAGAGACGGGGTTTCGCCATGTTGGCCAGGCTAGTCTCAAACTCCTGACCTCAGGTGATCTGGCCACCTCGGCCTCCCAAAGTGCTGAGATTACAGGCGTGAGCCACTGCACCCAGCCAAGCAGGGGAATTTTCAACAAAGTTCCATGCGCCTGTTTTCCTCCACTTCCTCTCATCCTCTCTCTCCCCTGAACATCCCACCTTTCTTCTCTCCATCCAATCCCCCCAGCTCATCCCTACCCATAATTCCAACCCTCCTGTCTCTTTGGAGTCCAGCAGCCATAGCCAGAGGTCAGGAGTGGAGTAAAGGAGGAAGGCAGGGCGCTTTCTGCCAGGAATCTCCCATCTCTCTGTACCCACCTCCTGATCCCCACCAACCTCTCCCTCTGGTTGCCCCCTGGCTCTTCTCCCCTCCAGGCCCCAGAAATCCCATCTGCCCCTCCCTGCCCTTTCCAAGGGAAGGGCAGGGAGAGGGCAGATGCCTCTGAGGGGTGTCTCTGAGGGGTGCCCCCAAGGGACACAACTGGCTGCGCTCCTAGAGGAGGTGGGCAGGCACAGGCCAGGGAGGAGAACACAGAGGCCAGCAAGTCAGGCTTCTCAGGAAATGAAATTGCTCTGTGCAACAATGAGAGAGCCACTTTTTAAACTTTTTGCGTGAGTGTGCATTCAATTGCTCACATTGTTTTGGCTCCAGGGGAAATCTGACCTCGGAAAAGGCTGAGATGAAGCGGGTGTGGGTGGAGAGCCTCTGCTATTTCACAGAGTCAAGCAACACATTCTTCAGAGGCACCTTTCCAGGCGGACCATTCCTCCTTTCCCAAGAGCAGGGCATTCAGCTACCCAGCAGAGGCCAGGGCAGGACCCACTTTGGCCAGAAGTGACCAAGATAGTCTGTTCCCCAGGGGTAACAATGAACTCTGATGGGGAGCAGAGATTTGCTGGCTGGATCCATGGGGAATTATCTTCAGCCCTGCAACTTGAGAAGCTTTTACTACATTACAAACTCTCAGACCCCTTCTTCAACCAATTAAACCAAACTTCCTGAAAATGGGGTTTGCTCGGCAGGGATATGTAAGCTTTCCAAATGATTCTAATGTCCGGCCAAGGTTAAGGAACATAGTCTCAGCATCCTAGGTGCATTCAGTGAGCATCCACTGACCAGCCAAAAACCCTTGGGTGAGGGGCATAGCCTTAGGAGCCAGAGAGACCTGAGTTTGAATCCCAGCTGTGCCACTTACTAGCCGTGGGACTTTAACCTCATTCTTCCGTCTTTTGAAACCTCGATTTTCTTATCTGTAGCATAGGAATGAGAATAATACTCATCCTGTGGCTTTGTTTTCAGGCTTAAAATAAGCGAGGTGTTTCTGTGAAGCAAGTGGCATATGACAGCCTTGCAGGGAACTGTCAGTTTGTGTGTTGCTGTTGAATACAAACCGTGTTCCAGGCATGGCTCAAGAGAAAAAAAATCGCAACACAGTCAGCCCCAGAAAGTGAGGTCCATTCTCCCAACGGGGCATCCAAGGCCTCCATAAGCAAACACAACCCCTTTCTCCAGCCAAACTGCTCCACTTGTATTTCCATAGGTGGCCTTGCATTCCTCCCACCATGAGAACAATCTTTCTCCTCTTCTTGCCTGGCTCTTGCCCACCTTCAGGGCCGGGCTCACTTCCCACCGCCTCCTCACCCTGCCTGGATTCATTCCTCTTACAACATCCTATAGAACTAATGTCCACCCGGGGCTGTCAACGTCTGTCTCCAGATATGCTCTTTGCCAGGTGGCTGTATTAATGCCTTGTGACCCTTTCTTGGTTGCTTTTAAATCATTTCAGTCTTTCGTTGCTACCTGGGGACAGGCTAGGTCTCATCTGTCATGGAACCCCGGCTGCATGTTGCTCGGAGTCTGTGCTCATTCAACAAGCAATGATTTAGTTTGAGACAATGCTTCTTATTGAACTGCGAAGTTTCCTAGTAGTACCAGAAGGAGGGATATAAGTTGTGATCCTTCAGCGAAGAGCTTGCAATCCTCCTGAAATTAAGCAGCCATGAACACTTATGATGGATTGTAAGCTGGATGAATGTGGGGAAATGGAATGGGGAAGGAGGTGGGGAGCCGCCGGGGACAAAGGGCAGGGGAGCTGGGGCTTAAGGGAAAGTGGATTGTGGACAGGCATGGGGGAAATGGGGAAAGCCTCCAGGAAGGAGCCTTTGAGCCAAGGCGTGGGGGCCAGAATAAGCATGGCCCATCTGGGTGGTAAAGAGAGGGCCCGATGAGCGAGCCGTGGCCAGCTCCGGCTCTCACCAGAGGTGTTCTAGTGAATGCAGGATGACTCCAAGAACCTTGGAAAGGTTTTAAGCCAGAAAGCAACACCATGGAAGGAACAAAGGAGCATTCCTTTATTCATTCAACAAACAATGAGAAAAATGCTACTTCCTTATTAAACTGGAAAGTCTCCTGGACACATTGCTTGCTAGAAATGTGCTGAGATAACAAAGTCAACTAAATCTGGAGCAGTCTCTAGCCAGAGGAGCCCACGGGTAACTCAGTGCCCGGAGGAGTGCAGTGCTCCAAATAAAGCGTGGGCAGGAGAGGGAAGGTGGGAGCCCAGATGGAGGAAGAGGCGAGGAGGCAGGAGAGCCACCTCAAAGGGCATCCCGGCAGAGAGCAACTCCCCAGCTCCTGATTGCCTTTAAATTTGTTCTGACTGTAACGGTCAAACAAAAAGACTTAGCAGGAAGTGAAGGGCTAGAATGCAGCTTGAAAAATCAGGAGAACCTTTCTGCATGAACAGTTTATTCCAGCCCTAATCTTAGGCACAGACCCCGCCTGGAATGTTCCTCTGAGAATGTAGCCTTCCTAGGGCCAGGTACCCAGCCCCTGGGCACTGGCTTAGCATCGGAGTCCCTGCAGGGCCAGCAGCTGCTGCTATGAATACCCCAGCTTAAGCGACCATTCCTGTAACCTCCGCCGAAATAACTTCCCACCCGCTTTGTCCCCTCCAGAGCTTTCGTTCCCCTCTTCCGCTCAGCACACACAGTGAAGTTAACTCAGCGGGGTGACGCCGACCTACCCAGACCCCCACGCCCCAAACATACACACATAAACACACGGAAGCGGCCCCATCTGAAGCTGCCTGGATCCTTGACCTCCTCAAGATAGAACTGGAGTCTCCCACCCACCCCACCTCCACTCCCGACCCTCTCCCCAGCCCCCACCCTTTGACTGTTCTGCTTCCTTAGCCAGACTCTGCAAACTGAAATGTGAAATTTGAAGCCAGTGTTCCCCTTAGCAACCATGGTAACACAGGATCTGATAGAGAGCCTAGAGTTATAAAAATACCAGCTTCCACCAGACACTGGTTTCCAAAGGGAAACCAGTCTCCAAGCCAGAACCGTTTTTAAACAGTCTTAAAACTCAAGAGATTTCTAAACCAATCTCAACATGGCTCAGGAGGACATCTCTTTAATCCTGTTTTGGAAGGTGGTGTGGGTGCAAGCTTTGGGTATTTTCTCTGAAATACAGAGATTCAGAATGCATGTGCTCACGGGGGAATTAACTAGCCTTATGAAGGGTATATAGCAGGGAGCAGTTTTTCCTAATAAACATCAACTATTTGGCATTTTTTCATAGATTGAGCTGCCCTGCTGACCCCCAGTGAAATCTTCCTTCCAGTTCCCTCCCGGGGAGTCCTCAGCTCCATCCATCCTCCTAATTAGGGAGAGAGAATGATTTCGCCTATCTCCCCTTGCTTGAAAACAATTTAAATTCACAAAACCATTTTCCAGCCGGAATTCTACTTTAAGGCTTAGGTAGGGAGGTAAGAGATGGTGATGTCAAAACTTTTCTGCTCAGGACCAACAAGAAAAGTCCTACATCCCTGTCCCCAGCCCTTTCTCTCCCCACAGACGCACCCTCGGGCATGGGCCCAGCACGAGCTATAAATCCCTGTTCTCTGCGTTCCCTGCAGAGGGCACAAGCCTGGCGAGTGGGGGCAGTGAGGGCAGTAGGGGGACTCTCCCCAGGGGAGGGGCACCTTCCCAGCCCCCAGCCCCGCCTTCGCAGCCCTGGACGGCTTGCCCTCCCATCTCCTTCCCCCGCCTGCTCCTCCTCCTCCCTCTTATCTCCTGGGGCCATGCCTTGTAATTTTGAAAAATCTTCTGACTGGGTAATTAATGTCTGAACTTCAAGAGGCCCCTGCTATCTGCAGAGCTGAGCTGAAGGTGGGAGGGGACCGGCAGCTGCTGAAGGCTTGGAGGAGGGAGGGGGTGCAGATTATTTTTTCTGAGCTGTTTAATGGACGGGACTGGGGAGGATAGAATCGTACCTTGCCAGAGTTGTGGGTACAAGATGTATATGTACACAGGCACAAGCATCCGTCTAGATTTTTAAATCCTTTGGGGTAATCCTTTGGGGTTAAAATCACACAGTAGGATGCCCTCCTGCTCACACACCCTCACCGTCCCTTAGCAGTTTCCCAGCAGGTGGATGGCAGCAAACACTAGGGGAGCCAGGCTGGGGGACTTTCTGAGTGCAGGTCTGGTTGGGAGGACTGGTTGGGAGGGAGGGACAGTGACTTACACATTTCAGAGATCATAAACCGGGCACTGGGGGTGCAAAAAATGGCCATCAGTTACTCCAGGTAACTCAGAAGTCAAAATATAAGCCTGCCTGTTTCCCACCTTAAGGGAGGATCCAGGCAACTCTGCAGACGTCTGCAGAGCCCCCCGACCTCCGTGCTTCCCAGAGTGGGCCCCCGCCTTGCCCAGCCTCCGTGCTCCAGCACAGGTGCCCTCCATCTAGCAGTTGGGGTGCCGAGTGCTGGACCCACTGCTAGGCCCTGGGCATAAGCACGCTGGGGTCCCTGTCCTCACAGAGCTGCTGTCTCCTGGGGAGAGGAGGAGCAAACGGTGCCCTGCACTAAGAGCCGAGGGTGAATAAAGCACACACAGCTCTCCAGGACCCCTGTGGATCTTTCTCCAACCGACTCCAGCTCTCAGGACCTGTAGCTCAAATTAGCATTGATGATATCCACCTGCTGCCATTCTTGCCTTCAGATGTGAATGATGTTTAGGGAACTAACTTTTCTCCTCCCTTCTGTCCACCTCAAGACCAAGCCAGGCTCCAGCTCCTTCTTGATGGCTCTGCTCTCATTGCCGCCAGCACTGAACTGTAGGTCAGAGTGTGGGCGGGGCCAGGCCTTTTGAGAAAGAACCTCCAGGATCAGCCTTCTCTTGTAGCCAGGAAGAGGAGGGGAATGCTAGGGGAAGAAGGTGGGTTTCGGAGGCAGACAGTCTTCTGCAGCTTACCCTCTCTGGCCCTTGGGTAGATGTGTTAATTATTTTTGTTTGTTTGTTTGTGTTTTGAGACAGTGTCTCGCTCTGTCACCCAGGCTGGAGTGCAGTGATGTGATCTTGGCTCACTACAACCTCCGCCTGCCAGAGTCAAGGATTCTCCTGCCTCAGCCTCCTGAGTAGCCGGGATTACAGGCGTGTGCCACCACACCCAGCTAATTTTAGTATTTTTAGTAGAGACGGGGTTTCACTATGTTGGCCAGGCTGATCTCAAACTCCTGACCTCAGGTGATCCGCCCACCTTGGCCTCCCAAGGTGCTGGGATTACAGGCTACAGGCGTGAACCACCGCGCCCGGCCAGATTTGTTGATTATAAATTGACTTCCTCCCTTCCCTGTAGCTCACTGTCTGAGAGGTACACCACCCCCAAAAAACAAAGACATGAAATAAAAGGATGGGTTCACAGCATATTTTATATTGTATAAACTGAAGTGCTGCTTACTGGGAAAAAATGTGGAAGAACACAGTAGAATAAGGCTCAGGACCTTGGTTCACTCTCTGGGAGAAGGCCCTTCTTCTAGGTGCCTGTCCAGGGCTCTGCTCAGAAGTCAGTTTCTCAGACCCCCCCCCGACCACGCCCCAGCCTGTCCCCCCACCACTGTCCCCAGCCTGACTGCCTTCTCTTCATTGCCCTACTAGTGCCTGGCTTGGAGTTTTCTTTGTTAATCGCTTATTTTCTGTCTCTCAACTAGCATGGAAACTCTCTCAAGGCAGGGAACGTGTCTATTCACAGCTGTATCCCTGTGCCTAGAATAGTGCCTGGTATATAGCAGGTCCTCAGTAGATACTTATTGACTGAATTAAGGAAGTAGAGTGCCTAGACTGAGCAAAGCCAGAGACAATAGTCAGCCCTTCTAGAATTCATCTGGAATGATTTCTCAGTGGAGATAAATCCAGAACCCTTGAAGGGGCAATGTGAGTGAGCAGAGTGGGGCTGGCTGGTAGTGGTCCCTGGAGATGAGCTCAGAACGGGAAAGGGAAAAGAAACACCCCCCATCACCCCAGCAAGCAAGCCCAAAAGGGGCATTTGTGCCCACACTGTGAGTGAACCAGTGCAAACAGTGCTCTCAGCCTGCGAAGCTGCCTCTGTTCTGTCCCTGCCTTTGGTTAAGTGGCCTTTTCTCAACAACCCTCCACCGAGCTTCATATGAGATTCAGTCTGTCCAAAGTCAGAATCCCACAAACCACAATCTTTAGGAGAAGTCAGGAGGAGCTTCTAGCAAAGCTCCCTGGACCAAGAGCCCATGGGGAAGGGATTGTTGTGGGGGCCTGGGCACCTGCTGTACACTGTGACAGCGCTCAGCAGGGCCCTCCTCACTGCCCCTCCCATGAGGAACGGAGGAAGTTAGGAGTATGTGCAGGGGGCACGAAGGGTGGGAGAATGGAGTGGGTGGGAAAGGACACCCACAGTCACAGACCTTGAAGATGACGGAAACCTTGACAATTACAGCAGAATTCACCTATGGAGCAACATGGCCAGTAACAATATAACGTGAGCCACGTGTAATTTTACATGGCCTAGTAGCCACATTTTAAAAAACTGAAAAGGGAACAGGTGAAATTAATTTTATGCTGTCTAATATATCCAAATAATCACCATTTTAACGTGTAATCAATATTAAAAAGTACCAATGAGATATTTTTTACGTTCTTCTCTTTTGGTACGAAGTCTTTGAAATCCAGTCTGTAGTTTACACTGAAAGCAGCTCTCAATTTGGACTCAGGCACATTTGAAGTGCCCAAGACCACATGTGGCCTGTGGCTATTACGCTGGACCAGGCGGTCTGGAGGCAGCTTCTGGAATCCTCAGGCTTTTGGAGCAGTTCTGGACCCCTAAAGTAACTGGATTCCCAAAGTCTCAAAAGTACTTTTCATAGCCTCTCATAGCACCAGGCAGCAAAGGGGCACCATGAATACTAAAACCTCAAGCTCACAGCCAGTGTGCGTGTGGGGGCTGCCTGGCTGGAGAGCTCCCTGCAGGGTCTGGAAAACGTGGTCCTTCTTTTTTTTTTTTTTTTAAGACAGGGTCTCCCTTTGTCACCTAGGCTGGAATGCAGTGGCACAATCAGGACTCACTGCAGCCTCAACCTCCCAGGCTCAAACAATCATCCCACCTCAGCCCCCCAAGTAGTTGGGACTCCAGGTGTGCACCACCACCCCCGGCTAATTTTTTGTATTTTTAGTAGAGACGGGGTTTGCCATGTGGCCCAGGCTGGTCTCAAACTCCTGGGCTCAAGCAATCCCGCCTCAGCCTCCCAAAGTGCTAAAGAGGGGGAAAAGGTAGGAAAGAAGAAACACATAGAAAGGGAAGAGAAGGGCTGTGGCAGGGGTGGCCAGTTGCGTGACAGGGATAAGAGAATCCACGGATAGGGACACAGTGCTGGGCAGGGCTGGGCAGCTGCCACCCTCTCCTCACAGCAGCTCGACAGAAATCGTGGCCGAGTGTGTGGAAGGCACAATTAGCTCATTCTTGCATTGCCCCTTGATTACACAGGACTACCATTTCTGTAATTAAGACCTTCTCCCTTACTCAGAAGTATTGAAACATGAAAGTATTTGCTGAATCTGGTTTCCCAGGGTTAAAAGCCAGACTTAGGAAACGCAAACACACTTGTGGAAATGCAAACACACATTCAGTAATTAATTATCCTTTAATTAAGGCCAAAACCCTGCTGAAAACAATTAGCTCTAGAAATTGAACAGTAGGTACAGCTCCACTTTTTGCTGATTGTTCTTTCCTGATAGTCAGGAAGTGCTGAGTCTGGGGGGCGGAGGTGGTAGGGAATGAATTAGTCTGCCGCTTTTGGTCTGGACTGGACCAAGCTCTACTTTTTTTGGAAATGTTAGTCAGAGGAGAGTTTGAGGTGTGGGGAAGGGCAAAGAGGATGTGGTTTGGGCAAGGGGAGGCGAGAGGCTGCCCCAGGCTTGGATGCATGCCATGGGAAGTCTCAGAAGCTCCTGCTGGCCACACAGAGGTGGCTTGCCTGGCTGGAGTGGAGGGCGTGGGCCAGGGATTAGCTGACTGGAAAGCAATTAGATGAGGTGCGGCTGGCTGGGAAAATACCTGGAATCCCAGGGCCAGAGTTGAGACTTGCTTGGCTAACGCTGCAGGCGGGAGGCCTCGTGGGGCCTGGGGAGTGGAAGTGCCCACCAGTGAGGGTGGGAGGGTAGCCGTGTGGGCTGCGAGTCTTGGATGCCTCTTGCTGATGCGGAGAAGTGGATGAGTACAGATAGTGTGGGCTCGGAGGTCCTGCAGCCCTCTGGGAAAGATGCCCTCTTTCCCATTTCCTCTCTCTAAATGCCCCCCTGCCCCCGCCGCCCTCCACCTCTCCTCAGACTCCTTGGACGTTCCTAAAGCCTGCCTAGTCCCATCAGATCACCTCACCCCTTTCCTAGGTAGGAAGATGTAGGTGCACAGTGTCCCCCTTCCGGGGACTTTCACATTTTGAAAGGAGGGGTGGGGAGAGAAAAATGTGTGCCCCAAAGGAACAAAAAGGGTGCTTGGGATTTGGGAGGGGTAGGGAAGGTCACTGGCGCCACCAAACTCTCCCCAGAAAACACCTGCATGCTTAAAAGCTTACCTAGAACCCCCGAAGCCTGGCCTCTGGATGGGGGGCTTCCCAGGTAAGAGCCCCTGCTCTAGAAGTGGAATGTTAGGTTTTCATACAGGCAAGAGGGAAGGTCTTTATTGGTCAGAGGGGCCTTCCAGATCACCCTCAAAGCAACTGTGCAAAAGATTCCAAATGTTGGCCCAGCGCAGAGCAGGACTCTCTCAGATTCCAAAAGCCCCTGACAGCTCATTTTTTCCCCAGAAGGGACCCCAGCTCTTGCACAAACCCCTTCTCTCCCCTTCCCCCTCCTTTCCCCTCCCCTCCCCTCCCGTTCTCTTCCTTTCCCTTCTCTCTGTAGATGAGGGTCGGCAAATGTCTGGTATGAAGGGCCAGATAGTAAATATTTTAGGCTCTGCAGGCCAAGAGGCAAAGCCGAGTTTAACCACATCCCTGCGAGGTGTAGGGCGTGAGCAGCAGCATGTAACCAGGAGAGCAAGCGCCTCCACTCTGTCTTCATAGCGGAAAAAGCAGCCGTAGACGATATGCAAATGACTGAGAGTGACTGTGTGCCAACGAAACCTTATTTATGGACACTGAGATTTGAATTTCATATAATTTGTATATGTCACAAAATATTCTTTGATTTTTTTCCCCAACTACTGAAAAATGGAAAAAACTATTCTTAGCTCATGGGCCATAAAAAGCAGGCCATGGCCAGATTTGGCCGGTGGACTATAGTTCGCCCCTCCCTGATCCCGCTGTGTGGTTCTCAAGTGGGAAACGCTCCTCTCCTCCAGATGGTTTCAATGCACATTAAAGTTTGAGAGCCACTGTCATAAAGGAGAATTTGCAGTTTCCCAGGTGATGCTGATGCCGTCATTAGGGGGATCCCACACTGAATATGCCCAATCTAGTCTGACCTTCACCCTATTTTACAGATGGCAAAACTGAGGCCCAGAGGCAACGTACCTCTATCATATGAGCCCAGGGAAAGGCTTCTTTGTCTCAGGATGCAGAGCTGGGTGGTTTTCTATCTCTAGCCGCCTTCAGCGATCTGCCCTGCCAGCTCACACTGCCCAAGGCTCTAGCCGAGATACAGGAAATGTGGATGTGTCCCCCGGAGCCCGAGAGCAGCAGGGCTGCAGTGAGTCATTTCCCGTGAGTGGAGCTGGCATGCGCTGAGCCTTCCTCGTGCTGTCAGTTCGCTCCCTTCTGACCACTCCAACCTGCGCTTTAGAGGAACTCCCTGCCAGCTTCCGGGAAGCGAAAAGCACCCTCTGTGAGAAGGGAAAAAGGAAAGAACCAAGGTTTGCGTGTCAGACTTGCGTGATTTCAAATCCCATGTTCGTGGTACTGCCTGGGACTTGAAACAAATTCCTTCACTTCCTTGAGCCTCAGTTTCCATCAGTAAAATGAGAAAACAGCCCCTGCCTCTGCGGGGTTCCCAGAAGACCTGGAGATTAAATCTGTCCAGTGTCAGGCACACGGCAGGGAATTTTTATGGTGTCTTTATTGGCCATCCTGGCATTATGCATTAGCCACAAGGGTACCCAGCCTCAACCTCAAAAGCCACAGAAAAAGGCCACCTGATCCTCCAGACAACATGTGTGGCCATGGCTGTGCTGATGGTCTTACAGAGGCAGTCACTGTCCTACACTCCTGAGACATTGCCATTGACGATTTAGGTTGTGCTGTGTAAGGCTCATGTACTTGGGTCCCTTGGTGGCCTTCAGGGTCTGAGAACCCTGAAATTGTATGCAGACATCTGTGAACCTGTGCAGAGGTGCATTTTTCTGGGAGAGGTGCAGATTTTTCATCGAGATCCTCAAAGGGATCCATGCTCCCAAGAAAGCTAAGGATCCCACATCTATAAGCACAGTGCAGAAGGGAGCCCCAGACTTTCAAGGCATATTCCTGGATTTGAGAATCAGCTCCCTGACCCCCATGAGTGGCCTTGGGCACACTGGAGATCATCTGATCTCCCCCCTCTGGCGTGGTCCATAAAGCAGTGATGGGACTATGTGAGGATCAAGTAGGACATGTCAGGCCAGGTGTGGAGAGGGGACTGTGTGGGAGCTGTCGGTCATGGTCCCTTCCCACCAAGCCCCCCACCTGCCCTCACCCCTGACTTGGCTGCCCCCTACTCAACCTTTGGGTTTCCTCTGCAGAGAAGCCTGCCCTGATCACCTCATCCATCCAAAGGGGGCTCCCTCCCAGCTCCCTGTTTGCATTTGTCATTCTACCCCTCTGCCCCCCACTGTAGGTGGCCTGGGGACAGGCACCGGGCTGTTTGGTCCCCATGGCCCCAGGCCCTCTAGCCCATGAACATTTGCTGCAGGAAGGCACAAATGCATACCCCCGCCCTAGGAGCCACTGCCTTGGAGCCCACCCACCTCCAGGCCCCACCTCCCTCCTCCCCCAGCAGCTGCTTCTCTAAAGAGGCAGCTCCCACTGTGCTCTGGAGCATTCAAGATCCCAGCAACAAAGTCAGAGTTAAAAAGTATATTCTGTGCTTCTCCTGGAGCTGACGTGGTCCCATCAGGTGCCCCCTCTTGAGCACAGCCAGCAGCCCCCAGAGAGGCCCTGGGCTGCCCTTCAGGGTCCCCATGCTCAGCCTGGTCTTTTTCAAGGCCTGATTCTAAGGGCTGTGTGGGCCCTGCTTGCTCTGCCTGGAGGACAGTGGGGTCACCACTGGCATCTAGGGGACCCCTCCACCACCCTGCTGCCCCCTAAGATGCGTATGGGGCAGGCCCTCCAGCTTCTCACACCTCAACTCCAAAGGCCTGGGCGATTATGAGGCACCAGTGAGTGAGATCCCCAACCAACCCCATCACTTCAGCCCTCCAGGTCCCAACATCCCACCAGGTCCCCCTGGACTGCCAGCACCTGCCATTCCCCTAGAGGGGCAAGGAAGCAGGGTGGGAAGCCCCAGGAGACTGCCGTTGGTCATGCCCAGGTAAGGATTAGCCAGGCCTTCCTCCTCCACTCCTCTCCTCTTTGCCTGGTGCAGGAACAACCAGCTAGGAGTCAGGAAATCTGAGTTCTGGTGCTGGCTCTGCTGCCACCCAAGCTGTGCCTCTGGTTTCCTCCTGGGCACCGCACATAGATGCCATCTGTGAGTGTGTCCCCTGCTTAGTCCACATCACCTGCCATCAGCCTGCTGAGAGGGCGCCGGGGCCCAGTGGGACACCCTGGGAAATTGTCAGCTACTAGTCCTGCATCCCTGCCCACATTTGGGCTGTTTGTCCCTTCCCATCGCATAAGGAGCGGGGAAGGGCAGGAAACTGAGGCAGCCAGGGTTTGACAGCAAAGCCTGCACTGCCTGGCCTGGGGGCAAAGGAGTGAGGTCCAGAGGTTACGAGCTGCCAAGGACTGGGGACCTCATCTTTCTCCTCCTGGCTCCCATCCAATGCCCAGGGGCTGGGGGGTCTCCTTTCCCGGGGCCTCCCATACACACATTGGTAAAGGGAGGAACAACAGCCTCATGGTCTCGGATCCAAATCCTCATCCCTGTGCTCACGAGAGCCCCTCCCTAGAGCAAGGGAGCACTGGTGCCTGCCTCACAGGGTGGGGGCGAGAAGGGGGCTGTCTAAGGCCCATCAAGCATTTAGCAGGGGCCTGGCACACATCCCCACTCAGAGGACACCGAGACCACTGTTCATGTCACATCCGGGGTTCAAATTCTCAGTGCTGCAGGAACTCAGAGGAGGAGGAGTGGCCTGGGAGCTGGGGAGGGCTGAGGTCTGGGCTGGGGGAAGCACCTGAAGGCAGGGGTGGAAGCTATGGGCCTAGGGGCACCTGAGCCTGGGTGAGCCCAGCCCAAACTGAACAAAGGCGATTAGAGCTAAGAAGAGGGTCTCAGTCATTTATGGAGCCTCTGCCACTCCCATCCACCTGAAGAGACATTTTTCTCAGTGGTGCCCACTCTGACTGCACCAGAAACACCCAGAGATCTTACTATACAGATTCCTAGGCCCCCACAGCCCTACATAGCCCTAAAATCAAAGAGTGAGGGCTGGATCTGTTTCTCTCCTAGGTGGATCCAGTACAAACACAGGGCTGGGAACTACCCACTGGATGCATCCCTCTCCCTGCTCCCAGATGCCCTGAGCCCCTGCCCCCCACCAACCTGTCCCAGCAGCCCTGGGCAACTGGGTGACTGCGAGGCTAAGAATCCCCCACACCCACACCCTCCCTGGTGGGAAGGGAGTGGGGCTGTCTCTGGAACTCTGATTTGGTTTTGCTGTCCAATGCCAGAACGGGGGCACACTGAGGAAGAGAGACTTTTAAAAACAAAGTCCGTCTTCCCTGGGGTTTTATTTTACCTTGGAAAATAGAAGAACTGATTTTTTTTTTTCTACTTTCCCCCAAACTTGCTCCCTATCAGTGTCCCTAAAGTAGGAAGAGTTCTCACTTCTCCAAGTGTGTAGTCTTGGCATTAATTAAAATCCAGAAATGACAGCAACAAAGCACCTGCTTTTTCTTCCTGCTTTTCTCCCAACACCCCGGCACATCAACAGCCCGTCAGCTTGTGGGTAGACTCACATAGGAGCTGGAGCCTACACTGAACTTTCATCCCAGGCGAAATGCCTATCAGAAGGCAGGTGCGCTGCCTTCCCAAGCCAGTGCCCTCCTAGAGTTGAGCGTGCTGGGCTGCCCACGCCTCACGTGAGCCTCTCGGTGCAGTGGCCGCCTGGAAGAT
This sequence comes from Homo sapiens, assembly GCF_000001405.40. Taxonomy (NCBI): domain Eukaryota; kingdom Metazoa; phylum Chordata; class Mammalia; order Primates; family Hominidae; genus Homo; species Homo sapiens. The sequence continues at coordinate 48,838,425 of NC_000018.10, forward strand.
GTCTCACCTGGGTCCTTGCACAGGCAGATACTGGAGAAAATCTGAGGAAATATATAGATTGATTTTTGTCCGCCCCCCTGAAACGAGTCCCCTTTATAGTCACACTTCATAGAAAGCACAACACAGACAGCATGTCTGTGCTTGAGGCTGTGGCTGTGCACACTTGGGTGGGCTCAAAGTATATGCATTACTGCACAACCTTTGTCTCCCTCGGGGCCAACACAGAGTTTAGTGTAGGAGCCTTCACTTAGGCACTGTGTTCACCTTTACAGCCTTCTCCAACACTTCATTTATTTGGTGGCCCCTTAACCAGAAGCATATGGAGAAGTTGAGGGATTTGCCAAGGGACAGGCAGCAATAGTGATTTGCCAGGGCAGGCCCTGAAGCCTGTGTTGGTCACAGGCAGATTCAAGGGCAGCAGCAGCCCCCAAACTCTAGATCTGCATCTCAGGCCCAGGCACATCTCCCTGACACCTCCCCGGGCCTGCCCACCAGCCCCTCAATCTCTAAGTGTCCTAGTGGAACCTGTCTTCTGCTCCCCAAGCCTGCACCTCCTCCCGGAGAAGGACCTCCAGGCTGTGCCGGCTACAGCCCCGAGGCCATCCCTGACTCACCACCAACCGCCACCCTGCTGCCAGTTCCCAGGGTCTGTGAGCAGCAGCTCTTGCAGATTTTCTTGAATCTGGCCACCACTTTTCTGCCTCTCCACGGCTCGGCTAGGCCACTGTTTCCTTTCCCCTGAATTACCCCACCAGCCCTCTCACTGGCTCACCCCTCCTGTTCTCAGTCTCACCCTGCCACCCTCTCTCTGAGCACTCCTGACTCACTTTTCTCCCTGCCTGTGGTGTCCTTCCCTCTCTTCCTCTCCTCACCCCACTCTCCTGGCTGTAGCTTCAAAGGTTTCTTCCCAGGAAGCTGTCCCTGAGCCTCCTCTCCTGACCCAGGTGAGAACAGTTCTTCCCGTCACTGACCCCACAGCACACTCTACACTGTGCCACTTGCAGCCCACTCAGTTCTAAGAGCCACCACTGACCGAGCTCACTGTGTGCCAGATACTATCCTAAACACCCCACATCCTCTTCTTTAATCCTTGCAACTACCCTTGGCGGGAGGTAATATTAGTATCACCACTTTACAGGTAAGGAAACTGAGACACAGAGGGGTTGCCTGTATTGCACAACATGACTGGTGGGGCGGCTGAATCAGGATTAGAATCCAGGCAGTCTCACTTTACAGCCTTAGTTCCAAATGCTGATCTGCTTATGCAACATCTGTCTTCCCTCCTAGACTCATAAATCTATAAGGCCAGGATCTGTGCCTCCTTGTTGAATGAGTGAATGAATGAAAAGTTGTTACTACCCCCTTCAGACACCCTGGAGAAGTTGGACTTGTTGTGCTCCAAGGCTTTATGTCACTGGGGGGCTGCATCCCAGGGAACAGAGGCCCTTCCGAATGGCCTCACCCCAGCCAGCAGAAAGCCATGCTTTCTTTCAAATCCAATCTTCAGGTCTTCCGAGAGGCCCAGGTGGACTCAAGTGCCTGTGTGAGCAGTGTGAAGAAAAGCTAGTCTAGGTAGATGCTAGACTAGACCTAGAACTAGGTAGAAGCAACAGTTGCTCCCAGGCTGGGAGTGGTGAGTCTTCTGGCTACGGAGGTCAGAGAAGATCAGGGAAGGCTTCCTGGATGAGGCTCTTACCATTGTTCTTAAGGGATCTGGTCAATGGAGCCAAGATCAGAAAAGGCATGCTCAGCCAAGAGAATTGTCAGCAAAACCCAGAGGCAGATAAGGGCAGGATGCATCCTTAGACCTGTGAACAGACGAGTTTGGGTGGATTGGAGGTCTGTGAAGGGGGCAAGGTGGGAAGACTGTAGGGCCCAGAGCAGAAGTGGCCCAGCGAGCCGCCTGAATGCCAGGCTAAGCCCTCATCCCCATGCAGCCTGGTCAGTTGAACACAGTGAGAATGCACAGGTGATAACAGAATATTGACTCACATGCTCATTCATCCAAAAAGATCATCTCGACTTAGAAAAAGAGTTGCCCCATTATTAAAATTTATATTCTGCTAAGGGTAAGGCTCTAAAGCCAAACAAACTTCCAGGTGCCAATTAACTTCTCTTATCTCCGAGTCTCTTAGACTTGGCAAAGAGTACTTACCAAATCCCTACTGACACCCTGGGCAGCCCCAGGCCCTTTTCTCAGCCCAGGCCTGTCTGCTCCTCCAATGGGTGGCTGCTCCTCTGAGCACAATGCTAATTATGCCCTTAGCACAGCCCGATTCTTCTCTGAACAGTAACAGAGCTTAATTGTCTCCGGCCCAGCTGTCCCTACCCAGTTGGTCCTTGGTTACTGCATTCTGCCCAAACCCACTGCAGAACCAGCTGCACTCCCTCACCCAAAGGATAGCCCTCCAACCCAGCTCCTGCCACAAGGCTTCACTCCACCCCCACCCCCACCCCCACCCCAGAAGATGGGCACCTCTGTCTGGAAACCAGGCTACTACAAGTGTTGATCCTTCTTCAATACAGCATGCCAAGATTATCATGCAAAAAAGAACATGGTTTAAGCAAAGGTTTCTTCAAAATTCCGTGCTTGGTGGCAGAGGAGTGGGCCAGTGTGTCCCTTTTCTAAGTCCTCCAATGACCCTTGCTCGTTATTTATGCCCTCCCTGACTCATGCTCTGTAAAGTCTGAGGTTGGTAAAAGCCCCCTACATTTAAGAGGGCACCTGGTTAATGTAGGCATCCCATAAACAATCTTCTAAGAAGCTTCTTCCCAGTCTCAGGGAACTGTAGGTTGGCATAGCCTTGCAGATAATCTTGTGCCCAGTTGGTGAGCAAGCAGGGGCCAGTGGCTGGAGCGGCCCCTGGGCTCTGGGCATGGGGAGGCCCTCCTTCTGAGCTGATGGGTGGCCTCTGCAGCCGGGCCCTCCCTGAGCTTCCCTCTGGGACAGCAGAGAACTCAACCTCTCTGCCTAGGGCAGCGCCCTCGTGGCCCCGGCTCAGCCCAGCTCCTCTAGGGAATTGAGTGGCTGGACTGTGGTTTAGTCGCCCCCAGGGAAGCTTACCCAGAGGAGGAAAGGACTGTTTCGCAAGCCAGGCCCGGCGTTCTGAGCTGGCCTGTCCGCCCCTGGCATATGGCTGGGCCTGTTAGGAAATCAAGGAGACGCTCTGTCTCTTTCCAGCAGGCGCCACTTCTGTCTTGCCACTGCTTTGCTCGATTCAAGACGCTGGCTCGGGGGCCAGGCTGGTGGGCAGGCAGGCGGGCAGGCGGGCAGGCCCCTCTCCCACCAGCCCGGTGCCTGGGAAGCGCTCACTGTCTCCTCAGCCGGTGTTATCCCAGGGGTCCCGCACCTGGCTGATAAGGCCAGGCGGCTATCAGTGGCCATCTCGGGTGGGAGGGCAGGGTGGCTCTCAGGGAAGGATTCCAGACTGTTTCCTTCTGGGGCTGAGCTCCAACGCCCTTATCTCCTTTCCTGCCAGGCAGGGACTCCTCAGCGCTCACACACAAAAGAGAACTCCACCCAAGACGCACAGCCCCTACCTACTGGAAGGTGGAGGAGGCTTTGCCTCCGGTTTCATTAAATCTACCTGGTTCTCAATCGGGGGCAGTTAAGTGTGCACTCAGCTAATATCAATGTATTTGGTCCTGCCAGGGGGTGGGAGGGTTGGAGAGACGGGGACGTTCAAGTAATGGAGCTGCCTTGGTGGCTGTTTTCGAAGCTCCTGGACTTGTCAGTCAACTGAAACGTCTCTTGGAAGAGAAACAACCAGGGGATGGGCCAATGCCAATTACAAGATTCAGGGGCTGCGGGGATGGGGAGGTCAGGCCTCATGGGACTGAGTAGAACGAGGGTGGTGGGGCCTGAGTGTGAAAAACCAGGCCTCGCTCAGCCCCGCTCTTGGCTGCCTTGAAGCCTGTGAGGCAGGAGGCCTGGTGAGTATTATTCCCGTTTCATAGAACGCAGGCCTGTGGGTGGGAGTGCTAGAGGGAATACGGGAATATATTATAGAAGATGGGTCAACGGAATCCTTGAGAGGTCAGCCGAGCGCCCATTCCTGTTAGCGCGGAAGGGAGAGCCCTGGCCTCACAGTGTTCCCAGGATTAATGTTCCGCCTCAGAAGAGCAGCCTACCCCCAAGACTCTCAGACTTACTGCTGGGCAATGCTTTCCAGAGGCCAGGGCTGGCCTAGGTGACCCCACAGGGCCTTGTTCCAGCCCAGCAGTCGCTGATTCTACAGGCAAGTTACTATGGGAACTATAACTTTGAATTTCCTGGCTCTGGGGCTGTGAAAATCACAACCTGAACCTTCCGTTGATGTGGGTTTCTCGATTAATTTCCTGTTTGATTGTTTACTTTAGAGAGCGGAAAATGCCTTTGCAGGCAGCTAGCTCCCTCCACGGAGACACTTATCACACCCTGCCCCCACAGCCAGCAAGGTCAAGTCCAGGCCTCAGGTGGGTGGAGGTAGGGGCCAGAAGCAGGGGCAGGGACTGGGGGAAGGGGCTGGAGCTGGGGGCAGGGAGGAGGCTCAGCCAGAAGCAGATGGCAGCCTGAGCCCCCTGCCCTACCCTTCTGCTTGCCCGGGGTCCCAGCCTGGTGGATGTCGGGGCTGTGGAGGGACCTGTGATTTCAGAGACCTGTGAGCCTTTGAGGGGAGCCTCCCACCCACCCCAAGCCCCAGGACTGGCCCCTGGCTGCCCAAACTATCCCCTGTCTCAAGGAGCTCTGTTGTGCAGAGTCAGACATACAGTGCAGTCCTTCCTGGAGAGGGTGGCCTCAGTGGGGAGGGTCAGAGATTTCCCCCTAGGCCAGGCACTGCTGACTGGGCTGCCCAGTGCGGGGCTGGGCGTAACTGCTCTTCTACCCTTCTCTCCTCCATCTGCCCTCCCCAGGGCCCTGCGCTCCAGCAGGGAGCTGTGCCCAGTGTTCCCAGTGACCATAACTCCATCCTGTTCCCTGCGGAGTGGGGAGGGCTTGCAGGCTCAGGTGCCGCCTGCGAGCCAGGAGTTCTGATCTCCTGTGATGATAACCACCCATCTCTAGGCCATGGGACACTCGGTAGCCTCTCGAGCCCTCCTCCCCACCCCAGCTACCCAGCCCCTAGATGGCCCTGAGGCCCCATTTATAATGGGGGCCCTGAGGCACGGGGAAGGGAAATGGAATAGGCCAGAGGGCTGTGGACTACCCAGGGGATCTGGGAGGCCTGGGAAAAACTCCCAACCTCCCAGCACCCCTCCCTTATCTAGGTGACCGTATATGATCCACATCAGGGCAGTTTGGAGAGTGGAAAGGATGCTTTTACTAATGACTTTGAGATGACAGGTGAAAACTGGAACTATTCCAGGCAAACGAGATGTGCCATCACCCCACCTTTGGCCGGCCTCTCCCCATCAGCCTATTTATGTGGGCACTCACTGGGGAGCAGGAGTGAAGCTATTTTTCTACCTACTTGTGTGCTCTTGGAGAAATCATTTCCTTCCCTGTGCCTCAGTTTCTGTAGCTGTGACATGAAGAGCGTTGCAGTGGTGCCTAACTCAGATCATCTGGTAGAAAGATCAAATGGATCTTTAAAAACACACAGAGCACATAGAACAACCACTCAAAATATGTAAGCCAGGTGAGCATGAGGATTCCGAAGGTGCTGTTCACCCTCAGAGGCCCCCTCTCAAAAGGGGAACCTCAGAGCTGCCTTAGGCATTTCCTGTTCACTCCTCAGGAGGGATCTTGGACTGGGGGCAGTGAGCACAGAAGAAGCTTCCAGAAGGGATGGGGAGGGCCTAAAGGGGAAGCTGGGAGGCACTGGCTGCAGGCACAGCTGCTTCCCTGGAGTCTCAAACCCACCCCAGGGTCCTGGGGATTCCTGGCTGCAGGCACTGTGAACAGAACTAGCCCCTGTCTAGGCCACTAGCTGGAGCTTGGTCCACAGGAGAAGCCGCTGGAGTTGTAGCCCTGCCTTCTGGATCCAATGTCTCCAGAAGAATTTGGTGTCTACCCTGAGCCCCAAATTATATTTCCAGCCCCCGGGCCAGCTGTGGGATGAAGCATCCCCCATGTGACATCCACTGTCGCTACTTTGTACGGGGTGGTTTGCAAGCCCGGCAGGAAGGAGGCTAATTATTCCCTCTGGGGCGCCTGGTCCGCAGCTAGGGTGCCCGCCCGCCTTAGTTAGGAGGGCTGGCAGCCAGACCACAGGGCACAAGCTTGGACTGAAGGCCAGGTCAGAACCACAAATTTCCTGACATCTGACCATAACCACCATACCAAGGCTCCATGTTAGACTGGTGGAAAAGTGGCATGGGGGCCCATTCCCCTCTGCTGAAGGTGTCTGCACTGTGGGCAGGCAAGAGCGATTAACATAAAACAGCACTAATTTTGTAGCTTTGGTGCCAGGCTAGGCAACATTAGCATCTACACAAGCACCTATATCCATGGCCACACCAGCCCTTCCTCCCACTTCAGAGGGCGACACTACTCTTCTTTAAGGCAGATCTATGTACTTGATCCTTTCCTCCTTTCTGATTATCCTCTTCTCCTGCACTCTGGCACCTCACCTCTACCTTTAAACTGGCTCAAGACTCTCCTACTTTAACCACACCAGATTCCCAGACCATTCTAGGTGACCCTGTGCCAGTGTCTTTCCCCTAGCATCCTCCCCTTTTCTTCTTCCATAGGCAAGTTCCAAAAACAAAGAAAAGAGGGAAAGGAAGGAAGAGAAGAAGGGGGTTGGGGTTGGGGGTGGGGGAGAGAGAGAGAGAAGAAAGTACAGAAATTCATTCCAAAGAAAAAGAAAGAAATGGTGTGCTCTTTCTGTCTGCACTTCTGGACCTCCTTCACACTCTCCAACCCTGCGGGGCCCAGCCCAGGCTTCCACTGCCCCAGTAGCAGCACTGAAGTCATCATGGCAAAGGTCACCCATGCTCTTCTAATCACCAAATCCAGGGGACCTTGGTCATTGTTCGTTTTACTTGACCTCTCTGAGCTTTGACACTGGTGACCTTGTACTTCTTGGAACTCTTGGCCCTCATGACGCCATTTCCTCCTGTTCTGCTTAACTCTCTGACCACCCTTTTCTTCCTTCTTTGGGGATTCCTCTTCCTCCTCTCTCACCCTTTAGGCATTGCTGTGTTCAGGTTGGGAGCCCCTGCCGTCTTCTCTTCTCATTCCATGTGTTCTCCAGGTCACCTCACTCACACCAACGGCTTGACTAATCCCTGGGTGCTGATGATCCCAGATTACCATTCTCCCATTAGTCATCTTCCCTGGTCATCCCCAAGGACCCTGGACTCAGTATTTCTAACACTGAACTCATTCACTTTCCCTAAAACCACCTCCACCTGCCTTCCCAATATTGTTGATGGCATCATCACTTACGCAGTTGACCAAACCCCAAACCTGGGGGCTGGCCATCTTCTACCTCATCCTTTTCCTCACTCTCACTTCTGCCTCTTAACATATTCTGCCTCTTAAATATCCTCCTCCCTTCCTGCCAGCCTTAATTCAAGCCACCCCAATTTTGCACAGCAACCTTCTAACGGTCCCCCTGCCTCCAGTCCAAACACCACCCTACCTACATCTCCATGCTATGCAAGATAGGATCTTTCTAAACTACAGGTATTACTATGCTACTCTCCAGTTTAAAATCTTTCAGTGGCTCTCCAGTCCCTTGGGATAAAATCCAAACTCAGTACCATGGCATCTAGAGCCCTTAAATATGTGGCCTTTGCCTTCTTTATAAGCACATTCCACCCCCAGCACCATATATTTTAGGCATCTTGAAATACTTATTCATCATTGTACTCTGCTAGTGCACATTTTTTGCTTTTTTACATCTTTCTCATGCCATATGCCTGGAGTTCTCCACCACCGCTATTCCTTCTTATGCTGCAATGCCATATACCTAGCAAGTCTCTTGCTTTCCCCCTACTAGACTATAAATTATAAGTCTTATTGTTCCTCTTGTTATCCCTGTACTTACGTAGCATTTAACACACCATAGATATTTCATAAATGTTGCCGAGTGGATGGATGGATGGATAGATGAGTAGATGGGTAGATAGATGGATGAAAGGATAGATGGATGGATGGATGGATGGATGGATGGATGGATGGATGGATAGGTGAATAGACAGATGAATGAAAGGATGGATGGGTAGGTGGGTGGGTGGGTGGATGAATGGATGGATGGATGGATGAGTAGGTGAGTAGATAGATGGATGAAAGAATGGATGGGTGGGTGGATGGATGGATGGATGAATAGGTGAGTAGATAGATGGATGAAAGGATGGATAGATGGGCGGATGGATGGATGGATGGATGGATGAGTAGGTGAGTAGATGGATGAAAGGATGAATGGATGGATGGATGGATAGATACATGGATGAAAGGATGGATGGATGGATAGATAGATGAATGAAAGAATGGATGGGTGGATGGATGGATGGATGGATGAGTAGGCAAGTAGACAGATGGATAAAAGGGTGGATGAGTGGATGGAGGGATAGGTAGTGGCCAATACAGACAAAGAATAGGTAAAATCAGTTCAATTTTGTGAAGGCTCAGGTTGACCTGTCACCAGTCAACACAATTAAAAATTATGAGCTCCAGCCGGACATGGTGGCTCACACCTGTAATACCAGCACTTTGGGAGGCTGAGGCAGGCAAATCACGAGGTCAAGAGATGGAGACCATCCCGGCCAACATGGTGAAACCCCATCTCTACTAAAAATACAAAAATTAGCTGGTCGTGGTGGTGCGTGCCTGTAGTCCCAGCTCCTCAGGAGGCTGAGGCAGGAGAATCGCTTGAACCCGGGAAGCAGAGGTTGCAGTGAGCCGAGATCACGCTACTGCATTCCAGCCTGGTGACAGAGCAAGACTCCGTCTCAAAAAAAAAAAAAAAAAAAAATTATGAGCTCCAACCAGCAAAATAAGAATTAGCTAATGTGGGAAATTAATATCATTCCGTAAAGGAGAGAGCACAGATCCAGGACTCTCCAGCACCTTCCATTTCCACTTAGACCTGCTGTCTGTCTGGGTTGTGCAAGCCACTTAACTACTGAGCCTCAGTTTCTCTACCAATTAAGCAGATATGATAATACCTGTGGCCTTTCCCTGTCTCCACAGGAGTGTCATGAGGGTAAAAGGAATGGTGCATACAAAGCATGTTGAGATCTTCAGGGAAGATACATGTTTATAAAGATAGAAACATCATAACAATAATAACACCTTACGTTTGAATCAAGCTTTGCACTTATCAAAGCTCTTTCACATACGTTATTTCAATTGACTCTCCAAACAATCCTAGGCAGATACTATCCCTGTTCTCAGGTGAGGAAGCTGAGATGCAGAGTGATTAAGTGGCATGCCAGGGGCTGGTCTTAGTGTGTAGCAGGTCTTCTGACTCCAAGCCTGATGCCCATTTTTGATGATAGCCTTTCTTGGATAGATTATCTACTTCCCTGCCTCCCTGAACGGAGACCTAGACATAATTGGCCCTTTTCTTGATGACTCGTCATTACCATAGGCACAGTCCCTGGGCTGTCCTCCAGGTTTGGCTGTAGGTACAGGTCCAGGTCCCGCAGAGGCACAGGGTGGATGGGCCAGCTGTCCCGGAGGGTACTCCTGACGTGTAGGTGGCAACCATCCTAGAGCCCTGCAGGTGTGGTTCTTCTGACTCTGCCTCATTCTTCCCCCTGTCCCCTTTGTCTCCACTGTCAGCATGTGTGCCCATTTCTGTGGCTTCCTCCGCCACCACGGCCTTTACCCGTCACTATCTTTTCTTCTTTGTTTCCCTCTCTCCTGCCCTACAATTCTTTCCACACCTTCAGCTTGTCCCCCCACAGCCCTGGCTCATCCACCGGCCCAGCCAGCCAACCTCAGCTCCCAGGCTGGCTTTGTTCTCCCGCCAATCACAGCCCTCTGCAAACCTCCCACTTTGGCTCCCTCATGGCTGCCCCTGTGGCCACCTCCAGTCGCTACCAAAGGAAGGAGGCTCCTCCAGGCAGGGGCTGGGCTGAGCTTTTTCTGCAGCTGCATTAGGTGGCTTGGGTTTGCTCTCCCACAGTAGAAGGCTGTGCTGTGGGTGAGCTGAGGTGGTCAAGGTGGGCTGGCCAGCCCGGCTTGGATGGACACTGCACCCCTCACTAGCAAGGCAAGATGTTGGGATTGCCAGTGCTCATCCCTCCCTGCACAGCGAGGCTGCCCCATGAGTTCTCAGCACCCCCTTTCCCTCCCTGCAGGGTGGCATCCCAAGCTACCAGCCTGGTTACATCCTGGGCATGCCTTGGGCAGCCTGCCTGTGCCCGTGGCCCTTCCCCCAGGGACTCCAGGAGACTCCCACCAGGCTGCCTTTCTCCCTGGCTGCTGTGGGGCCTCCCACAGCCACAGCCTGACTGGAGCACCTTGGTTTCTCCCTGAGGGAGGATATGATGGGCGTGCCCACAACAAGTCTCCGCCAGAGACAATAGGACAGGAATGCATTCGCTTCCGAACAAACACTGTGTGGGCTCGCACAATTGCCTTGGATTCTTGTCCAAGAAACACATTTTGCCGTTCGAGGGCACGGGAGGCTTGCCTGCCCCAGCCCGCCCACATCCCCGTCAGTGCCAGAGACTCTGATGAGTGGGCTGCTCCTCCCCCGACCCCAGGGCCTCTGACCCCCAGGTAGAGCAGGCTGGTCTCCTTCATGGATGCAGCTCGTCTTCCAGAGGTGACAGCAGAGGAGAGGGACAGTCCTGCCCACACAGAGGGTGCCTGCTCCTACCAATGCCTTTTTTTTTTTTTTTTTTTTTTTTGAGACAGAGTCTTACTCTGTCGGTCAGGCAGGAGTGCAGTCGTGAGATCTCGGCTCACTGCAACCTCTGCGACCTGGGTTCAAGCGATTCTCCTGCCTCAGCATCCCAAGTAGCTAGAATTACAGGCGTCTGCCACCATGCCTGGCAAATTTTTGTATTTTTAGTAGAGATGGGGTTTTGCCATGTTGTCCAGGCTGGTCTTAAACTCCTGGACTCAAGTGATCCACCCACCTTGGCCTCCCAAAGTGCTAGGATTACAGGCATGAGCCACCCCGCTCAGCCTGCCATTTTTTTAAAAACCATTTTTTATTGGTTAATAAATACATACATATACATATAACATTATGTAAAGCTTACCATTTTAAACTTTTTTTTTTTTTTTTTTTTTTGAGACAGAGTTTCACTCTATCGCCAGGCTGGAATGCAGTGGCACGATCTCAGCTCACTGCAACCTCTGCCTCCTGGGTTCAAGCAATTCTCCTGCCTCAGCCTCCCGAGTAGCTGGGACTACAGGCCCGCACCACCACACCCAGCTAATTTTTGTATTTTTAATAGAGACGGGGTTTCACCATGTTGGCCAGGTTGATCTTGATCTCTTGACATCGTGATCCACCCGTCTCGACCTCCCAAAGTGCTGGGATTACAGGCGTGAGCCACCGTGCCCGGCCCATTTTAACCATTTTTAAGGGTGCACTTCTTTGGCATTAAGCGTATTCACACTGTTGGGCAACCATCCCCACCGTCCATCTCCAGAACTGTTTCACCTTCCCCAGCTGAAACTCTGTCCCCATGAAACACTCCCCATCCTCCCTCTTCCCAGTTCCTGGCACCCACCATTCTGCTCCCTGTCTGTATGAATTTGACTACTCTAGGGACCTCATAGAAGTGGAATCATACAGTGTTTGTTCTTCTGTGCCTGACTTATTTCACTTAGCATAATGTCTTCGGGGCTCGTCCGTGTTGTGGCATGTGTCTCAATGGCCTTCCTTTTTAAGACTGGGTGATATTCCCCTTGTATGGATTTACCACTTGTTTATTTATTCATCTTTCAGTGAACACTTGGGTTGTTCCGCCTCTTGCTATTGTCAGTAATGCTGCTGGGAACATGAGTGTCCAAGTCACTGTTCAAGATGCCGCTAATTTTTGAGATCTGTGTTTGAGCTAAGTGAAGCTGTTGTCTCCTGGCGATCCCAAATAGAACATACATAAATGAGAGAGCTAGTCGGCCCTCTCCGTACTGGCAGGGATTCGTTTATCCCCAAAATGAGCTGTCTCTTAGGAAATCAGAGCCCTGAAGAAATGGGACATAGGACAGGTCATTTAGGCCAAGATAGACAAGACTGGAAAGGTTCTTCCCTTGGGATGATACCCACTAAAGGCAAGTTCAGTAGGGATTTCTGGGCAGCCATTGGTCACCCTGAAGCATGGAGAGCCCGGGAGGGCAATGGCACTGACGGGGCCCCAGGGAGGAAGCCTGTGGAGTTGTGCCAAGGGCCCCCTGGAAGAGGCAGGCCAGACCCTTGTTCTGACACAGAGCAGCAGGTGGGGCCTTCAGCTGTGTGCCCCATCCAAGGGAGGCTGAGGGAGCATCCTCCACCATCCCTTCACCCCGAAGGGTCTGAGAATCCACTCTCAAAAGCCAGCAACCAAGCAGGTGTGTGTGGGGAGGACAGGACATGGTCTGCAGCCACCAAGGCCCTTCCTGTGCTCTCTGCGTTCCAGCAACTGGGAGGGACAAGTAAGATGAGAAACTCCTTCCCTGACTTCCTTGAGAAAACCCAGCAGGCCGTTTGCAAGAGGGCCTCTCGCACAATGTGGTTTTTGGCTTCATGCAGACTTTCCCAAACAACCCAGAGAAAGATAAGGTTGGAAGGGGGGGCTCTAGGGTTGAGAACCCGCCCCCAGCTCTGCCTTAGGGCCCTGGGCAGTCTGTCCTCTGCCCTGACAGGAGTTGGGGGAGTAGGGGGAGCAGGGGCAGTGGCCCCAGGAGCCTGCCTGCGGGGAGTTTGGGCGTGCCCAGGGAAGAAGGCATGGGAAGGGGAAGTCACAAAGATACGAGAAGGGAAGAAAAAGAGCAGGGAGACTGTGGAACCGCTCTGCAGGCCCAAGCAGCCCCATCACAGAAAGTGGAAGGCACGCAGGCTGTGGGCTGCAGAAGAGACGAGGAGGAGACCCTTGATTGTCAGGGCAAAGCGCTCACTGTCAACACCCCTGGGACTCCGGGAGGCTTCCACGCAGCCCTGTCAGCGTCTCCCTCTCTCCTCGGAGGGAGATGCAGCCACATTGAGAGCCTCTAGTGCCTGGCAGGCCCTGGCTCTTCTCGAAATTTCTCATATTATTACTTCACTTGTCCCTAAACCTCAGAACCTGGCAGGCACAGGCAAGGGACCAGAGCCCCCTGAGAAGCTAGTCTCAGGACACACCAGGGCCCCAGGCGCACTTCCCTCCCCGGGAGAAGCATTGACTGAGCAGCCCCACTGTGTCAGCCAGCGACATCCGCCTGCGGCTGCTTCCCCAGCTGCCCTCCCTTCCTTCGCATCAGCTCCCGGGTTCTGCCTCTTCCCCACCCAGGGCCACCACCCACTCTGTCTGGAGTTTCATTCCCACCAGATACTTACCTTCCCCCTTTCCTGTGATTTCTACCAGCAATTTTTATTTTAAGGATTTTTTTTTCCTGCTAAGCACCCTAGGGAAGCATATGAGGGAAATTTACTATAAGAAAGAAGTTCCAGCCTAGGTGGGGTGGTTCATGCCTATAATTTACCTAGCACTTTGGAAGGCCAAGGTGGGAGGATCACTTGAGCTCAGGAGTTCAAAACCAGCCTGGGCAACATAGTGAGATCTCGTCTCTAGTAAAAAATTTTTTAAAAATTAGCCAGACATGGTGGTGCACCCCTGCTCCCAGTTACTTGGGAGGCTGAGGCTGGAAGATTGCTTAAGCCCAGCAGGTTGAGGCTATAGTGAGCTATGATTGTATCACTGCACTCTGCCCTGGGGGACAGAGTGAGACCCTGTCTTAAAAAAAAAAAAAAAAAAAAAAAAAAAAAGTTCCAGCAAGACCACACAGAATTCTCCTGATGTTAATCCCCATTTTCCCTGCTGAGTAAGTGTGGCTAGGCCCACCTTTCCCTCCGATCCCAGTCCCAGACAGTCACAGGACCCTCCCAGGCCCTGAACCAGCCCCTCGCAGTTGGATGTTGGACCCCATGACTCAGGTAGGCTTGCTGCAGGATGAGTCACACCCCCCACCTCCAACTTTTTCTAGAACCTGCTTACTAATCTTTATCCCGGCCTCTTGGGTCCTCTAGATGAGGGAGACCGTTGCCTGTGGCCCAAGAAAGTCCCCCAGGCACTGACTGGTGGAAGCCTCCCTTGGCTCTCCTTGGGGATCCGCAGACCCCAGTGCGGGAGAGGGGTCACTGCCCCAGAGTAGCCCACATGGGCATACTGTAACTACTTAACCAGTCCCCTTGTTGGGAGAGGTCCAGGTTACTTTCAATCTTTTGCTCTAAAAATAGTATAGCAACTAGTGTACACGTGTTGTATGGCATGTGTGTGGTTATATGTGTGGGATAAATTCCTAGAAGTAATATTGCTGGGTCAGAGGGTTTTGGACACTTCTGTTGTTGATGATTATCACCAAATTGCCATCTATAGAGTGATACCAGCTTGTATTTCTACAAGCACTCTATGTTTGCAGACGCATCGATAATAATTCTGTGCCATGTCCCTTCTGGTGACAGGGGTATGGGGAGGGGTAGGTAACCACATCCCCCTCACTCTCATCTTTTCAAAGGTACGTGCATCAGAGGGCCTTGCAAGCAGTCTCTCTGGGTGAGCATTTTCCTTTCCTGTCACAGACTCTCAGCTGGGCGAGTTTTCTCCCTGCCTCCCAAAGCATGTTTCTGAGCAAATATTTTCCAGTGTGTGCCAGATGTTGGGGAGAGCAGTGGACCGACATCGCCCTACCCTCATGGAGCTTGCCTTCTAGAGCGGGGAGACGGGCAATAGGCAAACAAGTATATAATATGTCAGGGGCCGCAGAAAAGGGTGAGCTGGGAGGTAGGTGGGGGATGGTGGCTGCTCAGGGAAGGCCTGTCTGCCCTGGGGATGTTTGGGCAGAGCCCTGCATAGGATGAGGGAGTGAGGTCTGTGGATCTGCGGTGGCCAAGAATTTCCAGCGACAAGTATGCAGAGGCCCAGAGTTGGAAATATGTGGGTGGGATGCGAGACCCCGAGGGTCCTCAGTGCCTGTCACGTGTGCAGCCCATACTGTTCCCTCCCCTGGGTTGACCGTTGCTCTCCACCTGCTCATCATTTGAGCAGTTTAAGGCCCACCTCTGCTCACTCATCCCAAAACGATTTCTTTTCTGTGTATCTGCTGCAAACCCAGTTCTCAGGCCAGTTCTGACCAAGTTACCAAGGAGAATGAGGTCTGGTCCCTGAAAGTGGCTCTGGCCAATCAAGCACTCCTACGGCCCTGGAGCCTGCACCCTAGTTTGGCCTGCAGCCAAGCCTGCCGTGGGTCCTCAGCTCCTGTGGTGAATGCTGTAGCTCCTGCTGCGGGGCCCCTAGGCTGGGTGGATGGATGCAACGTGACAGGAGACAGGAAGAATTAAGGATGTGCAGAATGCAGATTTTGAGCCAGCAACATGACCAGTCCCCAGGGTTGGCTGGGCATGATTTTGCCTCTCCTTCTTGACTATATCATGCCCAGATTAAAACTTTGGCTCCAGCTCTCCGTGAGTAAATGAGGATGTGCCCTCAGAATGCCATCTTTTACCCTCTTCTCACCTTCTACCCTTCCTTTTAAAAATGCAAAAAAGAAATGCATAAATCATGTTGACCAACAGTTCATGAATCCCCACTGTTGCCAGGGGCTTTGCTTGGGGTTAAAGGGCAGCAGAGATGAATTTGGCACTGTCCCTGACTTCAAGAAGCCGACAGTTCACCCTGGAAAATGTCTTAACTTGTGTGGAATGTGCATGGGGGGGAAAGCAGGAGTGCCTGGGAGTGAGAAGCAGGGAGGGCAGGGACTGGGGTGGTCAGGAAGGGTCCGAGGAACAGCTGGGAAGTGACCCAGCCTTAAAGGATGGAGAGAGGATGGAGAGCCCCAAAGATACAAAGTCATTTGGAGTCTAAACACCAGCTATGGAGTGCGGCCCTTTAACCTGCATGGGAAGAAGTCATGGAAACCCATGGCTTTAACCAAAGAGGGGCCTGAAGTAGAAATGATTTCTCCCTGGCCCCAAGCTCTCACCTTCCCCATCCACTCTAGAGGCAAACGTGTGCAGGCCTGACCCGTCTTGCTCTCTGCCCCTGCTGCTGCCCTAGGCCACACTGCCACCATGCCTGGCCAGGTCCCTCAATGTCCACCCTTCCCTCCTACAGCAGGCAGAATGGTCCCCTTAAGACATAAACCAGGCCAAGCATGGTGGCTCACACCTATAATCTCAGTGCTTTGGGAGGCCAAGGCAGGAGGATCACTTGAGGCCAGGAGTTCAAGATCAGCCTGGGCAACATAGAGAGACCCTGTCTCTACAAAAAATAAAAAAAAATTAGCAGGGCATGATGGCCTGCACCTGTGGTCCCATCTACGCAGGAGGCTGAGGACAGAGGATTGCTCGAGCCTAAGAGTTTGAGGTTACAGTGAGCTGTGATCAAGATGTATACAATGTGGAGTGATTCAACCACACTCATTGACATATTCATCACCTCACAAGTGCTGCTTTGCATCACAGTGCTTACCGCCATCTGATAGAGATGTTTATTGGTTTGTTTTCTGCATTTCCACCGCCCCGGAGCTGCATTTCCACCGCCCTGGAGCAGGGCCTGGTCTGTCTTGTTCTCTGCAGTGAACTGTGCTGGCCTGGCGCAGGCGCTCGGCAGGTACTTGTGACTTTGTCTCTTTTGTTTTGGTAGATCTGTGCTGCTTTCGAAGTGCCACCTCGGCATCTCTCTACAGTGTGATCAAGGAGACCTGGCATCTGGAACAGGACTGTGTTGAGATCAGAGAGACCCAGTCTGTAGTCTGATTGATCTCTACTGACTTTGAGGTTATGGAAGTTGTAGGAAGGTTGTTGTTATGGTTTATACAGCATGTAGTATATTTTCATTCATTCCACATTCCACTCAATATTTGAGTACCTACTAGACATAGTTCAAGGATTTCTGTACATGAAATGTGCCAAAATGCTTCTCCATAAAAGCAGTGAATCACCTTTGCATGAATTGAGTTAGATGTTGGTTACTGGGCTCCCTTGAGTTGTGGGTTAGGAGTTAACTGTGGCCTGACCTGGATCCCTGTGACTAGGTGATGCTCTCGAGTTTGCCAGCAACAGAACCGTCTCTGCGTCCAACATCTCCTAAGCGGGACAGTAGCGTGGGCTGTGGCATGCTAGGAAGATCACTCTGGCCAGTTGTGTACAAGATAAATTGCAGGGGAAGGAAGTGGGGACCAGGATGACGCATCAGGACGCGGGACAGTCCTCCATGAGGGAAGCAACAAAACCTCACCTTTGAGTAAGGCCAGGGACCTGGAAAAGTGGGACTAAAATGTCTCCAGGACGTTTTACCAGGAAAACTACCAGAACCTGGTACCTTCTTGGTTATGGATGGTAAGGGGAGAGCAAAATGACTGAGGTTTTGAGCTGGAGGTGACATGGAGCTGCTTTGAGGCAAAGATGATAAAGCCATAGTGTCATCCAGAAAGTGAAGCCCAATGAGTGTGGGAAGGTTCGTGCAGACGAGCTAGATGTGGGGTCCCTGAGAGTCGTGATGATCGACATGGCAGGAGGGGACGGCATTGAGAAGAGCAGAAGCTTGACAATAACTATTTGGGGAGGAAAATATTGGAGGAATGCCTGTTTTAGGAACTGAGAGAAAAAGCATTAGCCAGCAAAGAGGGCTGTGGTAGGAGTGGTCCGTGGGGCTTGGTGAGCTTCTCGGAAGCCACGCCCAGAGAGGGTTTCAGGCACTCGGTGTCAGCACACCAGTGCTGCTGGGGCTTCAAGAGAGAGTGAATCAGAAAACTGGGACATAGCAAGCATTGGTGAGGCTGTAGAGAAACCAGAACCCTCATGCATTGCTAGTGAGAGTGTAAAATGATGGAGCCATTGTGGGAAAACAGTCTTGCAGCTACTCAAAAAGCTGAACATAGAGTTACCACATGACCCAGAAATTCTAATCCTATGTAATATCCAGGAGAATTGAAAACATGCATCCAGGAAAAGCCTGGTACACGAAGGTTCATAGCAGCACTATTCCTAATAGCTAAAAGGTGGAAACAACGCAAAAGTCCATTAACAGATGAATGGATAAACAAAATGTGACATATCCTTACAATGGAATATTAGTCAGCCACAGAAAGGAATGAGATACTGGTATATGCTACAACATGAATGAACCCTGAAAACATTAAGTGAAAGAAGTCAATCACAAAAGGCCACATATTGTGTGATTCTATTTCTATAAAATGTCCAGCACGGGCAACTCCATAGAGACATAGAATCGGGGGGAGTTGCCAGAGGCTGGAGTGAGGAGGAACAGGGAATGGCTGCTAGTGGGTATGGGTTTGTATGGGGAGTGATGAAAATGTTCAGAACTTAAATAGTGGTGATGGTTGCACAATTCTGGGGATATCCTAAAAAGCACTGCATTATATACTTTAAAATGGTGGATTTTGTGTTATGTGAATGGTATCTCAATTTAAAAGAGACAGAGAGATTGAGAGAATGAGCCAGGCAAGTCGGGGGAAGCATGGACTGTAGCACGGCAGGACTGAGCGCTGAGCAGCCCAGCCATGGCCCTAGTTAGGAAACAGTTCCAGCCCCTGAGTAAGTCCACAGGTTTGTGGGTTTGAAAGTCTACAGCACTGGGCCAGTGGAGAAGAGGGCTTTGACTCCTGGACTTCCTCCTGTGGCCAGGGCCCAGGGGTGCCTGAGTCAATGGCTGAACCTCCTCACCCATAGAGGAGTTACCAATTATACGTCTCTAAGCTAATTTCATTTCCCTGAGGACTTCTGCTGACCAGTTGTTAACACTGGATGATCCCAGCGCACTCACTGCTGCAGGCTTTCTCTTCAGTGGCCTCTTGAATCACGGTGTTCAGACCTGGCCCAGGGGCTCCACATCGCACCATCACACTGACCTCCAGCTGCTCTAACCCTGTCGGAGAAATCACGGCCACCCGGCGCAACTGACTTTCTGCTCTCTGACTTTTGTGGGCTCTCACTCTAGCCTGAACCTTGGAGATGTTTGTTACAGGCCGCATCAGGGCTGGGGCTGCAGGTCGGCGGGGGCTGCAGGGAGCTACAGGGCCCAGTAGCCGGCATGTCTCCTTCAGTGGTGCTCTCTGCCCCTCTCTTCCACAGCTCTTGCAATCTCAGGATGTGAAGGAAGATGCTGTCCTTTGCTGCTCTATGGAGGTAAGCTTTGGGGCTTCGACATCCCCAACCTCAAAGCCGGTGCATCTCTCATGCCTTAACAGTTCTAGGGGCACGAGGGTTGTTGGAGGCATTTACAAGTCCAGGGGAAGGTAGGTGGATGGCTTCAGGAGTGGGCATGGACTTCTGCATCCAGAATTATCCACCCCAAGCCAGAGTGAACACTGATGGTGAGAGCAGCTCACCCCTGACTGAAGGGAGAGAGAAGTGATTCCCAGTGGCATTGCCTACTTCCCTGTCCCCCAAAGACCCCCTGCGCCCCAGCTCAGGCATGCCACACAAATGACTTAAGAAGTTCCTGATTACCTCTGCCCTCAAATATTTCCCTTTGCTTTGCTAATGCTTGGCAATGCAGTGCTGGCACAGCCCACCCGAAAGCACACCTCTTGGGAGGTGCCACTCCTGTCCCTAAGCTGTGGCCCCTGCTAATGGAGACTCTTCCTCTGGGCTCTCCCTTTAGCGCCTGGCTTTGGCCCAGTCCCTGGGCAGATCTCTGCCCTCTGCAGATGGTCCAGAGTCACTCAGAGTGGGATGCAGGCAGGAGAGGGGCTTCCAGACGAGGACCTGGGCCTGGCAGCTGTCATAAGCATACTCAGGTGGCTTCCGCCTGGCTGCAAAGGCCTCACTGAGGAGCTCAGAGGCCAGAAGCACTGGGAGCCAGATGGCAGTCTTGGGTCTGTGGGACTCAGTTTGTTTGTTGGCCTCCAGCTGGGCACCCTACAGGGGGCTTGGGATTAGGGGGGAATTAGGGAGAAGGAGAAAGCCTGGTCCTTGCCCTCAGGCAGCTTCCAGTCTGGTTAGGAATAGCTCTCAGAGAGTAGATAGAATAAGTGTAAGTACAGAGACATCCCTGAAGAGTCAGGGGAGAGAGGTCAGGAAGGGCTCAGGGGTTCAAGGGAGGCTTTGTGAAGAAGGCAGAGACTAGAAAAATGAATGGGACAAGGCTGGGGACCGAGACGGGGACTGAGATTCTATAGAGAGGGCCTGGGGGGCAC
Organism: Homo sapiens; assembly: GCF_000001405.40. Taxonomy (NCBI): domain Eukaryota; kingdom Metazoa; phylum Chordata; class Mammalia; order Primates; family Hominidae; genus Homo; species Homo sapiens. The sequence goes on from NC_000018.10 coordinate 48,858,655, forward strand.
TGGCCAGGGGTGTGCTGGTCCAGGAATAGGGGCTCCTTCCCAGTGGGCTTTTCAAGATTATCTAGGGCTCTCCTGACGGCCTCTGGCTGGCCTTCTTCCCCAGTTTGTATTTCTCTCCCCCACTTCCTGTCACAAGCATGAGCAGAGGTCACTTCTGGGGGCTGGGAGATGGGATCAGGATCAGGAGAAAAGGAGAGCGAGAGAAACAGGAGGCATCACCCCTGCTCTCAAGTTCCAATGGACACATGTAATAATGACTAAGCTCATTGCCAGAGAGACGCCCCAGCAAGTGAAAATGACCACAGGGCCCCCTGATCACCAAGGGGCACAGATCATGGAGCCATTTGAGGGTGCGGATGTAGTCAGGGAAGGCTTCCTGGAAGAGGGAGGCTCTTGGGTAAAAGGGACAAGAGGCATGTTCCTGGTGACAGCTCTTTCAGCCCTGGGCAGTAGGCAATATTCGGATCCCTCTGGATCCTGCTGGCAGATTGGTTGGTAAATGTGAGCTCTCACTCTTGGCTACTCCACCTTCCACTCTCCCTGTCCTCATTCCAGCTGTGGCACAGGGGTCTGGGCCTGTGTGTCCTTAAGACAACCCAGCTATTTCCTATCCCTGCCCACCTAATCAGGGTGGCCAGTGGGCCACTGTGGGACCCGAGGCCATCCTAACCCCACATCTCTGTCTGCAGCTGCAGAGTACAGGCCGGCTGCTGGAGGAACAGCTGCCTGAGATGATGACAGAGCTCCTGGCCAGCGCACGGGACAAGATGCTGTGCCCCTCGGAGTCCATGCTGACCCGGTCGCTGCTCCTAGAGGTCATCGAGCTCCACGCTAACAGCTGGAACCCTCTGACGCCCCCCATCACGCAGTACTACAACAGAACCATCCAGAAACTGACAGCCTGACAGCCAGGGGGCCTGGCAGGCGGCCCACGGGCAGCTGGGGCCCTGGTGCACAGGGCCAGATGGACAGGCGGGAGGACAGGGGTGGCCCTGGCGGGAGAAAGAAATGGGGAGGAGGGCAGGCAGAGTCGGTGGCCAGTCTGGAGCCAGACGGGGAAGGGAGCAAATCCCTGAGAGGAGTGCCCCCGCACAAGCCCCCCAGCCCGAGCATGCAAGCTCACACCAATAAGGGAAGCATGTTTCTTTTTCCTGGTGGCCCTGGCCCTCCCCTTCCTCACTCCCGCCTCTCCCCTCCCCATCAGACCCATCCCCCACGGAGCTTTGTGTGAGGGATCTCATCGCTGTGACTCCTCGGAGACCTTGGCAGCCTCGCACGCCGGGGCACCGCTTGGGTCAGAAAGGACCTCGGAAGGCTGAAAAAGTGGGTCGGAGACGGGCTCGCATTGTTCCCGCATGCTGTCAGCCGCAGTCGCCAACTGGCAGCAGGCGACGTGTAGCAGATGTCCGGGAGGACAAAGGCAGGCACGGTCCCCACCAGCCGCCCGTAATTGACGGCCTTTGTCAGCCATGGCAGAGCTGACGCTCCACCTCCCACCTCCAAGTCCTCCTCACTGCAGCCCCCACAGCCTCAGGCCTAGGGGGTCAGGCGCAGCGGGGGAGATGGAGTTTGCAGTTCCACTTGCACTCTTTTGTTTATTGTGTTTTATTTTTCAAAAGTCGGTTGCTTTGAAGTCTCTTTGGCCAATGAAAATGCCCGTGATGTGATCACACAGTCAGCACTGTTGAGGACCCCCGGATTAGTGGGAGATCAAACCCAGCTCCCCTCTAGAAGAAGGATTCGAGCCACAGACAGCTTGCCAGTAGCCAATTAGGGTAATTGGAAACTTCTGCCCCGGCGGGGGGTCCCCGCTGGAATCCTGTGTTCCTCGCCACTGGCTTCCAGCGCCTCTGTTTTCTCAAAGGGCTGATACTGTCACCACTGGGACCAAGTTAAACCTGGTCCTGGCCCCAGGGGCCTTGTGGCAAACAGGGCACAGAACGAGACTGGCAAATTAAAACCAAAATTCTAGATGGTGTCTTGCGCTCCACACGCAGGTCTTACTGGGGAAAAGGATGGGAGTGGGGGCTCCCCAGGACTCGATTTTAGCTAATGCGCTGTGTCACTGCCCCAGCTCGGACGTAGAAGCCCAGCCCTCCGTGAGCTCTTGGGAAAGGGGTGAATTCACTGGGTCATGGAAGGGACAGTCAGGTGACCAGCGGGGTCGCCAGATGAAGCTTCCCAGCCGGGAAACAAGACGGGGTTTCTTGGCAGGCCCTGGTCCTGGGGAGCAGGCCCTGTTGTTGGCTGGAGAGGAAGGTGTGGGGTGGAACAGGTGTCCACATAGCTCCATCTCTGGGGGCTGGAGCACACACTTTGATGAGCCCCCCCGGAAATGATGTCAGAGCCTAGCCGCTTCCTTATTTGCTCTTTTATTGAGGCCGGGCAGGCCCTGGGTCACTTTGGAGGCCCCTCTTGGTCCACACTGGACTGGCCGGGAGGTGATGGGCGGGGAAGGTTCTCGTGATTGATTGATTCTGAGTCTGAGAGTGGCGAGTGGGGAGAGGCTTCCCCAGTTCTCTCCAGCTTTCCCTGCAGCTGCAACCTGCCCTCTGGTCCCAGGTGTGGAGCCTTTGCCTGTCTCTAAAAAGAGCCTGTTGGCGACAAGGTGTAGGGGGCACAAGTTTACCTGAAACAGGTCAGTGGTCTCTCCCAAGAAGCGCACGCCACCTCTGGTCCCTGGCCCTGAACCCTGCCTTCTTCCTCCCTCCACGGTTTCTTCCCAGACTTTCTCAAGCTCCTCCTCACTGCCCTTCCTCCCCAGCCCAGCCTGGGAACACAGATGCCCCGCGGGTAGGAGGCCTCGAGGGAGGAGCCGGGCTGATGCGGGGCTGCTCAGGGCAGGCCCCAGGGCGAGCTTGCCATCGTGGCCAGGCAGCCTCCACCTGTGCTTCAGTGGCCCCTGCCCCCCTGAAGCATGTGGGGTTTGTCCGCTAGGAGGAGGCAAGGCCCCCGAAGAGAGGAGAGACCTGGGAGTGGGAGCTCAGGTCAGGGAGGAGGCAGGGGAGTGGGGTCTCCCAGACCCAACGGTGAGCTCAGAGCAAGCTTCACGCAGGACGCTCCGAAACACTGTGTGGAGGGGGCTGTGTTGTGGGCACCTTGGGGCCTGATTCTCCTTCCTCCGAACGGGCTCCTTGATGGCCTGGCCACAGGGGCAGCTCCCCATTGGCTGTTAGGACCAGAGTGTGAAGAAGAAGTGAAATATAAATATGTATACATATATAAATATATTTTTAATTACATGTCGTGTCACGGTGGCTCCAGACATACTGTTTGCCTAGTTTATTCCACTGCTTGAAAGCGCTTCCTAGCCAATCTGAACAACAACACTTTAAGCTGTTTTTCTAAATGCAGGTTGCTGCTCCTTTTTCAGATATGGAAGGAAAACGTTAAGACTATTTTTTTTTTAAAGAAACAACAGTCAAGCCTAAAATTTGAGACCCCGAGGCAGCTTCCCGAGGGAGACTGCTCAGACAGGAACTGCAGGACAGAAGTGGATGCCCCACAGACCCTGGCCCCCTCCCCAAGTCCATCCCCTCTCTGTGGCATGAGGAAGGCCGCGTCCGAGTTGACCTCTGAATGTATGTGATGAGAGGCAGAGCTGGATATTGCATTTCTAAGGCTTGCATTGCTTTCCCCTCGCCCGCGGTTCTTGGCGCATGGAAGAGGCGGTCCAGCCATCTGATGTTGATCCTGTCTCAGTCTCCCCACTGCCTGTCAGGATGAGTTAGTCATTGTTTTTCTCCGAGGCGGCCTGCTTGCCACAGCCCTGCTCCCCAAGGCCTGGTGGCTTTGCCGAAGCTCTGGGACCGCAGCCCCAGCGAGGCCCCCAACCTCACCCAGACGAGGCCAGGAGCCCCGCCACCCTCCACGGGATGTGCACCCTCAGACCCCATTCTCTCTGTTCGTCCTTCCTTGACCAGTCTGTAAACCTTCACTGTTTGGGGATCGTCCTGTCCATCCATGTAAATGTAAATGTTGGCCGAGTCGGTATTTATTCTGATTGATTTTTATTTTATTCTATTATTTTCTCCGAGGGATGAGGGTGGGGGGTGTGGGAAGGGTACCACAGATCAGGCCGGGGCAGCTGTAGGGGCGGGGGCCCAGACAGCCAGGCCGCCACCAGAGCAGCCCCATGGGGTGCCCCAGACGCGGGCCTCCAAGAAGCCAAGTCCCAGTCTGTTTTCTGGCATCAGACACCGGCCCGTGTTCCTTGTCAGACAGACAGACTCTCAGGCCTGCCTGGGGAGTCGTGTCCCTCAGCTGCAGGGCACTGTGTTGGGAAACCATTGGCTGGGCCTTTGAGGACACAGATCAGAAGAAAGAAAGACAACTTTCCTCTGCGCGGAACACTCACACGGAAGGGCTGGCCGCCTCCCTGAGCCGGCTGGGAGTGGACGACAGGACCTACCTCCCCAGAGCAAGGGCCTGGGGCTTCCCGCCAAAGCTGCCGCGGAACCCCGCTAGTGCGACCACCCTCCCTCCGTCGGTATGTCCTGCTTTCCAGCTGAACCCAAACTACAAGTGGGTTTAAAAAAATAAACACCACCACCAAAAACAAAATGCCCAGAGTCTGTGCTCTTTGTGTGTTCAGCAAAAGAAACCTTTTCCCCAAGCTCATGTGCCTCAGCTATACTAGCAGGGCCTCCAGGAGCTGGCCCAGGAGATGAGCTGAGGGGAAGATTCTTGCAAGAAGTTGGTCCAGGAGACCATGGGTGAAGGAGACTTACTTACATCCCCCAAAACTGGGAACTAACTATGACCTATCCAAAGTGACCTGGACCTGTCCAGGATCAAGCCAGTCCTGGACAAAATGGCTTTTGCACTAAAGGTTTGGTTTAACCAACCCCCCCCAAACCTACCCCTTCCCTGGAAATGTCACTGTGGCATTTGGCAATGAGTCATTTCAAGAGGGCTGAGATTTGGGCCCAGTGGCTTTCAAAAGTCAACAGCGAGTGGCTGTCCAGTCCCAGTTGGTCAAATGAGTCTTTCATCAACGAGTCCCCAAAGGGCCCAGTGATTTCTTTTCCTGTGATGACATGTCTCTTGTTTTGCACAATCTTGTCTATGGCAAGGCACTGGGGACACTGTTTCCTGGTAACGCTCCCCTTTCCTTGGGGATTCTTTCTGGCTAGAACTTGCTGGTCCTTCAGCTCCTTGCAGGGGTCGCACCAGAGCACCAACTCCCTTCCTCCTTCCCTGGCCTGGCTACAATGGCGGCCAGGGCCTCCCAGGAGCCGGGTGAAGGCATGTTGAGATTCGGGCCTTGCCCTTCACTGAGTCACACACCCACCATGACACTGACAGGGACAGCCAGAAGTCCACAGACTGGGTAGAGAGAGAGAACATTTTAATTAAACAACTGAGGTATGTGGCGGGCCAATTTTTTTTTTTTTTTTTTTTTTTTTTTTTTTGAGATGATGATGGACTCTCGCTCTGTCACTCAGCCTGGAGTGCAATGGCACGATCTCAGCTCATTGCAACCTCTGCTTCCCAGGTTCAAGCAATTTTCCTGCCTCAGCCTCCCAAGTAGCTGGGATTACAGGCACACACCACCACGCCTGGCTAATTTTTTTTGTATTTTAGTAGAGGTGGGGTTTCACCATGTTGCCCAGGCCGGTCTTGAACTCCTGAGCTCAGGCAATCTGCCTGCCTTGGCCTCCGAAAGTGCTGGGATTACAGGCATGAACCACCGCTTCCAGTCCTAATTTTTGTATTTTTAGTAGAGACAAGTTTTCGCCATGTTGGCCAGGCTAGTCTCAAACTCCTGACCTCAAGTGATCCACCCACCTCGGCCTCCCAGGGTGTTGGGATTACAGGCGTGAGCCACCGTGCCAGGCCCAAATTTATTTTTATAAAAATGCAAAGCAGTAGAAGCAGACATTGGAGGTCAAGATCAAAGGTAGGGCGACGATGAGGAACAGAGAGCCTTATCACACCCTGCAAAAGAGAAAGGAGATTTTCCTGGATGGGCTAGTCCTGCTTCCAGAAGGCCCTAAGTTACTGAATACTACGAGACACAGCATCGAAATAATACATGTTTCAATCCTGATTTCACCACCATCTTTCTGCTTGTAGGCATTCTCTTGTCATTTTAGAGTGTTTGTTTACATTTGTACTGGGATGCTCACAGCGTAACTTATAAGGGCCTTTTAAGGACCAAGGCAAAGATGATGATAGCAGAAAAATAAAGGGTTGAGCAGTTGAAATGGGAAAGAAGTGGTCCTGCCTTACTGATCTCCCTCATTCCTGCAGTTCCGCAGCGGCTTCCTTACACGGTCTCAGCTGGTCCCGTGAAGTAGGCAGGTGAGTGTTTTCGATTCCCATTTTATAGATGCGCCAAAGGCTGATCACCAGAAGAGCCAAGGCGAGGGTGAGCCCAGAAAGTGAGTGGGTCCTTCAGACTCCTCATCCCTGCAGCGCCCCAGGGAGCCAGCCAGTCACACCAGCCAGACAAAAGGAGCAGCCAGCTGCCCCCGGGACTCGGCAGGCTGCGGGCAGGCCACGTGGGCTTCCCGCTTCATTGGTGGAAACTAGGACCATGATGAAATACCTCAGATCAGGAGATTTCAGTGGAGTGGGCAGAAGGAGCGATGGTGCAGAATTTGGTGCCGTTCTATAAAAGGACCCATTATCATATGTGCAGTGTGTGTTGCTGGATCCCAGTTTCCCCCAGGCCAGTGAGGGGGACCCTGATAGGGGGACATATCAAGCATCAGGGTCAATACCCGAATTGCCTGGGAACATTTTCAAACTACATACTAAAACAGCACACACATACACACCAATATTTTCAGAATTTGGGCCTTGGGGAGCCCCTCTTCTTACTGGTACATGTGTGCTATGCCTTGGATGGGTGCAAGAGAAAAGATGGTTGAGAGCCGCCATCCATCACTCCTGGAACACAGTACGATGATGGCCATGGAGAGCTGTCATAAGTAGTGCAGAATTATTGTCTGGGGACAGCAGGCCATGCTGCTGTGCTCTTTTGCAATCTCAGGGTCTGCCATCTTGGCTGAAACAACACTGGCTGGCACATCTGCAACATGGGGCAGGGGCTCTGGCAAGTTGCTTGAATGTGGAACAGAATCCATACCATGGACTCGGGCTGCATTCTCACTCCTATGGGCCTTAGGTACTTTTGCCTTCATAGGCCCCTTCTTCCATTTAAAAAAAAAATGGAAATATTATGACTACATTGGTAATAGAGACAAATATATTATTTTTATTAAAACATTTTCTCCCACCTAGAAGTTCATTTTTTTACCCCTGATTTTAAAAAAATTAAAACACTTTGTGGGCCCCTAAAAAACATTTTGTGGGCTCCTGTCTTAGTCCATTCAGGCATCTGTAACAAAGTACCATAGACTTGGTGGCTTATGAACAACAGACATTTATTTCTTAAAATACTAGAAGTTGGATGTCCCAAATCAGGGTGCCAGCATAGTCATGGTCTGGTGAGGGCCTACTTCCCAGTGGCTAATTTATTGGATCTTCATGGCAGAAAGAGAGTAAGAGACTTTGCTGGGGTCTCCCTTATAAGGGCACTAACCCCATTGATAAGGGCTCCATCCCTCTGACCTCCTCACCTCCCAAAGGCACCTCCTAATACCATCATATTGGGGATTAGGATTTCAACATATGCATTTAGGGGACACAAAAACATGCCATCCATAGCAGCACCCTTTGTATATGCCTAACAGGTGTATTGGCCCTACCTGAGTGTCATCTGAGCTGGGAGTCCCACCTTTCTCTGCTGCCCACCTGATCTCTGGGTGACTCAGGGCTGGGGAGGGGGAGTGGTTCAAAAGCAGTCTTCCAAGGAAGCAGTTGGCCCGTGCTGGAAGCAGATGCAGTAGCTGCCTCTGCCCTGGACTGGCTGCCAGCCAGACAGCTCCAAGCGCCAGCCAGAGCAGCTGTGTTTGCCGCGCTAAGGAGGCTGGCCCCTGAGAGCCCGATTCATCACACAGCACTTTCTCCCCTCTGCAGCCCTTTAGCACACATTATCTGGTTACGGTCTCACCAGAGCCCCGTGAAAGAAGTAAATACAATGCTTATATCCATTTCAAATCTGGGGAAACTGAGGCTTACAGAGCCATCCCATAGGTTTGAATGGGGCTTTATAGTCTTTAAATATATGACTATGTTCGATCCTTACGACAGCGCTGCCAGGTGACATGTTTTTGACACCATTGTAAAGAAGGGAGACAGGCTCACAGAAGCAGAGTAACAATCCCATGTCATGGGACCTGTAGGCACAAAGACCAGGCCTCGAATTGCTGCCTTCTTAGTCCTAAGATGGGACTGGTGGGTGGGTATGGGGACCAGGCTGAGGACCCAGGCCACCTTTGTGCCTGAGTCCCCTGATCCAGGCCTGTGGAGTGCAGGTCTGTGCTTCCTGCTCAGTGTCCCATAATTCTAACTGGTCTCCATCTTCAGCCTCCCCATTCACTGGGCATCCCCTGGCTCCCAGGCAGAGTCCTGAGTCTCCTGCAACCCATGGGGGCATCCATTCCATGGGTGGAATCAGTCCCAGGTGACAGATTAAGTCTTACAATATGGCCAGGCCAGGCACAGTGGCTCAAGCCTGTAATCCCAGCACGTCGTGAAGCTGAGGCAGGAGGATCACTTGAGCCCAGGAGTTTGAGACCAGCCTGAGCAACATGACAAGACCCCATCTCTACAAAAAAATATATATATTTTTAACTAGCTGGTCGTGATGGCACACACCTGTAGTCCCAGCTACTCAGGGGGCTGAGGCAGGAGGATCACTCGAGCCCAGGAAATCAAGGCTGCAGTGAGCTGTGGTCGCACCACTGCACTCCAGGCTGGGTGACAGAGCAAGACCTGTCTCTAAAAAAAAATAATAAATAATATGGCCAGGAGGCCAGGCATGGTGGCTCACGCCTGTAATCCCAACACTTTGGGAGGCCAAGGTGGGTGGATCACTTGAGGTCAGTAGTTCAAGACCAGCCTGGCCAACATGGTGAAACCCCATCTCTACAAAAATACAAAAAAATTAGCCGGGCATGGTGGCGCAGCCTGTAATCCCAGCTACTCGAGAGGCTGAGACAGGAGAATCGCTTAAACCCAGGAGGCAGAGATTGCAGTGAGCCAAGACCGTGCCATTGCACTCCACCCTGGGTGACAGAGCGAGACTTAATCTCAAATAATAATAATAATAATAATAATAATAATAATAATAATAATAATAATAATAATATGGCCAGGATCCCACAGCTGACCTGAAGCAGAGATGGTTCAAGGGTGATGCTCTGTCTCCTAGTCTCATCACCTGTGCCCACGTCTTTCAAGTGAACCCCTACTTGGGTCCCACCTTGTGCTGGGGGTGCTATAAGGAAATAAGCAAAGGAGACAATGCCTTAACCACCTTGGCATGGTCAGTCTCCTGGGAGCTGGAATTTCCAGACAACAGACAACCTCTCATAGGCCTAGCCCAACTCTGGGTAGGTCCTGGTGCAGGGTCCCTGCCTGTGGCATCTGCTGTGCTACAGAGAGCCAACACCTGGCCCAGGCCTTCCAATGGGGACCATTCAGGGCTTGACGAAGCTTCACTTTCCAGCCCCAGAGAGGAAGGACCACCATTCCCCTCCCTTCCCAGAACAAATCAGGTGAAACCCAAATACCCACCTAGGCCAAAAGAAGAAAACTTCCAGTGGGAACCAAGACAGGCTAGCAAGGTGAAAAGAGACTTATTCTATAGCATTTCCCCCAAATAACAAAAGTGTGATTAAAGCAGGTGAGAAGCCAATTTTAACAACACTTGTATGCATACACAGACCCTTGCAATTCTGCACACTCTAAAATCTTACTTTTTGTGGCTTAGAATGTTTCAGCACTCAGTGGAGTTTCTGCAGCCAGCAGTCACACCTACAGAGTTTCAAATCCGTGTAAACGCTGTGTCAGCCTAACCACCAGTGTGATTCTGTGTCATTCGGGGGCAAATGTTGATGTTTCTTGGGTAAGTGAAAGATCATGCAGAGAGCTTCCGGAAGACCATCCTTAGGAGCTGAACTGAAAGAAGGCCTCTCAGAGGGGCCACAGCCTCCTTCTCCCTGTGCTAGAGACAAGTCCCTAATAGCCATCTATGCTCAATGGGACTCAATGTGTCTCGGGAGCCTGGAAGCCTTTTTCTGCCCCATTCCTGACATCATGCCACCTACACATCAGACACAAGGCACCCGGCCCACTCCATCACCTCCAGTTCCCAGAAATGTGCAGGGAGCTCAGGTCAGGGCTCTTGAATCTCCTGCTGACCCAGCAGAACATACGACACAAAGGCATCTCAAAGGCAAACAAAATGGGTGGGAGGGAGGCTCATGGCCCAGGCGCGTCATCAGTGCAGTCCTGTTCAGCCAGGGCAAGGCTCAGCCGGGTGCAGCTTAGAGGAAAAGGAGAAGTGCTGAGGCTGAGCAGGTGGGGAGGGACTGTAACTCATGAGGTGTGTCGCCAGATTGGAAAGGGGGCTCAGGGTCCGTGTTGCCTAGCTACTGCCATGTCACTGTGTGACTAACAAGCCCCAAATCTCAGGAACTGCAACACAGAGGTTCACTGTTCCTGATCACAGGTCTGCAGATGGGCTGTCTCTGATCCACACCATGGCCTCCCTTTCTGGTGAGAAGGGGCAGAGCTCAGCATGCAGTGAGTCACAGAAGTTAGAAAGCACGTGCCTCTGTCTACTGCCACCTCTTTCAGGAAGCTCTCCCTGACTGCTCCCTAGTCAGGGTTACAGATCACCCCTCGGGGCTCCCACAGCTGCCAGGGATGTTCTGCCACAGTCCTGCTCCCTGGGCATGGCCATTGGTGTGTAGATGGCAGATGCCTGCTGAGGATGAGCGTGACTTCGTCCCCTCTGTCTCCCCAGCACTAAGCCAGGGCCTGGCCCCAGCAGGTGCCCCATAAGCATGTGGGGGATGAAGGGAATGGTCCAGGTACTAAGGGACTGAGGGGCTTGGGGAGGGAAGAGCCAGCTGTGCCTGGAGCCACATACTCGAGGCAGGGCACTCAGGGCCAGGGAGGAATACAGGGTGGGGCACGGGCAGGGCCTTCCAGTGGGGAGGGCTGGGGGTCCTCAGGGGCCTGATGTCTCACTGTCTAGAGAGGCCTGGAGGTGGGTGGGGAGTGCTCTGTGGTCATGGGTGCCAGAGTCTTAGCCAGTGCGGAGGGCACCTTCGTGCCAGTTAGGAGGTGCCCTTCCTCCAGGTGCCCAGCCCTGCCCCAGAACCCTGGGAGCTGCCTCAGACCCACAGCTGGGCACCCTTGTGTAGGACACAACCTGGGCGCTGCATGTGAGACTCTCTGGGTGTGGAGTGTGACTGTGTTGTGTGGGGGTGCGGGATGTGGTATATACGCACACACGCAGGGAGCGGGGTATGTGTGGTTGGAGAGGGTTGCGTTGTGTGTTGTGTGGGGTGCGGGATGTGGTATATACGCACACACGCAGGGAGCGAGGTATGTGTGGTTGGAGAGGGTTGCGTTGTGTGTTGTGTGGGGTGCGGGATGTAGTATATACGCACACATGCAGGGAGTGGGGTATGTGTGGTTGGAGAGGGTTGCGTTGTGTGTTGTGTGGGGGTGGGGGATGTGGTATATACGCACACGTGCAGGGAGCGGGGTATGTGTGGTTGGAGAGGGTTGCGTTGTGTGTTGTGTGGGGTGCGGGATGTGGTATATACGCACACATGCAGGGAGCGGGGTATGTGTGGTTGGAGAGGGTTGCGTTGTGTGTTGTGTGGGGTGCGGGATGTGGTATATACGCACACGTGCAGGGAGCGGGGTATGTGTGGTTGGAGAGGGTTGTGTTGTGTGTTGTGTGGGGGTGGGGGATGTGGTATATACGCACGCACGCAGGGAGCGGGGTATGTGTGGTTGGAGAGGGTTGCGTTGTGTGTACATGGTGTGAGAATGGAGAATTAGTGTGGTATGCGTGTGGTGTATGTGTGTGTGCTGTGTGTGGGTGTGTGTGATGTGGGGTGTGTGAATTTGTGCTGCACTTTGCAAGCCTCCCAGGCTGGGTGGCCTCTGTGCAGGGAGAGCTGGGAGGCCTAGCTGTGAGGGTGCCACGTCCTAGAGCCAGAAACACAGGTGTCTCAGTGGCCAAGCCTTCGCCTGCCCCTGGGAGTGGGGCCGGCACGGGGTCTGCAATGGCAGAGAACGGGCTGAAGGTCCTCAGTGGGCAGGCACAGCTGGCCTCCCCTCACGAAGGCCCTTCCTTCCAGAACTCTGGACTATCCCTTAGTTAGGGAGGGAACGGTCTGGACAGACTGAGCCGAGGAAAATATTCCTGGTCAAGGGATGCCCTCAGCTTGAGGCGCCTGGTCGGAGGCTCAGAAGAGATCTGGGGGAGATGCCGGGTCCACACAAGGATGATGTTCTGGAAACCGGAACTGCCCAACGGTGGAGGAGGCCGCTTCCTAAGGGAGCAAAGCCCCACACCCTATGCCCTTGATGAGTTCCAGCAACACTGCGGCCCCCTCAGCCATGGTGTTGGAGGAATCTCCCCTTCACGGTGCAGGGCATGGGTCAGAACACGACCCCACAGACCCCTCACCCTCCTGGGTTCTATAGAAGCAGTGGGGATGCCGGGGCCACCTCCTTCCATCAATTGCACCTGCTGCCCCTCCCCAGAAGTTCCTCCATCGCTTTTCCCCAGTGGCCCCTCCAAATACTCCAGGATACCAGGATGTGGAAGGCACTTTAAAGCCACCCTCTCGTTTTACAGATGAAGACCCTGCGGCCCTTACAGGGAAGGGACTCGCCCAAGGTCACAGAGGTACAGCTAACACCACGGGCACGCCTCGAACCAGGCACCCACCTAAGCGCCCTCATCTCCTCACGCCACGCCCGAGGTGGGACCTTCTCCATCTTACACAGGGGAGGACTTGGCCTGGGGTTGAGAGAGGCCAACATGGCCCAGGTCACAGCACTAGAAAGACGGCAGGATTCTCACAGGGTCCCCTCTGCTGCCAAGGCCCTGCTGCTGACCCTGACGCACACACTCGGTGTCCCCCACACAGCGATGAATCAGATACGTCCACAGAGAGAGGTAGGAAGAGGTTTAGTGAGGCCAGGCAGCTCACTCGGCTTCTTTGAGCCTCGGTTCATCTGCTGAAAATGGGAATGCACAATCCCATCTTGCTAGACTGTTTGGAGAAACAGTGCATGAGCTTTGAGTCCTCCACAAATTACGGCTCTCTTCCCTCTTAACCACGAGACTCGCCCGCCTTGCTGGGTCTGTCTGCTGCTGATTCTCTTGGGCAGTGGGCGTGCAGTAAAGCCTATCTGCTCTCCCGCTAGGACCCACTGGGACTGGGGTCAGTGGACAGGTGTTGGTGTGGGGTTTGGCTGAACTTCTAAGCACTTTTGAAGCTGAGACTTAGGTTGCTGGCCTCACCATCCTCAGTGAAGCACTAACAAATGAGCCAAAGAGTCACCCACCAAACGCCCCACTAAGCACCCATCAGCTGACCCTGAACACCTGCTGGGTGCAAGACAGAGCTGAGCCCTGCCCTGGGAGATACAGAAGGAAGACACACCTGCCCTACCCTCAAGCCGAGTGTTGCCACTCTAATTGAAGATTTAAGGCCAGTCGCTGTCCAGGTGAATGCCACAGTCCCTTCCTGTGTTCCCAGTGGGGAACCTGGCAGGCGGCGGAGAGGGCGGCATGTAAAGAAAAGCCCACAATGAGGTGTTCTGCTGACCACACACAGCTGCACCTTCTGGTGATGGAGTCGTTAATACCTGGAGAGGGGGCCACCCAGCGAGGCAGTGGCGTAGGGACCCAGTCTCCTGGTGGGGAGCTGACCCAGCACACGAGGTCGGCCTCAGGGTGGGCTGCCAGTGTGCAAACAAGTGCTGCCTGGGGTCAGGCAGACAACGGTCAAAGTCAGAGTCTCTTTATCAGAAGAAGACAGGAAGAATTAAGGGAGACATCTTCCTGCAGCATGCAGAATGGATTAAAGGGGAGAGGAACGGTGAGGAACAGCAGGAAAACCAGTTAATTGGCCAGGTGGGAGGCACCTCCATGGGGGAGGAAAACTAAAGAGGGTTCTGCGGGCTCTGATGTTCAGCCAAGGCCAGCTGTCTCCATCGCGGGCGCCTGGCATGGTGCAGAATGAGGCGTGACACAGACCTTCATTTTCTGTAGCTGTAATCTACCTCTTTAAATAGCAAAACTTTTTATTTTCATTTTTTGGTAGCAATCTTTCCCCGGGGGATCCTCCACATCCCAAATTTCTCAGAAGTCAGCGTGTGTTGACTTCCTTGGTGACTCAGGTCCTTCTGACAAGGCTAATGAGTAGACTAGACTGCAACACGGGGTTAGCCTCAGGATTGTCAAGGTAGACCCCGTCTGCCTTGCTTTTTTAATTACTGGATCTGCATTTTACAATTGTTCTCCCTTCTCTGTCATCATAAAATTCTTCTTACTACTATCAGTATACCTGTTGTGGCCTGAGAAACTAGACCACCAAACTTACCCAAACTATTTGCCGAGTAAGAGGAAATAGGCCCTGAGTGAGGGCCTGAGGGGCATTTTCATACCAAAAAGCATGAGCTTTCCTGCATGAATGGGGGTTCGAAGCCACCCATTGATCTGCTCAGAAACCATCTTTGCCTGCTTTCTCATCCCCGGTGACTTTCAAAAGTATGGGACCTGCCAGATAAGAAATGTTTTGCTGACCTAGAATTAAAGTTGTGCTAGTCCCTGGGGTCCTCCTGAGGGGCCCCTGAGGTTGGCTGGGGTTGGGGATGGGACTTATTCTAGTTTTCCAGGGAGGAAGGCTGAGCCTCAGAGGATCAGAATGGGCCAAGATCAGACAGTGAGTCAGGGTGAGTCATGCGGCCTCGAGGCCACACCACACGTCCCAGCATCAGAGCTGGGCAGAAGGGAACTGGAGGCCCCTGCTCTCAGGGAAAGGGCACTGGATTGAGAGTCGGCAGAGAATTCTAGTCCTGCTTCCACCCCAACCAGCTAGGTGCTCATGAAAGTGTTCTTTGGGCCTCAGTTCCCCCATCTGTAAAAGAAGGATGGGTATGTTAGATTTTAAGGTGGGTTCTCTGTGATTTATTTATTTATTTATTTATTTATTTATTTATTTATTTATTTTGAGACGGAGTTTCGCTCTTGTTGCCCAGGCTAGAGTACAATGGCGAGGTCTCAGCTCACTGCAACCTCCACCTCCCAGGTTCAAGCAATTCTCCTGCCTCAGCCTCCCAAGTAGCTGGGATTACAGGCACGTGCCACCACACTCAGGTAATTTTTGTATTTTCAGTACAGACGGGGTTTCACCATGTTGGCCAGGCTGGTCTCAAACTCTTGACCTCATGTGATCCGCCTGCCTCGGCCTCCCAAAGTGCTGGGATTATAGGTGTGAGCCACCGCGCCTGGCCTTCTCTGTAATTCTTGAGTTGTCTTTGTTAATTAGCAGGAGAGGGAGGCAGGAACGGAGGGAGGAGAGACAGATTTTAACAGCTGTTCTGCGTGAGCCCATTTTGGCCCCCAGATTCCCTCCATCCCCTAGTCTGTTCTCCTTTATGGAGTTCACTCCCCTCTAATCCCGTTTCTACCTAGGCTAACCCACCCAGGAGAGCTTTGAAATTTCAGTGGAGTCAACCACAATTCTACAGCCTTTGAGGAAAAGGCCTAATAATGACGATAGCCTACAGATGCAAAGCTCCTCCTGGGAGCACAAGGTCTTGCACCTCTTCGTGTCCCTTGAGGTCCCATTCACAGGGACCGGCTGCAGGCCCAGGAGTGATTTGCCCGAGGGACTGGGCTGGGAGTCAAACCAACATGTGTGGACTCCAGAACTTTTGACTCTTCAGCTAGCTTTGTCTTTGGCACCTTCCATCTGTGTCCTGGGCCACATCTTCCTGGCTTCAGTTGTTTCTTTCTCTATCTGGCACTCAGGGCTCCCAAGCTGAAGGTCCTGATGCTTCAGCATGAGCCAAAGCATTCCCACCTGAGAGAGACCAGGAAGGAAGGACAAAACGAGGACCCATGGAGGACACCAGGCAGTGTGGCCCCTGCACCCACCCCACTAGCTGGACAGGCTACTCAGCATTGGTGACCCCTGCCTGCCTCCAGGTCCCTTTCCATTCTTGGTGACCCCAGGCAGAGCCCCCAAAGCCAGTATGCTCGCCAAAGCCCCATGCAGTTGGCTAGAGCCCAAGCCCTCCTTTTCTGCAGCGACTCCACCGGGCTGGGCTGGGGCTCGAGCTTGGCCACTTTCCTGGGCCGCTGCTGTATCGATTATTTTGGCTCCCTTTTTGCTGGGGATATCAATTTAGTGGGTTCCCAGGATGGCTGTGTTTTAACCTCTCACCCTGGTCTAGACTCTGTCGGCTCCCGCTGTCCCTGGGCCAGGAGGAGATGGAGGGCCCCGGGTCTCTCGGGCAAGCTCTGGAGCCGGAGGATTTCCAGGAACAGAGGCTGGGATCGCCTGGCGGCTCCACAGCCCCGCCAACCTGCCTCCCTTCAAACCGGCCGGTGAATTATTAAAGATGCAATTTCCTTTCATCTTTCCAGTAAAATCGCTCCCTGTGCCATGATCCACTGCTTTCCTGTCACTGGCCAGGCAGGGGCCTTGGCAGGACCCTCATCCACTCTATTCCCTCCCGGTGCCTGAGCCCTCCTAGGAGTCTGGACAGGACTGGCCCCTTCCTAAAAGGGTCCAGGAGTCTTAAGGTATCTGGGTGGGGCAGAGGAGACTTGGAATTGTAGAATATCGGAGCCCACCATTTCACAGCTGAAGGAAGACGAGCCCAGAGTGGGCGAACAACCAGCCCAGAGTAGCACAGCAAGCAGTTGGCAGAGCTGGACTGGAACTCAGGCCCAGTCTCCCGGGGTGGGGATACCCCTACTCCTGCACCGGAGCAACCCTGGGACTCCCAGCGCTGTCCCCTATGATGGCCCCCGAGACCCAGGCACCGGGGCGAGGACGTTGGGTCAATCTGCTGCTGGATCGATCAGTTTTCGGGGTGATTTACAGTCTTTGCCCGTTATTTACCATCTAGTCTCCATCTCTGCAGCAGCGAGTTAGCCGAATGTAAAATCACAGTGATTACTGCCCTCTTGTCAGTATTCATTGTTTCAGGTTTATCAGTTACTACTGGTGATCATCACAGAGAGGCTAGCGAGAGGGAGCCCAGTGTCATCCTGGCCAAATCGCTGGTCATGGTGCCTGAAGTTCTCCCTCTCAAAGCCTTGCTCCAAACCGGCCTTCTCCAGAAACCCCTTCCTTGAGTGGCCCCTAGAAGAGTTCAGATGCTCCACTTCCTCTTTTGCTCATCCAAGCTCCGCTGTGGCAGGGGCATTTGGAAAGCATCTGGGGTCTTCTGCAGATGTTTTGGCAGCCTTGGAGACATCGTGCCCTGTGCCCAGCCCTGGCCAGCTGCTCTGGAGGCACCACATGACCACGGTGTCTCGGTCCAGGGCTCGAGGTCTGCCCAGGGTTCCCAGCCAGAGGGAACCCAGAGGGATCCTCAGACTGCAGCTCCTTCCCAGGTTGGCTGCAGCCCCCAGGCCAGGCTGCAGGGGAAGAGCCGGCCATCAGTGCTTTTCTCCATAACAGGACAGAAAGCCGCTGCGGAGCAAAGGTGCCTCCAGGGACAGACAGGGAAAAGCTTGCGGGAGACAGCCACCCTCACTGGCCCCTCCTGTGGCGGGAACAAGCTCCACAGGCCTGCTAAGATCACCAGACCCTGACTCGAGCTGTGAGCCAGTTCATTGCCTACTGCCCACAGCTCACCGCAGCCAAGCCCAGCCTGGCCGTGACCCCTAACGCTACCCACACCAGCTTCACATCCTGACGTTTTCTGACCCCTCTCCCAAAAACCTCCTTGCTTCCCTCTGGCCTCTGAAACAGAGAACCTCCTTGCTTCTCTCTGGCCTCTGAAACAGGGTACCTCCTTGCTTCCCTCTGGCCTCTGAAACAGGAGACCTCCTTGCTTCCCTCTGGCCTCTGACACCCCCCTGTGCTTGGGTCCTTCCACCCGAGTGAGGGGCAGTACGGTATTGTGGTCAGTAGGCCAGGCTCCAAAGCCACACACCTGGCCTCCACCCCTCCCAGGCCATGTGGTGTGACTGCAGACAAGTCATTTAACCTCCCTGTGCCTCTATTTTCTCATCTGTAAAATGGGGGTGATGGCAAGAAAAGTAGTAGCCACTTCAGAGGGTCGTTGTAAATATTAAATGAGCTACTTCTGTAAACAGTTATAGAAAACGAAAACTACTCTGTAACATCAGAAAGCAGGTCAGTGGTTGCCTGAGGACAAAAGGAAGGGTCCGGATGGAGAAATTACCAAGGGTTCCGAGGAAACGTTGAGGGGCAATGGGTTTGTTCGTTATCTTATTTGTAGTGATGATTTCGTGGGTACATACATGTATCAAAACATAGCACATTGTACACTTTGGCTTTAAATATATCTCAACAGCACTGTTTATTTATTTATTTATTTTGAGATGGAGTCTTGCTCTGTTGCCTAGACTGGAGTGCAATGGCGCGATCTCTGCTCATTGCAACCTCCACCCGCTGGGTTCAAGTGATTCTCCTGCCTCAGCCTCCCGAGCAGCTGGGACTACAGGCGTCTGCCACCACGCCCAGCTAATTTTTGTATTTTTAGTAGAGACGCCATGTTGACCAGGCTGGTCTCGAACTCCTCCTGATCTCAAATGATCCACCCACCTCAGACTCCCAAAGTGCTAGGCCAACAGCACTGTTTAAATTATCGTGTGAGGTAATATGCGGAAGTCACTCAGTAGGCATCAGGCACACAGTGAGAGCTACATCAATATTAAATGCTGGTGTTACTCTCTCATGTCCCCTGCCACCAACCCCCACCCCTGCTCTCTTCATCATTAGCCCCTCAGGGTTTCAAAAGCTCATATGGGCTCAAGGCAGCCCACTCCGTGTCTTGCTAACCGTGTGTGTACATGTTATCAAAATCTGGAAACTGCCGAAATTATACCCCTGATGGCAGGAACTCAGCTAGAATCTCAACATATGTCCCCACAGCTGCTTCTTCAGGAGCAACTGCTGAATAGCCACTGTCCCATCCCTGCCCCTCTTACCCCCCAGGACCAACCTCACCACAACTGCCCACATCTAGGAACTACAGGGTTAAAGGCGGGCACAGCTTGGCAGGGGTGGCCTCTGGGGTCCTGTTCCAGCTCAGTTCTCATAGTTGGTGCTGAGTGCTAATTTTTTGTTTGTTTGTTTGTTTGTTGGAGAGGCGAGGGCTCCCTATGTTGCCCAGGCTTGTCTTGGACTCCTGGCCTCAAGCAATCCTCTCACCTCAGCCTCCCAAAGCGCTGGCATTATGGGTTTGAGCCACTGTGCCCAGACCTAAATATTTTAAATATCATCCTGTCTTAGGCCACCTTTGCCCATGACCCAGCTACATTGATGGGGCAACCATGGCAGCATCATGTCAGGACCTTCTCCAAGTCCAGACACCCGGCAATGTGGCTTTCCCTGAGCCCAGCCACAGCAGGGAATACTCAGCCCCAGAGGACATTAGAGTCTCTCAGGGACTACCCTGGCCAAGGACCTTCCAGGAACACAATCCCTCCCACTCCTGTCACCCCTACCTCCCCCCGGAGCCATGGTGGGCTCAGGGGAGGCTTCTGGTCTGGGGGTTGGAGGATGTGCACTAAGTGAGTCATGTCACAGCTGGACATAAAATTACAATTTGGTTTTCTTGAC
This sequence comes from Homo sapiens, assembly GCF_000001405.40. Classification (NCBI taxonomy): domain Eukaryota; kingdom Metazoa; phylum Chordata; class Mammalia; order Primates; family Hominidae; genus Homo; species Homo sapiens. The sequence continues at coordinate 48,878,382 of NC_000018.10, forward strand.
TTTTCTTAAACATTTTCTCCCTCTTAAACTCCTCTAAGTTCTGAGACAGAATTATTGAACTCAACTGGGGTTGGGTGACAAGGAGGGTCTGGCCCCTGACTCCCTGTCAAAGGCTGTGCCCAGGGCCAGGCTAGGTCAGAGGACCTGTGGGATGAAGGGGCAGGACGGTGGCTCACAGCGCAGCGGGGTGGGCGAGGCCAGCAAGGTCTGCTACACTCTGTGTAGGAAGTGACCTTGTCAGGGCTGACCAGTGGGGAACAATACTGAGAAAGGCGGAGCCAGGAAGCCACCCGGTCACCTCAGGAACCCTGAGGTGGACGCAGAGGCCAAGGTCAGACTCCAGGTCTGCAGGAGCACCCCCGAACCTGGTCATGAACGGGTGTGAGCCTGTGTGTGAGAGAAAGAGAAAACAAATGTGCACACGACAGGGAATTTGGTGTGTGAGACAAGAGAGTGCTCGTGTTTTTGAGAGTGTGCGTCTAAGAAAAAAAAAATTGTAAGGATTTTGTGTGTGGGGTAGAATATGTACACGGAGAGACCTTTCTGATTCTGAGAGGATGTTCTTGTAGGTGGACTTGCTGATTCCGAAACTAAACAAGAATCTCCTCATCCTCAGGCCGGGGGCACCCAGGGCAGCCTGAGCAGGGAGAAGTTGCCCCGGCAGCCTCCTGTCTCCTTTCGAGGGACTGGTGGCGCCTTCCTGCCCCCTCCAACATGGACTCAGGGTCTTCGCTTCAAAGTGCTGAGCCGGGGCCTGGGAATTCCCACACACCCACCCCCGCCACCCCTGCCTCACCTGGCGGTTGCCTCAGAACCAGAAGCCACACAAATATGCCGCCGAGCCGGTGGGGCGGCTTTCCTGTCAGCGGCTGCCCTGAGAGGGCCAGATCTCCATTATTCATGGTCCTTCGGTGAGTGACACCCACCCCCTAACCTTGAGGGATTTTCGAGAATGCTGGCTGGAGGGCTCTGGGTACCCTGCTCAGGCTGGAAAAGGCTTCCCCTTCACACACTGGCTGGTTTCTCCAGTCGGCCCCCAACAAGCTGTGGGTGGCTTCAGGAAGCCCCTCCCTGGCCAGGCGAGGTAATGTTGGGAGACCGACAAGGCAACCAAACCCTATGCCCAAGATTCTTGACCTTTTGGGGAGGTCCCAGACCTCTCTGAGAGTCTGAGAAATTGAATAGATCCTTTCTCTAGAAAAATTCTCTACAAATTTTTACTGTAATGTCAGAAGCTTTTGAGTCCATTCCTCAGTTCCATATGGGTCCTCAGACCTTGGTTAAGGGCAATGGAACCCCCAACACCAAAGCGCTGAAATTGCCAAAATTATAGCCCTGGCAGCAGGAAACTCCACTAGAATCTCAACACATAGAAGATACTGGGAACATTCTGGTGAATGAACGTGTTCCCCACCAGCTGTGATGTGAGTGGTGAGCAGGCAGGACTCCCTGGAGTCTGGCCTCCACCACAAACAACTTTGGGACTTGAAGCTTTATTTATTCACTCAATGCTTCTTTTTGGTTTTGATTTTGGTTGGGTTGTTTTTGTTTTTGTGTTTTGTTTTTCTGGGATGGGAATCTCACGATGTTGCCCAGGCTGGAGTGCAGTGGCTATTCACAGATGTGACCACAGCACACTACAGCCTCGAACTCCTGGGCTTCAGCCATCCTCCCGGCTTAGCCTCCTGAGTGGCTGGGATTACAGGCTGCACTACCACACCTGGCTTCAGTGGTTGTTACTGCCTACAGACTTTGTGCCAGGCATGGCCATATGATGAGGATATAAAATAGATGTATAGACACATTTTCTGCCTTCATGTTGCTTATAGTCTAGGGTGAACGAGAAAATTAATTGAACACCTAAGTACATATGTAATTCTATGAAGTGGCCAGGGATTATGACTAAACCCCTAGGGCTTCAGTTTCCTCATCTATAAAATGAAGATAACTATAGTTACTTGCTAGTCTTTCTATGAGGATGAAATGAGACCACTTATGTTAAGCACTGAGCGTGGAGCCTGCACAAGAGGGAGCTACAGAAGGCATGGCGTGTGAGTGAGGCTGGTCAGCAGACAGAAGTGAGCCTGGCCACTCTGTGATGGCAGAGCCTTGGCAAAAACCAGGCCACTACCATCTTGACCAGCCTGGATGCTGGGGCTGGAAGGGTAGCCATTTTAGAGGCAGCCTCCAGGCCATGAACATCACTAGGCAGCAGCCAAGCCCTGTATGAATGGGGAGCAAGTGGTCAGAGTAGGAGGAGGCCAAAGCTGACCCTTTGAATGGCCAAGTTGAAGCAGGGGACTGGAATGACTTCTCAGCAGGGGTGGGTTTTAAGATCTGTGCCAATTTCTACTTCTGGCTACAGTAGACTAGCTTATATATCACACCAACTTTGCCACCAACCGAAAAAAGAGATAAAATACATTTTTAAAATTTGAATCTAGAAAGATGAGCTTAACATTTGGCCCTACTTTTCCCCTAAGCAGTAGCATGAAGTTCAGAATGTGAGCAGGAAGTGGAGACTGAGGTTTTTGCAACCTCCTGGAGTTAGAGAAAGAGGAAAGGGGAGAACTCAAGCATCTCCAAGTGGAGAGATGGCTTGTTTAGAAAAAAAAAAAACTGTCAGTTAGGACCCTTGAAGCACAAATCAGAAATAGGTCAGCCCTCACAAAGGTTGAAGTGCAGCTTCAAACAAACTTAATCCCACATGGGATTAAAGTGCGCTGCCTCTACTCTATCTCCCTTCCAGAGTCAAGAGTAAATCCTCTCTGGATTATTCAGAGCCTCAAATTATCTCTACAATCCTTCCATATACCATGTCTGGAAGTCAATAACATTTACCAGGCATGACAGGAGATAAGATCATATGACTGAAACTAAGAGGTGGAAAAAAAACACAGCTAATAGGAATAAACCTGAAGGAGATCCAGATATTATTATTTAAAATAGCAGACTTTAAAATAATTGTGATTGATATGTTCAAAAAAATTGGAGAGATAAATAATTTAAGGAGAACTGGAAACTCCTAAAGGTTATCAAATGGAAGTTCTAGGCAAATACAAAATACTACAAAAAATAATCATCATCATAATTAACAAGCAATGAATGGGTTTAACAGCAGATTAGATGTCACTAATAGAAGATTAGTGAACTGGAAAACAGGTCAGTATAAAATATTGAGCAATGAAGCACAATGAGAAAATCTGATAAAAAATAAAATCAGGGGCCAGGCACGGTGGCTCACACGTGTGGTCCCAATAGTTTGGGAGGCCGAGGCGGGTGGATCACCTGAGGTCAGGAGTTCGAGACCAGCCTGGCCAACATAGTGAAACCCCATCTCTACTAAAAATACAAAAATTAGCCAGGTGTGGAGGCAGGTGCCTGTAATCCCAACTACTCAGCAGGCTGAGGCAGGAGAATCACTTGAACCTGGGAGGTGGAGGTTACAGTGAGCCAAGATCGTGCCATTGCACTCCAGCCTAGGTGACACAGCAAAATTCTGTGTTAATAAATAAATAAATTAATTAATTAATTAAATCCGGGCACAAAAAGAGAATAACATTTTTAAATCCCTTAATTTACCCCCATAAAACACGGTATAAATGGTTTTGTATGGGGTGGGTGCGATGGCTTACACCTGTAATCCCAGCATTTTGGGAGGCTGAGGCAGGCTGATCACTTGAGCCCAGGGGTTCAAGACTAGTCTGGGCTCACTTGTCTCTACAAAAAACATAAAAATTAGCCAAGCATGGTGGTGTATGCCTGTAGTCCAGCTACTTGGAAGGCTAAGGTGGAAGGATCACCTAAGCCTAGGAGGTCAAGGCTGCAGTGAGCATGACTGTGCCACTGCACTCTAGCCTGGGCAACAGAGTAAGACCCTATCCAAAAATAAAATAAAGTAAAGTAAAAGGTTTCATATGTACAATATAGTATAGTGTTTGTATGTGAGCATAATATGGGATAATGGACAGTATGTAATAAAGACTACATATGCAAATTTACTTATGGCATTATTACATTAAAAATAAGGAGCTGGAAGTTTCATGCATTAAATGTAAATTTGATGAGACTCCATGGTGTATGAGACTCAGGGAGAGAATGGGCTTTGGAGGCCACTGCCCTGATCTGAAACGTGAGTAGGAGCCTCTGAGTAGTGGATTCTTCCTCATGCTCCTTGATCCACGGCACATGGGTGATCTCCCATTCCCCGCTGTGGCTCTCACCCCACTGACTGCTATGATCAGGCCCTGGCCTTCTTTCCATTCCTTAACCTGCTAATCTCTTTCCTGCTTCAAGGCCTTTTTACACACTGTTCCATGTGCCTGGATGCACTTGTCCATGCCCTTCTCACACCTACTTCTGCTCAGCCCTCAGGTCTCAGTTTATGTATCGCACCCTGTGTTTAGTGTATCCCCCCTTCACAGCAATGACTACATTAAGCAGTAATTTTATTTGTTTGTTTCCTTATCTCTCTTCTATGAATTGCCTCTGCTACTTAAAACAGCTCCTATAGAGCCCCGAATATTATCATCACCATTAGTTTGAGACTAGAAGTGCCAACACTCAGTCATTCACTCGCAAAATGCTTGTTGAGCATGTACTCTGTGCCAGGCGAGGTGAAGACACTGGGGCTACAGGAGGAACAAAACAGACAAACATTCTACTCTCATAGATCTGGAAGAGACAGACATAAACAAACATTAGACTTGTCAGGGGGTGCTGAGTGCAGCTAGGCAACTGCAAAAAGGATGTAGAGGATGAAAAAGAAGGAGAGGCCAGGTGTGGTGGCTCACGCCTGTAATCCCAGCACTCTGGGAGGCCAAGGTGGGTGGATCACCTGAAGTCAGGAGTTCGAGACCAGCCTGGCCAACATGGTGAAACCCCATATCTACTAAAAATGCAAAAAACTAGCCAGGTGTGGTGGCGGGCGCCTATAGTCCCAGCTACTCAGGAGGCCGATACAGGAGAATCGCTTGAACCCAGGAGGCGGAGGTTGCAAGTGAGCCGAGATCATGCCACTGCACTCCAGCCTGGGTGACAGAGCAAAACTCCATCTCAAAAAAAAAAAAAAAAAAAAAGGAGAGGTGCCACTTTATATGGAAGAGCCATCAAGACCTTGCCTATAAGGGGGCATTTAAGCAAAATGTTGATGGAAAGGATAATCCTAGCCATGAGGATTTCTGAGGGAGGAGCCTTCTGGAGCTTCAGAAGGGGATTTGTTATGCTTGGAAAAGTAGGAGATTGTGTTTGTGTTGATTTGGTTTCCAAAACAAATTGTCTCTTGTGATTTAATAATATAAATCAAAAGCCTTAAAATATGTGTACTCTTTGACCTACAAGTCCACTTAGGAATTCAGCCACAGGGAAAACAATGTACACATATATTTATGTATAAGGATATTGACTAAATAGGGAAGATAAAAAATATGGAAAGAATACAGATGTCCAACATTAAGGAAGTGGTTAAGTAAATTAAGATCATCCATACAATGGAACACTGTGCAATTATTAAAAAGATTTAGAAGAATATCTGAAGATGTAGGAAAATGTTCATCACCAATTGTTAGATAGTGATCTGTATCTATCCAAGTATCATTTCGAGAAGAAAAAATATATGTGTAGGAAACTTCAAATGCATACACATCAAAAGTTGACAGCAGTTATTAACAAGTGATAGAATTATGGTTAATTTCTGCCTTTTCTTTCTTTATGCTTTTCCATTGTCAGAAGTTTTTGTATTGAGTGCATACCTTGTTAACGTTGTAATTTTAAAATATTACTTAGTAAAGCTAACTGTCCCTAATATATATTCATTTATGCACGAAGAGGTATGTATTGAGTGCCTATTTGGTGCCAGGTGCCAGGATAATAATTTTCTAGTGATAATGAACAAGTAAATAAACCCACTAAGCCACTCTCATCCTTTGATAAGTGCCAGGAATGGGCCTGGGGGAAGGGGTGAAGGTCTGCAGGCTTCCACTTGGATGGTGGAAAGACAGAGGCTCCAGGGAGTTGTGAGGGTATTCTGGAGGCCAGAGAAGGAAGCTGTGCTTCCCTTTCCTGGGTGAAGTCAGAGGCCTGGCCAACAGTGAGTGGCAGGGGGTGAGAGGTTTCAGGAAAGTGTGAAGCCTTGAGGGACAGCAGATCCCTGCCACGCACACCAGCCTTGCCAGGCAGCAAGGACCCCACTTCGAGGTTGTGATCATGCACAGAAGGGGACCCGATCAGCCCGGCCACAGGGGTTTCTCCAGCAAAGTTCAGCTCTTGGGGGAAATAGCTGAGTTCAACTAAGGTTGAGATTCCCCAAATAGACACAGGAGAAGGAGGAAAGAGGAGCCAAAAATGGTGAGGCTGGAAAACTGTCACGACTGAAAGTCAATGTCTAGAGTTAGAGACCTGGGAAGGAAGGAGGGGTGGTCAGAGAAAGAGAAGCTTGACATCAGGGTTCAGAGGTGGTGCAGTTTCTGGTGGTGATGAGGGTACGGTATGACCCTGGGACTGTGTGACAGGATGAGGTGGCCAGAAGTGAGGTCGCCAAGGGACTGAGACATGGACAGTAGTCCCCTATGTGGAAAGTCCCAAGATGCTAGTGACAGAGCCAGCCTCCCAAGAGATGGAGGAGAGTGGCCAGGAAGTTAGGAAGTAACAGCAAGGAGGGGACAGAGAGAGTGTGTGGCCTGGGGCAGGGTGGTGGGTGAGCTTCGGAAAGAGCTGGGGGTTCCAAAAAAAGAGGGAGGAGAGATGCTGGAAGTACCAGTGGGAGCAGAAATGGCACCCAACCACGTGTTGGTTCTGAGATAGATGCAGAGTAGAGAAAACCAACCTCCACTGGGAAGGTTTCAGGGAAAGCACTGTCCTCGAGGGAGCGCCTCGGGTGAACACCCAGCACCATGGAGGCGAGCCACAGGGCCTTGGGGGCCACCGAGACCAAAGAAGAACTTAAGTTCTGCAACAGACTCAGAGAGATCCGCCCCAGGGCACAGCACCCAGGCCTCCTGCCTTCCAGTAGGGGCTCTCAGCCCTGCCTCCCAGGAGGAGAAGAGGCATGGCGGAGCGGGGGGGCCTTCTGCCTGACTCCAGAGGCACTGCTGGACCCCACAGAGGCTGAGCATGGCCTCCTGACTCACTGGCCCTAGATGACAGAACATTCCCTTTCCCAAACATTCCATTGTGTTTTAATGCAGTGCTGGACTTGTTAAAAGAGTAAATTTAGCTTTTATGGGAAGAGGCAGCCGGGCTTGGTCAGGGAGGCTAAGGCGGGCCAGGGGTGCCATGGCAACCCCCAGCCTCCCAAGATGGGCCTGAGAAGACGCCTCCTGGCCCCGGCACCTCCCCACTTTCCTTACCTGCCACCACCTTCCCTTGCCACCTCTCATCGTCCCTGTGAGAGGTGAAGGCAGGATGGGGTGAGGGAGAGGGGCTGGCAGGGAGAACAGGAACCCCAGGTCCCACCAGCAGTGAGACTGCATGAGGACAGCCCACTGCTCCTCCCTGGGCCTCATCTGTGAAGCGGGTAAAATTCAGGGAAGAATACTTTGCTCAGAGGGTGTTGTGAGGCCTTCAAGAAATGCTCACCCCCTTCACATACCCTAAAGGGCAGACCAGACAAAAGCAGGGCTGAGACTCCCAACAGAGCAGGGAGAAGAGGACCCGATGAAGTCCCAGGCCCCGGGCAGCCGCGGGGGAGCGTGGGTAGGTAGGATGCTCTTTTGTCCATGGTGAGTGTCCTCCTGACTCCAGCACTCCTTGGTTTGCTCAGTCCTGATTCTAGGGCCAGTCAGGGCTCAGCATGAGGGGCCCAAGAGTCCTAGGATTCCAGAGCCTCAGAGGGAGCTCAGAGGAGTGTTACGTGTTAGCCAGGGTGCCCAGATGCCCCCACAAGATGGGATCATGCATGCAAGGATTTTGTTAGGGGAAACTAGGTAAAAGAATATGGGGAAGGAGATGGCAAAGTCTGGGTGAGCCCTTACAGCTGGGGGCACATGGGGCCTGAAAGTTAAAGACTGGGCCAGGCACGGTGGCTCACACCTGTAATCTCAGAACTTTGGGAGGCTGAGGTGGGCAGATCACTTGAGGTCAGGAGTTTGAGACCGGCCTGGCCAACATGGTGAAACCTCATCTCTACTAAAATACAAAAAATTAGCAGGTGTGGTGGCACGCGCCTGTAATCCCAGCTGCTCCAGAGGCTGAGGCAGGAGAATTGGTTGAACCCAGGAGGTGGAGGAGGCAGTGAGTCGAGACTGTGCCACTGCACTCCAGCCAGGGTAACAGAGCAAGACTCTGTCTCAAAAAAAAAAAAAGAAAGAAAGAAAGAAAGAAAGAAAGAAGAAAAGAAAGAAAGTGAAAGACCAAGGAGGAAAGGCCAGGTGAAAGTATCCTAGACCGCTGAGATCTAAGGAAGGTGGGCAAGTCCACCTAGAGTCATTGAGCCAAAGCCAGCCCCTGGGAGTCTGGTGTTTTCCAGCAACCAGCCTGCCTCAGTGTCCCTGCCAGGCTGAACAGCAGCCTGTGGGCTGGGATCAGCCTGCAGGACACACAGCCAGGGGGCCCCTCAATCAGTTCTGTTCCCGTGCTTAGTCAGAAGATGCCCATCCAACATCTCCTCCTTTTCCTGCAGGGCCACAGGCAGCAAGATCAGCCTCTCTGTGCCTCCCTTTCCTTGGCAACAAGGCACCCACCTCAGAGGGAAGGAGTGAGGAGTCTGTCACTACTAGCGGAGAGCAACTCACAGGGCCTAGTTAGTAGGTTTGCACGTGGGGGGTCCCCCTTACTCCTGAGGTTGACACACACAGGAGTTCTCAACTAGGGAAAGAAACGAGCCCCTGCATCTGCTGCTGCTGGCAGGGGGACACACAGACCTCTCCCCTTCTCCCATCTCTTCTCCTCCTTTCTTACTACCCCTCTTCACCATTTCCTATCAGAGCATCTCCCAGACTGGCAGCCACCTCCTCTGGGAAGCCTTCCTGGCCTTCAGCCACACAGCCCTCTCCCTCCTTGGAATCCCACCACCCAGGAAGGTACCTCAGTGGTTTCAATGCCTCATCCCTGCTCAGCGTTGAGCTCCTGAGAGGCCTGTCCTGCCTTCTACCTCCCTGAGCACTGGCAGAGCACACAGAAGTCCCTGGATTGATGGGCAAGTCCTCGGAATGCCAAGCCAGCCATTGGGCACAGCCTGCTGCGGTGGGGGCAGGGAGAGATTATTTATAGGCCCTGATTCTATTAATTAAGTTCATTGCCTGCCTCGTCTGCTTCCTGAGCCTGTGTAAGTGTTCCAGTCTGCCCTTTGTACGCACATGACCTCAGAGCAGGTGAGCAGGACTGGAAGGTGAACTGAGGGCCAGGCGCTTAACCCAACTAGCGGCATCTCCAGGCCGCGACATCAGGCGTAGGGACTCGACTCTCCCACCTGAGGTCATGAGGCCTGGGGAGACAGGCCCCACCTCTCTAAAACATCTGCCCTTGCCGGAATGAGATGAGGGTTAGGCTGCTGGACAGTGGGCCCTACTTTCAGGATGAGGTGAGAACCCCACCTCTCCCATCCTCTTCCTGTGGGAATAGGGCCAGGGCACACGCATGGTGCTCCTGGAGCAGAGGGCCCCAGGGGAGCCCTTCCTCCCCCACAAGGAGCCGCAGGCCTGGGCTACAGGGACAGCACCTCATGCTTTGTAGTTCCTTTTCACATCTGTCACCATGCAGGCCCTGAGACACTCCTGGGAGAAGGAGACAATACTATTGTTCCCACAGTGCAGAAAAGGAAGCCGGAGCGCAGAGAGGGGAAGTGTTTAATCCAAAGGCACAGTTACTAGGAGATTTGCACCAAGCTTGGAATCCTAGGCTCCTTCTGCTGCCCGCCACCTGCCGGGAGAGGCAGGACGGGGCTGCTCGCCGGCACCCCTTTCCCTCCCGGCAGCCCCGCACGCACGGCTTTCCTCTGGGCCTGTTTCCTCAGGTGTGAAATGCTGGTGGCAGCACCTACCTTACAGGCATGCTGTGAGGCTGGCACAGAGGGGGCTGTCATAGAGAGGGACATCCGCACCTTCCCAGTAAGAAGACCTCTCTCCGCCCCCCTTCTCCTGAGAAGCTCTGTCCTCCCCTCAGCCTGTCCAGCCCCCCAGCAAGGGGTCAAGTCCTGGGCTGCAGGGTGGAAGTAGAGCTGTTCTTCCAGCAACCCCATCACCCAGCTAGGAACCCCCAGCACACACACAGGCGTGTTTGAGCACACTAGCTGCATTCAGGGCTGCTGAACAGGTGTGGCCCACAATTGAACGTGTGCTGAGCCCTTTGTTCCATGTTCTGGGGAGAATCAGGTTCACAACTGTCTTAGCCCCTTGTGTGCTGCTGTCACAGAACACCTGGGAGTAGGGGATTTATAAGGAACAGAAACGTGTCCTCACAGTTCTGGAGACTGGGAAGTCCAAGATCAAGGTGCTGGCGGGTTAGGGCCTGGTTTCTCTGCTCCCAAGACGGTGCCTTGAACACTGCATCATCTGGAGGGGAGGAATGCCGTGTCCTCACATGGCAGAAGAGCAGAAGAGAGGGGGAGCCCACTCCCACAAGCCCTTTTTATAGCGGCATTAATAACACATGAGTTTTGGAGGCGGCAAAAACATTCAAACCATGGCAACAACCAACCCATTGACCTGCTGTGCCCTCAAGCAGGGCCTCTGCTCCACTCCCAAGGCCCCCAGCATCCCTGCCATGCCCCCTCACCTTTCCCCACAACCTGGGTTCTCTGACCTAGCCAGGTACAAATGGCTTGGTCTTTTCCCAAGGCCACAGCCGTCGGATAAATGCACCTCTATGGAAACAGAAGTATGTTTTTCAGGGAGGCCTGACCTGAAGACAAACTAAGTCTTTTCCTCCTTTCTTCTCCAGGGAGAGTCTGCCTCTCCCTGCCTGTGTGACCTTGGGCAAATCACTTCCCCTCTCTGGGCACAAGGAGTGCTGTCCACAAGCTCCCTGCCCCTGTAAAGAAAAGCTGGGGGCTTGGTTTGGGAGTCCTGGAGGGGGTTGGGAGGGCCTTTCCAGGTCTCTGAAAGCCAATTTCTTCCTTCTGTCAAGGGAGGGGGTGTGAGCCCTCTCCAAGGCCCTAGGGGCCCCTGCATTCCAAGCCATCTCAGCCCTAAGATCCGTGTGGACCAGAGGCAGTGGGAGAGGGGAGGATGGGCGGCCTGGCCTGAGAACTGCATGGCTTGCCAGCTCCCTCCTGCTTTAGCAGGGCCGGCCTCCCGGGGGAGGGGCTGCCATCTGACCCGCTGGCTCTCTCCAGCTGGCGGGAGGCGTCTCGGGCGTTGGTTCCCAGGCAAGGTCAGCAGGGCCCATCCATCACCGTGGCCTCCCTGCTCCCCATCAACCCACCTGCCGCGCACTCTGCACCCTGCTCCTGCTGCCTTCCTGGGGCCCGACCTCCCCAACTCCATCCGAGCCTCCCCACATGAGGCCCAGCCTGGGAACAGTCCCAGAGGGCCCCCCGAACTGTGACATCTACAGGTTGGGTCACCCCTCGTGCCTATTTCCTGGACCACCTGGACCACTGCCACCCACTCCACCCAGAGAATGTGGGCCTCAAACAGCCACAGTGGTTTGGCTCTCCTGGACCCTCCTTGGCTCTCCCTGTAGTAACAAAGTCCCCAAAGAGGACTTTGTTTGCCTCAAAGCATCCACCCAGCCTGGCTGGGTCCTTCTGCCATGCACTGAGCTGCTCCAGCGGCATTAACATAGAATCAATGAAGCCCAATTACGCCTGGTTTCAGCGCAGCCGCCCCTCCTGCTTGCCCCTTTTTCCTGGCCACTTCTTATTCCTGCAGGGTCTCAGGCACCCTAACTGCCGGCCTCCCCCTCTCTGCCCTGCCAGCAGCTCCAGATCCCAGAAAGCCCTGCTGGGGCCCTGCTGTGTCTCAGTTTCCCCAGTGTCTGCCACTCATTGCTTGTTGAATGAATGTGTGAGTGAGTGCATGAATAAGTAAACCAATGAAGGGGGACATTTGCATCTCAACAGTTTTGGCACAAGGCCTAGGCCCTAATAGAAAGAGACTGCAGTAAGCCTCAAGTCAAAGTAATGAAACACCAGGGAACTGAGTGGACCAGGACTGGCAGGGCACTGAGACATTTGTGGGGCGTGGGGTGGTGAACAGTGGCCTTGGGTCTGGGTGGGGGGCACGCCACAGGGTTGAGACACTTAGTTTCCAGACCCAAAACTACTTGTAGTTAGGCATCGGGTATGTGCCGCAGAAGTTCCGAGTCTGCGTAGAATGTAGCCTTGGGAACCATCGGGGCAGCGTGCCTCTCCTCACAGGGGGCTAGGAACCATGTTTTCATTTTTTCCCACCAGTAACCCTGTAAGGCAGACCTGCCTATCTCCATTTTACAAATGAAAGAATTGAGGCTCAGAAAAGTTACTCTACCCAGGAGCACTCGGTGAGAATGTGGTTGAGTCAGGATTTGAACCCCAGGTCTCACCTCACTCCAAAGCCATTCCTCTTTCTCCTGAGCCTCATTGCCTTCTGCCTCAAATACAGTCCTCCTACTTCTGGCTTCTCCCAGTGACCCTGAGGGCAGTGAGAAGTGGCTGAATGTGGCCACCGAGTCTGTGGTCACCCTCCAGAGGAGATCTGAAAGGGCCAAGCTCTCTGACCAGCCCCCTGAAGCTGTCTCTACCTTGGCCAGCCCAGGGCCCTGTGACCTTCCCAGTCAGATGCATAGAAGATCCCCAGCTGGCAGTCAGGAGGCCCAGGTCCTCATCTCAGCTTGGCTGCCTGCTAGCTCTGAGCCCTTCCAGCTCTGCTGTCTCTTGAAACCATGACAACACATTTGCAGGTACAGACAGAAGACAGACAGACAAGGCCAGGCGTAGTGGCTCATGCCTGTAATCCCAGCACTTTGGGAGGCTGAGGTGGGCTGATCACTTGAGGTCAGGAGTTCAAGGCCAGCCTGGCCAATATGGTGAAACCCTATCTCTACTAAAAATATAAAAATTAGCTGGGCGTGGCGGCAGGTGCCTGTAATCCCAGCTACTTGGGAAGCTGAGGCAGGAAAATTGCTTGAACCTAGGAGGCAGAGGTTGCAGTGAGCCGAGATCACACCACTGCACTCCAGCCTGGGGGACAAGAGCAAACTATCTCAATAAAATAAAATAAAATAAAATAAAATAAAATAAAATAAAATAAAATAAAATAAAATAAAATAAAATAAAATAAAATAAAATAAGACAGACACACACACACACACATACACACTTTCCTTCTGGGCCAGTTAGGGTTGCCATTTTCTTAGCTACCCAAACTCAGCCCAATTATGTGGCAAAAAAAAGTGGTCTCTGGGCACCAAAGGACACCTTCCCAACCCAGAAGTCTCAGCCTGGCACACCCTCAGGTAGTGACCCCAGGTCACCATGAATTCTGGAAAGCTCATGTCTCTCAAGCCAATTCTAAACTTTTGAATTTCACCTCATTCCTTCATTCATTGACCATCTCCTGAGCATCTTCTATACCCAAGACTCCAGGCAGGGAGGCAGAGGACCTAAAGCCAGGACTCTGCCTTCCCAAGCTCCCCGCATGGGAGGAGGGGGCAGGAGGCCGGCAGTCTGGAGTCAGATCGCCTGGCTTCAAACCCCGGCTCTGTGAGACCTGGGGAGTCCACCTAACCTCACTGGGCTACAGCATCCTCATTTGCAGAGCTAACACTTACATTTTACTTCATTTCAATATAAATGGTTTTAAAATTTTTAATGAGATCATGAACATAAAGTATCTTCCCCCAGACCTAGCGTGTCATGAGTGGTCAATACAGGTTGGTCATCAGCAGGTGAACACGGCAGGGGAATGGGCCCCAGGGCGGCCACCCATCAGGGCCCAGCAGAGCAGGGACAGGGCTGGAAGGACCCTGGCACTGTGTCTATGAAGGGTGCTGAAGAAGGCCCCATCGTGGAGGGCAGGCTGGGACAATGACCACTCAGAAAGGCACAGCTGGGAGTGTCCTGCACCTGGGCCCTGACTCCCTCGTGCACACTCTGACGTTCAATCCCCGCTGGATCCACTGACTGAGGCTCTGGAGCTCCCTGGGGCTCTCTGAGGGCTGCTCTCCCATCAGGAACATGCATTGACCTCACCTCCTCCAGCCAGACTCTCACGGGTAAGAGAGGCACAAAGCCATGTGCACACACACAGGGCTGGGCGCCCGTGAGGAGGTGGGCCCTGATTTGGCAGGTGTGCATGAGGCCCCCTCCACACATGCATGCTGGTGCGGGTGCCAGCACGGCCACAGTGGAGGGTAAGAACACACTTCCAGGCGGCACTGCCAGCCCTCGCCGTGTTCCAGCTTGTTGACACCGTGATGGCATAATTACAGTTTCAATCGCAGATTAATAATAAGTCATTTTTGCAAACGAGGAGGCAGGTCTGCACTGGAAAGGGCCCCAAAGGGCCTGTCGCCTCTGCTATCTGAGGCTGCTGGCCGCCGTTTGATGTTTTCTGCCGAGTAGAGACTTTTCTAAGGACTATCATAATAACAACAACCACCCAGGTAATAATATCCTTTCATATCCCTGCCTGCCCCTTTCCTATCCATGGCCTTCTGATGGATGGAGGTGATGATGGAGTTTGCTTCAGAGATGGTATCTGGCGTGTGTGTATGTGTGTGTGTGTGTAAGAGGTGCCTGTGTTAAGATCTAAGTGCAAATGCTCAGTCACGCTGATGTGTGTCTGAGATGTCTGGGTGTGAGCATTGTGTATGTTTGGAAGTATGTGTGTGTTTCCACGTGTCTTTAGCAGTGCCAGGAGGGTCCCATCCCCGACAGAGACCGAAGCCCCTCGCCTCTCCCTTCTTCACCCTTAGGGGGACTGTGCTGGAAGATGGGGGTGGGGGACAGAGGTGCTCCCAAAGAGAGCTTTGGGGTGCAGCAGGGATCCTGGCAGGGACCAGGACAGCCCGGCTCCCTCTGGGGCTCCCAGGTAGGGCTGAGAACCTGCCCTCATGGCTCTGTTCCGAGAGGGGTTGGCGAGGAGCTAATAATAACAACAGTGACAATAACAACCACGTCCGTGTGTTCTGAGCTTTCTTTTCTTCTATTCTCTTTTATCTTTGTGATCTCTTTTGATCCCCAGTACCTCCCTGAAGGGAGGGCGGGCAGGCCTCTTGACTCCCACTGGCCCCAGTGGAAACCGGGGCTCAAGAGGAGGGGACCTGCTCAAGGGGACGCACAGTGGGTGAGAGACGTCTCCTTGGTCAGATCCCAGACGCCCTGTGTGCTGGCCTGGAGTTCTAGCCCTCCTCCAGCCTCCTACAGGGCTCCACCTGACCCTTCACGCTCTCTATAGCTGCCTGGGCCCCAGGCCAAGGGGCAAGCAGGGTTCAAAAGACCAATTCATGTTTTCCAAATTCCCTTTGAAGCCGAAAGGATGCCTGCGCCCATGGGATTACAGTGTGGCTCTGCAGGCTGGACTCCGGAGAGCTGCACAACCTCGGGCCAGCCTCTCTAGGCCTGGCCCCGCACCCCTGCTTCAAGGCAGACCAGTCACGCTCATGCAGCTGGGACCTGGCTCCCTCATAGGACGGCGACTCAGTGAGCTCATTCCCCATGGCCAAGCCTGCTGCAGGTGGTTTTAACAGCCCTGTGGGTGTGGTCCCGCCCAGGCCGGCTGCCCGCCTGGCACCCTGGGCAAGAGCAAAGGGCCCCAGAGGAGGCGAGTGGCCAAGATGAAGGCCAGGAGAAGGTGCTCACACACACTTGGCCTCCTGCTGTCCAGCCCCGCCCCATCCCCGTTGAGCCCCTGGCTCTGTCTTGGGTCCCAGTTACCTTGCATCTGACAGTCAGGCCTGGTGTTTGCTTCACTAGCAAAGGGGCCGCCATGCTTTCCTCCTGTTGAGCTGCCTGACTGCCGCAGGCAGTTAAAGCAATTGGAGGCAGCGTCTAATTACGCCCAGGTGGAGGGCCCTGGGAGGCAGGTGGGAACCATCGCTGATAGAACAAATAGAACAGGCCCATTTCTCAGCTAGGGAGACTGAGGCGGAGCATCCCTCAGTGATGGAGGATGAGTCAGGACCAGTGCTTGCCCTGAGCAGCCCCTCTGCTTGGCCCCTGCCCTGGGGCTGGGAGGCGGGAGTAGGAACCCAAGCCCAAGCCCTGCTTAAAGGGCCCACCAGGCTGGGCGTGGTGGCTCACACCTGTAATCCCAGCTTTTTGGGAGACCGAGGCAGGCAAATCACCTGAGGTCAGGAGTTCAAGACCAGCCTGGCCAACATGGTAAAACTCCGTCACTACTAAAAATACAAAAATTAGCCAGGCATGGTGGCGCCCGCCTGTAATCCCAGCTACTCGGGGGGCTGAGACAGGAGATGTACTTGAACCTGGAAGACAGAGGTTGCAGTGAACCAAGATCATGCCATTGTACTCCAGCCTGGGCGACAGAGCAAGACTCCATCTCAAAAAAATAAAATAAAATAACAAATAAAGGGCCACCCCAGAGCCCCTTCCTGGGGAGGCCTGCAAGGCCTTGGCATTGTGTCTCTAAGCCAATACTCAAGGCCCTCCCCAAGCTGACCCCAATCTACCCCTCCAATCACACCACACTTCTTAGGGCCTTGGCCTGATCAGTTTCGCCTCCTCCCACCTCCTGCCAACCCCCAGCTCCCACCCTCGATGCCATTATTTCTCCTCCTCTCCATCTAGCTGAAGCTTGGCCAGCCATTAAATCACTGCTCAAATTCCGTCTTTTTATGATGCAACCAGCACTGCGTCTGGCACATAGCAGACTCTCAATGAGCAAGGCACGAATGAATGAGTGGCTGAGTGCCTGGCCAATTGGCCCTGGCTTTAGCTGGTCACTCTGTCCCCTGACCTTTTGAGAAGTAATGTAAAGTGTATAAGCTTTTCTTTGAGTCAAGATTAATACCCTGGAAGCCAGGGGTGGCTGGGTCTCCCCTTCCTTTGTGTCTTTGGGGGCCCCAGCACATCCTAGTGCACTGACTGTGAGCCCCAGTTCACATTGTGGTTAACAGACCCAATCATGGGGAGGGAGGAACTGGGCAAGCCAATGATGGAATTTTTTTTTTTTTTTTTAGACAGGGTCTAGCTCTGACACCCAGGCTGGAGTGCAGTGGCACAATCAGGGCTCACTGCTGCCTTGACCTTCTGGGGTCAAGCGACCACCCTGCCTCAGCCTCCCATGTAGCTAGGACCACAGGTGTGCACCACCATGCCCAGCTAATTTTTTTAATTTTTGTAGCGACAGGGTCTCACCATCTCTCCCAGGCTGGTCTTGAACTCTTGGACTCAAGTGATCCTCCCATCCCAGCCACCTGAATTGCTGAGATTACAGACATGAGCCACTGTGCTCACCCTCAAAAATGGAATTTTTCTTTTTTCTTTTTCTCTTTTTTTTTTGAGATGGAGTTTTGCTCTTATCGCCCAGGCTGGAGTGCAATGGCATGGTCTCGGCTCACTGCAACTTCCGCCTCCTGGGTTCGCCTGGCTAATTTTTGTATTTTTAGTAGAGACAGGGTTTCACCACATTGGCCAGGCTGGTCTCAAACTCCTGACCTCAGGTGATTTGCCCACCTCAGCCTCCCAAAGTGCCAGGATTACAGGAGTGAGCCACCGCACCTGGCCCCAGCGATGGAATTTTTAAAAACACAGTCTTTTCTCCTCTTCATCCCGGACCCTACTCTCTAGTAACCAAGAACATTAGACATGTTCTTCTGTCTTTGTCTCATGTTTTTGTTTTGTTTTTGCCTCTGTCACCTGCTTGTAACAATAACACTAAGAACTATTGAGTGTTTCCTCTGAATCAGGTACTGTTCTAAGTGCATTGAATATAGTAACTCAGTTAAGTACTACACAATCCCAGTAGTTCTCAATTCAGGCTCAATTTTGCCCCCAGGGGACACTTGGCAATGTCTGGAGACATTTTGGTTGTCACAACTGGGGACAGGGAGTTGCTACTGGGATCTAATGAGTAGAGTCCAGAGATGCTGCTTAACACTCTACAATGCATCAGACAGGCCCCATAACAAAGAATCATCAGCCCCAAATGTCAATAATGTCTAGGCTGAAAACCCCTGCGTTAAGCCTTAGAGTCTAAGGTAAGGTCATCATCCCATTTTACTGCTGAGAAAACTGAGGCCCAGGGAAGCAAAGTCACTTTCTCGAGGTCACACAGGCAGCAGGTTGTTGTAGCCCAAGAATTCTGGGCCACAGTCCATGCTCTGGCCACTCCACTCTTCAGCCTCACCTTGTAGCAGTCTTACCTCATCTTGTTGGCCAGGACCCCCCTCCTTGGGGGAGCTGTTGGCCTACCCACAGCTTCCAGGCAGAGGGAGGACTGTCTCCCTCAGGGCCTTGATGAGGATCCCTGAGTGCCTAGCTACACTGCTTGACCTCGAGGACCCAGACGTCCTGCCCCGAACCTACCACAGCCCGGCTTCCCACGCTCACCTCCCTTCTCTGACCTGGGTCACACCCCATGTGTGGTGCCGGGCCCTGTATGGAGAACAGAAAAGGGCCAGAACAAGGGCCACACCTCCTCCTGTGTCCCCACCCCTCCAGACCCAGGGTGCTGAACACACAGTTGAGCCTTAGTCAGCCCTCTGTGGTTTGGCCTATGACATGAGGGCAGTGGGCGTGGTGTTTTTGGTGTAGACAAAGATGGAGGTGGCTTGTGGACAGATGTGAGGCTTGGGGCCATCAGACTGCCCCCAGGCGCCACAGGGCCTGGGCTAGAGAGGAAGCCACTATTGAAATGAGGAACCTGTTGGGGCCTTCCAGACAGTGGGGAGGAGGAAGAGGCCCTGTGTAGAGGGAGGGAGATGCCCGGACTGGCGCTGGCCGTCTCAGACCCCAGGCCCCTGCTTGGCCAGGCCAACAGACACTCTCCCCCTTGTGGCCAGGGTAAGGGGTCCAGGCCGGAGCCAGATGCAGGAAAGAGCCAGCTGCTGTGGTGAGAAATCTCCCCACCTGCTGGCCCAGTGTTTCTAGGGGGTTGGTAGCAAGGAGGAGGCACCGCTCCCTCTCCCAACTTAATCCGATGGGCAGGGTCTTGCACAATCCAGGATCCCAAGACTTCCTGCTGCCCAGCTCCTGGGTGCTAGAGAGGCATGCGGGGAAGGAGAGAAGGATGGCAGGAGGAGATCCTCAAAGGGATGTGAAATTGAGAAGAAGCCACAGATGAAAGATGAAAGCCTGTGGAGGAGGTAGCCAAGCCTGGGCCTAGGGAGCAATGCTGCTCCCTCCAGGAACCTCTTAGCAGGAGGCACAGGGCCTCCACTAGGCCCTTCCTTCAGCTTGGCCTTCCCAGGCTTCTGAAGGATGCCCATTTCCCGGGAGCAGCTCCCTCAGCCTTCCTGCAGTCTTGTCCTCACAGTCACACAAAGCAGGCAAGTATGCTTCCCTGGTAAACAGTCAGCTCCTCCCGCTGCTTCAGGAACCATCGCCAACTGGCAAGTCTTCTCTTCCTGAAGGAAAAGAGCTCCCTCCTGCCTCTGCAGGATGCTTTCTTAGGACCTGCTTAAAGAAAAGGGGAGGCCAGGCGCGGTGGCTCACACCTGTAATCCCAGCACTTTGGGAGGCCGAGGCAGGCAGATCATGAGATCAGGAGTTTGAGACCAGCCTGGCCAACATTGTGAAACACCATCTCTACTAAAAATACAAAAATTAGCAGGGCACGGTGGCAGGCGCCTGTAATCTCAGCTATTCGGGAGGCTGAGGCAAGAGAATTGCTTGAACCTGGGAGGCAGAGGTTGCAGTGAGCTGAGATCGCACCACTGTAGTCCAGCCTGGGTGACAGAGCAAGACTCTATCTCAGAAAAAAAAAAAAAAAAAAAAAAAAAAAAAGATGAAAAGGGGAAAGACAGGAAGAACAATAATACAAAATACATTATCACCCTTTGCAGAGATTATCTCATTCATCCTCACAACATACTCATTGCGATATCCCTGGCACCTCTAACGGTGCTGAGCACAATAAGCATTTGTGGAGAATTAAATGGGATTAGAGAACAATTCCATTACAACAGCATCAAAAAGAATGAATAACTTAGAAATAAATACAACAAAAAAGGGTAAAACTGATACTCTGAAAAATAAAAAGCCTTGAAAGTAATTAAAGAAGGTCTAAATAACTGGAAAAACAGTCCTTTATTCATAGATAGGAAGACTTTACATCACCGAGATGTCAGTACTCTCCAAGTTCACCTGCCGATTCAATGCAATCCCTGTCAGAATCCCAGCTGACTTCTTTGTAGAAAATGACGAGCTGATTCTAAAATTTGGATGAAATTGCAAGGGACCCAAAATAAGCAAAACAATCCTGAAAAAGAAGAACAAAGTAGGAGGACTCACACTTCCCAATTTCAAAACTTGCCAGAAAGCAACAGTAGTAAAGGCAATGTGGTAACAGCACAAGGAGAGACATACAGATCAATGGAATAGAATTGAGAGTTCAGACATAAATCCATGCATCTACTGATTTTTAACAAGGGTGTCAAGACCATCCAATGGGGAAAGAATAGTCTTTTCAACAGATGGTGTTGGGACGACTGGATTTCTGCATACAAAAGAACAAAGTTGGATCCCCATCACGTACTATATATAAAAATTAACTTCAATCAAATACTTAAATGTAAGAGTTAAAAACTATAAACCTGTTAGAAGAAATATAGGAATAAACCTTCATGACCTTGGATTTGACAAAGGATTCTTAGATATAATGCCAAAAACATAAGCAACACAAGAAAAAAATAGAACATCAGGTTTCATGAAAATTTAAAACTTTTGTGCTTCAAATGACACAAAAAAAATGAAAAGATAACCCACAGAGTGGGAGAAAAAAATTGCAATTGTATTCATAATACATAAGAACTCTTAGGCCAGGTGCGGTGGCTCACTCCTGTAATCCCAGCACTTTGGGAAGCCTAGGCGGGTGGATCACAAGGCCAAGAGATCGAGACCAGCCTGGCCAACATGGTGAAACCCTGTCTCTACTAAAAATACAAAAATTAGCTGGGCGTGGTGGCACGCACCTGTAGTCCCAGCTACTCGGGAGGCTGAGGCAGGAGAATCGCTTGAACCTGGCGGGGCGGAGGTTGCAATGGGCGGAGGTTGCAATGAGCCGAGATCGCACCACTGCCCTCCAACCTGGTGACAGAGCAAATCTCAAAAAAAAAAAAGACCACTTACAACTCAATAATTAAAAGACAAATAGATCAATTTTTAAATGGGCAAAGGCTATGAATAGACATTTCCACAAGGAAGATATACAAATGGCCAATAGGCACATGCACGTGAAGAGAAACTTAACACCATTAGTCATCAGTAAAATGCAAATCAAAGCTACAATGAATGAGATAACCACTTTACATCCACTCGGATGGCTAAACTCAAAAAGTCAGATAATAGCAAGTGTTGACAAGGATGTGGAGAAATCAGAACTTTTATACACTGCTGGTGGGGATGTAAAATGGTGCAGCCACATTGGAAAATAGTCCGGCAGTTCTTCAAAAGATTAAACATAGAGTTACCCTATGACCCAGCAATTCCACTCCTAGTTATATGCCCAAGAGAAATGAAAACACATGGTCATATAGAAACTTGTACACAAACGTTTATATCAGCATTATTCATAATAGACAAAAGATGGAGACAACCCAAATGCCTATCAACTGATGAATAGGTAAACACAATGTTGTACATCCATATGCAATGGAATATTTACTCAACCAAAATGAGTGAACCCTAATGTAAACTATGAACTTGGATTGATAATTATGGGTCTGTGTTGGTTCATTGATTGTAATAAGTGTACCACATTGATATGGGATTGTTGGTGGCTGGAAAGGCTGAGAGGGAGAGGAAGTGGTATATGCAAACCCTTTGTACTTTCCACTCAATTTTGCTACAAACCTAAAATTGTTCTAAAAATCTTAAAACTTTTTTTAAAGTCAAAAAAAAAAAGGAATGAAGTATTTATACATTCTATAACACAAGTGAACCTTGAGAACATTATTTTCAGCCAGTAACAAAATACCACATATTGTAGGATTTCATGTATATAAAATATCCAGAACAGGGCAATCTATAGAGATGAGAAGCATATTAGTGGCTTTCTAGGGCTGGTGCAGGGGAGAGGGTGGAGAGAAGAAAGTGGGTGGTAGCTAAAGCATGCAGGATTTCTTTTTGGAGTGGTGAAAATATTCTAAAGTTGACAGTGGTGAGTGGTAATGGTTGCCCATACCTATGATTGTACTAAAAAACCCTTGAATTGTATACTTTAAGTGAGCAAATTGTATGGTATGTGAACTATATCTCAATAAAGCTAGTAAGAAAAAGACATTATTGGGACAACTGAAACTAAATGTGCATGGTGGACTAGAAAGTTGTGTTAATATTAAAGCTTTCTGATTTTGATAATTGCAAAAAACTTAATGGACGTCCCTATAAGGTACTATCATTATTCCCATTATATAGATGCAGAAAGTGAGGAAGAACAAGGTCAAGTTACTTGTCCAGGATCACACAGCAGCCTAAGAGCCCTTAGTTTTTACCTCCTCCTTGCTTCTCTTAGCACCCTGGTCTTTCCCTTCATAGCACTTATCACAATTGATAATTTTACATGTTTTGTTCTGCAAGATGATAAGTTCACTGACGATAGTGACAGGTCACCTCTGATCATCACTTCTCCATATATTTAAACAAATATTTATTGAGCCTACTGTGAGCCAGGCCTGCATGCACAAAGGTCGGTGAGAATATTCTAGTACAGGGCTTGGCTCATAAGTGGATGCTCAACAGATATTTGTAGCTAGGATGGAAGGGTAGATGAGTGTATGGATAGGTAAATGGATGAATGGATGGGCAGATGGCTGTGTGGATAGGTAGATAATTGGATGAGTGGATGGATGGATGAATGGATGGATGGATGAGTGGATAGATGGATGGATGGATGGATGGATGGATGGATGGATGGATGATGTGGGGATGGGTAGATGGATGGATAGGTGGATGTGTATGTGGATGGACAGATGAACAGATGGGTGGGTTGAATGGGTAGGTGCATAAGTGGAAAGGGAGCTTCTGGGAAAAGGCTGATTGGGCTTGCCCAGGCACAGTACCTGGTGTCATCCTCCTCACCTAGCTATCTTCCCCTTCCTACCTCAGCCTCTACCCAGGTCCCCATCTTCAGACCCATCACATCCTGAGAAACACACCCACTGTACAGACCCTCCTGTCTTCCTCCACCAAGGCTGTCTAAATCATCCTTCAAGGCCTTGCCAGGCCCCACTCCTCCAGGAAGCCTTCCTAGCTCATGTGGTCTGCTTCTCTTCTGCACTCCTAATTCACAATATTGATGGACAACCCATATCATCACATCGGTCATCCTGAATAGATGCTCCTGAGATGCAGACCTGGAGCCTGGGAAGGGCCGGGCTTCCTCCTCCTCTGCTGTCCTAGGGGCTGGTTAGTGACAGGCAGGGGGTGAAGCCACTGCATTGGCTACAAGGCAGGAGTCACAATCTCTCCCTTGATGGAGAAGGAGGACCCGGGTGAAGCCCTTGCTAGGGGCACAGGCAGGAGGAAGATCTCAGCCATGCCAGCTTCAGAGGAACTGCCAGGCCAACCCTGGGGGAGGCTGGGACCAAGCCCGACCCTCAACCAGGCTGGGGCTGGGCTGAGCTGGCAGGAGGACGCAGGCAGGCAGGAGGCTGTGCGGGTGCCTCCCTCCCCTCCTCAGCCCGGCCCGACCAGCCCCCAGGCAGGCTGGAGGCCTGTTTGCCTTGGCCCCGGGCCAGGGCCGCCCCGCCAGTGAGTAATGCGTGAGGACCGCCTGGCTCCGGTTCAAGGGAAACGGGCTGGAGACGAGACGGGGCCTTCTAGGCCTTCATGGGGCTAGGTTCCGGGGGCGGCTTCCCAGAAAGTGCCTGCCGAGGCTGCGTTGGGGCCACTGCCAGGCCAGCCGCCCTCCTTCCCCTTTCTCCATCCCCTTTTCTCCCCTTCTTCCTCTGTAGAGACCGAGGAAAGGCAGATCTTGAGCTCCCAGAAAAAGATCATTAGGCATGGCCCAGGACCCAAGGAGAAGGAGCTTGTCAGGACCCCAGCCATCTACCCCACACACCTAACAGAGCCAGCCAGTCCCTGGTCCATTAACCCACACTTTCTGAGCACCCAGTCTCTGAAAGGCAAGGACTTGCTGTCAGGGAGAGCACGCGAGTTCAGGGCATGGGGCATGGGCAGCTCAGAAGCTCTCAGTGCTGGTCCTGGAAGCTGTGGCGCCGGACAAGGCCTCCCTATTTATCTGCCCACATTCCAGGGCTCCTGATGAGGACGCTGCAGCCCAGAGAAAAGGATGGACTTGCCCACGCTGCCCAGCGAGTTAATTGCAGCAAGGTAAGAGCCCATGCCTCCTGCCCATGGGACTCTAGGCCCTGCTGCTCTGAACAGTGGCCTTCTCCTTCAGCTTGCGTGGCTGTCATGATGAAGGGCCACTGCCTAGGATGGTTCTATTTTTCAGTTGCATCCTCCTGGAGCATTTCCGGGGCTTCTGTAACTTTGCGACTCTGCCCTTGGTGAGTGGTATCTTTCTGCTTAGGACCTAAGTGACCACCTGGGTGGAGAAGACACCATGGTCATCAACACCTTTTGGAGGCACAGAGATTCCCAGCCCTCTGGGAGATTTTGCAGCCAACCATGTCCCTATGCCTCTCCAGGCCTCTATCCATGGTCAGTCTTCCTAGTTGCAAAATACAGAACATTATTCTGGCTGAGTTAAGCACAAAAGAAAAGTCATGAGGGGATCCTGGGTAGGTCACAGAATCAACAACATGCCAGAGAACTTCTCCACAGCAGGGGTGGCTGCCAAACCACACCACAGTGCTGGCCTCCTGAGACCCGCACTGGCCCTGCCACAGAGCCCCAGAAGGCTCCTCTCTTTCCACTGACATCAGCACTAGACACCAAACGCTGGACGCTGCTGTTGGCCTAGCCGTCCCTGCTGCCCCCTAGAAACAGGATGTGACCACTGTCCACCTCCGGAATGATTCTCCTACATCCCTGCTTCTCTATTCCCAGACCCTGATCCCAGGACCAGGATGAGGGCATCTGATTGGCCAATCCCAGGTCACATGACTGTACTTGGTCACTAGGGAAGCTGGGAAAGCAAGTATCTTGCTCATTATCCTCTCAATAAGACTCAAGTAAGGGCCGGGCATAGTGGCTCATGCCTGTAATCCCAGCACTGTGGGAAGCCGAGGCAGTGGACCACCTGAGGTCCAGAGTTCGAGACCAGCCAGATCAACATGGTGAAACCCTGTCTCTACTAAAACTACAAAAATTAGCTGGGCATGGTGGCGCATGCCTGAAATCCCAGTTACTCAGGAGGCAGAGGCAGGAGAATGGCTTGAAGCCAGGAGGCAGAG
Organism: Homo sapiens; assembly: GCF_000001405.40. NCBI lineage: Eukaryota > Metazoa > Chordata > Mammalia > Primates > Hominidae > Homo > Homo sapiens. The sequence continues at coordinate 48,903,783 of NC_000018.10, forward strand.
GTTGCAGTGAGCCCGAGATTGCACCACCGCACTCCAGCCTGGGTGACAGAGTGAGACGCAGTCTCAGATTTAAAAAATAAAAATAAAAAACAAACAAAAACAAAACAAAAAAAGACTCAAGTAAGAATTCCCCTAAACCAGATAGAGAGCCAGATGACAGTAGGCTAATCTACAAAAACAAATGTCCTCTCTGTTTCATTCCCCCACCTCCAATTCTTTGTCTATCTCATTATCTGCCCAGACTCTCAAAGTGGACATATGCAGAGAAGTTTGTTGCTGAAAGAGCTTTGGGGTTCAGCATGTAATTGCACTATGTCAGTGAAATTCTTAGCCTAGGACATGGCACTTAATAGGTATTGAACAAAGTCAAGCTCTCCTCCCTGACAAGTACGCAGATGGGCCAGCTGAGGTGGCCTGTGGCTCTGCTAGTTGGCCACAGGATCTGTCCTGGGTTACTTGACTCCTCTCTCTGCTTTCCCATGGCAGACAAGGACAGGGATTAGAAGAAAATGTCATATAAAGTGCTGCAGGATGTGATTCATTCCGACAGAAGAGACTGGAAGCCTTCTTGAAGGAGTAGATGTTTGAGCTGGACATTGAAAGAAGAGATGGGTTTCATCAGCTAGAGAGCAGGGAAATGCATTTCAGGCCAAGGGGCCTGTGTGGAGATGTGGAGATGTGGTTTTTTACAAACAAAATAACTCAATGTTGGATGTTACAACATACTCTCTGCCCTAACTAGAAGTATGGATTAGCAGGGGGCAGCATGCGAATCGAGACAGTGCCCAGGAGGCCCCTGAATTGTTCAAGCCAGAAGCCAGGAGTGCCTAAGCTGAGGCAGTGCCAGCAAAACAAAAACAACTTGACATCCAAAAATTTCCAGTCCAGGGAGAGAGGAAAAACACATGGGGAAGAGCAGAGGGGAATGGAAAGAATGCGACTGCCTTTTTAGGCAGGTGGCTTTTGAGGTGCTGGATTCAGTCCTCAGGGTCCCTTTACACAGTGGAACCAAAAGTAATCAAGAAAGCAACAGGATAGAGTATTCCCCTGCAGGGGGTTCTCCATATAGTTTGAGGCATGAATGGGCAGGGAGTGAATCCCTAACAGGCAAGCTCTGGTAACACCTGGTGGCCCCTAAAAAACCCTCACCTTGTGAACAGGGTGGGTGTAGTCATTTGCAGGGCTTTAGTTTTGCTAAGTGCAAGTCCAGGGCCAGAGTGGAATTGCTGAGACAACAGACCAGAGGCTGAAGCTGCCAGTGGGTCCTTCTTCCCTTGTCTCTTGCTGTGAAGCCCTTGGTTATGCTTAGAAGAAGAAGAAAGAGAAGGAGGAGAAAGGGAGATGGAAAGAAGGAAGGAAGGAGGGAAGGAAAGAAGGCAGCAAGGAAGGAGGGAAGGAGAGAGGGAGGAAGGGAAGGAAGGAAGGAAGGAAGGGAGGAAGGGAAGGAACGAAGGAAGGAAGGAAGGAAGGAAGGAAGGAAGGAAGGAAGGAAGGAAGGAAGGAACGAAGGAAGGAAGGAAGGAATGCAGGCAGGCAGGCAGGCAGGCTACTTAAAGACAATTGGCACCAAAATGAGGGACTAAACCAAGAAAGGTAAAGTCATGGGATGCCGGTAACGAGGGATCCCACCCAATAGAAGGTGGAGGGATGCTTCAGGGTGACTGCTGTGCATCAGGCCTATGAGGCAACCTGTCCAGACTAGGGCAGAGGGCTGGAGACTCCAGAAGGGGAAAAAATTGAACTGACAAACTATCTGGTAGGTTTAACATTGAGAAAAACTATATTGAGAAGTAATTGAAGAGTGTGGAAACCAATGGCAAAAAATACAATGGACTTGAAGCAAATGAAAAGAACCTAGACAACTCAACTTCAGAAATACCAACACATTGTGTAAAAATAATAGATGCAATCATAGTATACTATATGACTCAGGGTGTACAATACGGGCATAGTCATAATAATGTAAGTGTTGGCCACTGGAAAGGGAAGCAATGTGATGCTGCAAGAGAGCTAATCCCCAGCTAGGAGGTTATTAGATGATATCTAAAATTGATGTATCAAGAAACATAAGAATAAGAATATTATTTTGGAATATGGTGATATACAGTAGTACCCCACTACCCTTGAGGGATATGTTCCAAGACGCCCAGGAAGCCTGAAACTACAGATAGTACAGAACCCTACATATTTTTTCCTGTGCATATATACCTATGACGAAGTTGAATTTATAAATTAGATGTAGTAAAAGATTAACAACAATAATAAAATAGAATACCTAAGACAACGTGTCAGCATCACTACTCTTGGGCTTCGAGGCCATCATTAAGTAAAATAAGGGTTACTTGAACACAAGCTCTGCAATACGATGACAGTTGCTCTGCTAACAGACACTACTAAGTGACCAATGGGTGGGAAGTGCCTACAGCATGGACACACTGGACAAAGAGATGATTCACGTCCCGGATAAGACAGAGCAGAACAACACGAGATTTTTATCCGCTACTCAGAATGGCACACAATTTAAAACTTATATATAAATTGCTTCTTTCTGGAATTTTCCACTTAATATTTTCAGACCATGGCTGGGCACACTGGCTCACGCATGTAATCCCAGCACTTTGGGAGGCCAAGGTGGGCAGATGGCTTGAGCCCAGGAGTTTGCGACCAGCCTGGGCAACGTGGCAAAACCTCATCTCTAGGCTGGGCGCAGTGGCTCACGCCTGTAATCCCAGCACTGTGGGAGGCCAGGGTGGGTGGATCACTTGAGGTCAGGAGTTCAACATGGTGAAATCCAATCCCTACTAAAAATACAAAAAAATTAGCAGGAAATGGTGGCACATGCCTGTAATCCCAGCTACTTGGGAGGCTGAGGTGGGAGAATCATTTCAACCTAGGAGGCAGAGGTTGCAGTGAGCCAAGATTGCGCCACTGCACTCCAGCTTGGAAGACAGAACAAGACTCTGTCTCAAAAAACAAAAAACAAAAAACAAAAACAAAAACATCTCTACAAAAGATACAAAAATTAGTTGGGTGTGGTGGCACACACCTGTAGTTCTAGCTACTCAAGAGGCTAAGGTGGGAAGATGCATTGAGCCCAGGAGGTCGAGGCAGCAGTGAGCCAAGATCACACCACTGCGCTCCAACCTGGGTGACAGAGCAAGATGCTGTCTCGAAAAAAAAAAATACATATATATATATATCTCACACATATATCTATCATATATGATATATATCACATATATATAAAAAATGATATATATATATATCACAGGTAACTGAAACAGTGGAAAACAAAACTGCAGATAAGGAGGGACTATTGTAATCCATTCTAATGAAATTTACCCCTGAAAAGTAGCATTGGAGAAATTAAGAAGGGCTTTAACATTTTATTTAATGCATTATTGTGTCTTTTGAATATTTGATGATGAATATATACTATTTTTACATTTTTAATGAATATTTTATATATCCCTAAAAAGTTATAGTGATAAATACTGAAAGAAACAGCTTGAAAAGTTGAAAGGGTTACTTCTGGGGAATAAACCTAGGGTGGGAGAGAAACAACAGTGGACTGCAATTTTTTATTATAAGACTTTCAATACTACTCGACTTTTAAAATTTTGTGTATGAATTACTTTGAAAAAAATTTTTAAGACAAATGACCACAAAGAGTAACAAACCCAGAGAAAAAAATAGGCAGAGGACATAAACAAGAAATCCACAAAAGAAACAGAAATGTCTCCCAAACACATGGAAAAAAAAAATCATCCCTACTAATGATGAACGAAAGCATCAGAAGTAGCTGCGTGTTCATGAACCTGGAAATATGTTCTCATTACAGCATTAAGTGTGTTTGTGTCAGGGAATGAGCAGTTTAAAAAATCATACAATAGTGTCATTTTGTAACAATTTAAGCATTCATTCAGCAAATTTTCTGTGAGCACCTATTATATAGTGAGCACATAAAAATGTATTTTTTTAAAGTCTGAAATGAGTTGTGTTCAGATGTCAAGAAGTTCTCTGTAAAAAACACAAGAGGTGATTTTCACAAAATTCTTCTCCCTTTGTATTTGGTGGTTTTTGTTTTGTTTTGTTTTGTTTTTTGAGACAGAGTTTTGCTCTTGTTGCCCAGGCTGGAATGCAATGGCGCTATCTCGGCTCACCACAACCTCTGCCTCCTGGTTTCAAGCGATTCTCCTGCCTCAGCCTCCCGAGTAGCTGGGATTACAGGCATGCACCACCATGCCCTGCTAATTTTGTATTTTTTAGTAGAAATGGGGTTTCTCCATGTTGGTCAGGCTGGTCTCGAACTCCCGACCTCAGGTGATCCACCCGCCTCGGCCTCCCAAAGTGCTGGGATTACAGGCGTGAGCCACTGAGCCCAGCCCTCCCTTTGTATTTGTTAATTTAGTCTCTAATATTTAAAGAGGGAACATATCTTGCTAAGGAGATAAAAGTAAATAGCAAAAGAAATGAATCACCTATTTTGAGCACTCCCAAAATAAGAAATAAAGCACTGACAATTGGTTTGGATAAGCACCCAATTATTAACCTGCTCAGACACTATAGAGACTGTATCACATACTTTTTTTTTTTTTTTTTTTTTTGAGATGAAGTCCCACTCTGTTGCCCAGGCTGTGCAGTGGTGTGATCTTGGCTTACTGCAACCTCCGCCTCCTGGGTTCAAGTGATCCTCTTGCCTCAGCCTCCTGAGGAGCTGGGACTACAGGCACACACCACCATGCCCAGCTAAATTTTTTTGTATTTTTAGTAGAGATGGGGTTTCACCATGTTGACCAGGCTGGTCTCGAACTCCTGACCTCAGGTGATCCGTCTACCTCAGCCTGCCGAAGTGGTGGGATTACAGGTGTGAGCCACCATGCTTGGCACACATCCATTTTTATACCTCAATCCTCGACAGCATCATGCACATAATAGGTCTCCAGATAAACAACTGAATAATCAAAACAAGCAGGGGCTTGTGTGGTGTGGTGGTCAGGGGCTTACTGTATGTATGTGAGCCTCCAACATGCAAATGGGTACTGATAAAAACTACACAGTGTTAAAAGGATCCACATGAGTGATGCATATAAAGCACTCAGCTCCGTGTTTGGCAATAGGTAAGAATTCAAGAAAAGTTGGATGCTATTAATAATAGTAGTAGTTGTTGTTATTGTCATTGCTGTAATAGTAGCTAGGACCCCAGAAATTCCACCACTCATGCAAGTGCCCATGTGCAAGACAGTCCCCTCAGCAGTCCTGAGAACAGCAACCTTTCCCTCTTTCTCCTCTTCCTCTTCCTCCTCTTCTTCCTCCTCTTCTTCCTCCTTTTTTTCCTCCTCCTCCCACCCCCTCCCGCTGACATTCTCTCTACCCCATTGCTCACTGACTACCTGAGAGCAAATACGTGGGGACAGCACAGGCTCAGTCATCACCTGAGGCTGACCACCTGGTCCCAGGGATTAAAAACCACAACGTGCAACTCCCATTCCCTCCCTGGGTCACATCATACATAAGGCACTGTCCTACATGCAGCTCATTAGGTGCTGGAAGAAAAGGAAGAAGGGGACAAACTTAGGGTAAACAAGACTGAATTTTTGGAGGGGATGCCTGCCATTGACACTTCTTTAAAAATATAGACTTTGGCCAGGCGCGGTGGCTCAAGCCTGTAATCCCAGCACTTTGGGAGGCTGAGGCGGGCAGATCACAAGGTCAGGAGATCGAGACCATCCTGGCTAACACAGTGAAACCCCGTCTCTACTAAAAATACAAAAAATTAGCCGGGTATGGTGGCGGGTGCCTGTAGTCCCAGCTACTCGGGAGGCTGAGGCAGGAAAATGGCGTGAACCCGGGAGGCGGAGCTTGCAGTGAGCCGAGATCATGCCACCGCACTCCAGCCTGGGCGACAGAGCAAGACTCTGTCTCAAAAAAAAAAAAAAAAAATATATATATATATATATATATATAGACTTTAACTGATGTATAACACATGTAGAAAAGTGCACAATTTTCACAAACTGTACACCCCGTGTAACCAGCCCTAAGATCAAGAAACAGGACATCATCAGCCCCTAGAAGTTCTTCTCGTGCCCACTTCCTGACATCTAACACCACAAATTGGTTTCGCCTGATTTTGAACTTTATATAAAGGGAATCATACAGTGTAGACTTTTCTGTGTGTGCCTTCTTTGGCCCAGCGTTATAACTGTGCAGATCATCCTGCTGCCGTGTAGAGTTGGAGTTCTTTCATGCCCATTGTTGCATGATGTGCACTGTGTAAATAACCATCGACTTTTGACAGATATTTGAGTTGTTTCAGTTTAGAGCTATTATCAATAGTGCTGCTATTAATATACTTTATTTTTTTATTTTGAGACAGAGTCTCACTGTGTCACCCAGGCTGGAGTGCAGTGGTGTCATCTCACCTCACTGCAACTTTCGCCTCCCAGGTTCAAGCGATTCTCCTGCCTCAGTCTCCCAAATAGCTGGGATTGCAGGCATGTGCCAACATGCCAGACTAATGTTTGCATTTTCTTTAGTAGAGGTGGGGTTTCACCATATTGGCCAGGCTGGTCTCAAACTCCCGAACTCAAGTGATCTGCCTGCCTAGGCCCCCCAAAGTGCTGCGATTACAGGTGTGAGCCACTGTACCCGGCCTGCTGTGAGTATTCTTGTACATGTTCAAGAATATATTCACTAAAAGACACATATATTTTAGTGAATATATGTGTGCATTTCTGATGCAGGTATGATTCTCTTTAGCTTTGGTAGATACTGCCAAAAAGTTAACCAGTTTATACCCCCAGCATCATCACACAAGAGTTCCTGTTGCACCACGTCCTCACTCCCATTCAGTACTAAGTAGCATATCTTTAAATGAACACTAGCATCTTTTAAATTCTGCTCCACTACTAGACAACCATGAAAATGAATAATCTCCAAAAATGTCTGTGATGTATCATTAAGTGACATAAGCAGGGCGCAGGCTGATATGTAGAATGTGACTCCATTGGTGAGAATTGTATATGTGCATATGTAGAGGCAGAAGCCAATTCAGAAAGGGGACATATCTGAGTCTCCAGCATGCTCACCTCTGGGGAGTGAAGTTGGAGGGCATAATTTAAATGATGAGGTTAGCGCTAATTTTTACTTTTGATACCATTTTTCAATATTTTTAAAATTCAAGAAAAAGATCTGTATAAGTAAAATAAAATCACTCACCATTCCATTATCTAAGGCTGGCAGCCAGACTCTGTCATTCTTGTTATTTCCCAGCATGCGCTCCTGCTCTGGAATTACCTCGGGCAGGGCCTCTGGGACAAGTCTCCCGGGCACTGTAATTTCCCTGGCTGCAGTGTGTCATTAGAAGATTTGGTGCTGATGACACGACGCCCATACACAGTGAACATTACAGCCCCGGTTGGGACAGGACAGCTTGGCCAAGGAGCAAGCCCTTCCTGCAGAGAGACCCCCAGAGTCTCGAGCTGCCTCAGTGGGATCAGGCCTTAGCGTGTTTCTGTCTCGACCTTAAGGAACAGAAGCTGGGAAAACTACTCTTTCAAGGCTGCTGGTGTCTCTAGGCTCCCCTGGAGACCCAGGGCTCAGAGCAAGGGCTGTGGAGTTAGGCAGACCTGGGCTTCGGTTCTACCACGCTTTTGCTGTGAGTCTCTCGCTGGGCCTGCAAGTCTTCACCTGTAAAATGAGCTAATGAGAGCGCTTACCTTAAAGACAACACAACGTAGGCCAGGCGCGGTGGCTCACGCCTGTAATCCCAGCTACTCGGGAGGCTGAGGCACGAGAATTGCTTGAGTCTGGGAGGCGGAGGTTGCAGTGAGCAGAGATCATGCCATCATGCCACTGTACTTCAGCCTGGGTGACAAGAGTGAAACTGTCTCAAAAAAAAAAACAAAAAAAAAAAGTACCTTGCAGAGAGTGCCTGGCACATACTTAGCCCTAAGTAAACGCAGGTTTTTGTTATTATTATTGTGGGTGTAGTTGTCGCTATTACCACCACCCTAAGAGGTAAAGTTTTGCATTCACCTTTTGGGAGAAAAGAATATAATAATGTGCTTTTTATTTTCACTAGTGTTATAAAGTAAGTACATACCCACTTTTCTTTTCTTTTTTTTTTTTGGAGATGGAGTCTCGCTCTGTCCCCTAAGCTGGAGTGCAGTGGTGCAATCTCGCTCACTGAAGCCTCTGCCTCCCAGGTTCAAGCAATTCTCCTGCCTCAGCTTCCCGAGTATTTGGGACTACAGGTGCACACCAGCTAATTTTTAATAGAGGCTGGGTTTCACCATGTTGCCTAGGCTGGTTTCAAACTCCTGAGCTCAGGCAAGCCGCCCACCTCGGCTTCCCAAAGTGCTAGGATTACAGGCGTGAGCCACTGCACCTGGTCCCATACCCACTTTTCTTGGGGAAAAGGGAATTTGGCTGAGCACAGTGGCTCATTCCTATAATCCCAGCAAGGCAGGAGGATCACTAGAGACCAGCAGTTGGAAACCAGCCTGGGCAATGTAGCGAGTCTCCGTCTCAACAAAAAAATTAAAAAATTAGCCAGGCAGGGTGGTGCTCACCTTTAGTTCCAGCTATTTGGGAGGCTGAGGGCAGGAAGATCATTTGAGCCCAGGAGTTCAAGGCTATGATCATGCCACTGCACTACAGCCTGAGCAACAGAGACCCTGTCTCTAAAAAAAAAGAAAAAAGATAAAAAAAAGGAATTCACCTGGAACTTAAATTCATATATTTTAGTTGAAAAGTTAAATAGTCATTCAACATTGATCCATCCAATATCGGTTGAGTGCCTTCTATCCCTTCTATGTGCTGGGCATTGTTCTAGATTCTGGGGTTATGGCAGTGACCAGAGCAAAGTCCCTGCTGTCACAGAGCTCACACTCTACTAGGGGCCTCTGATAATAGTCAAGCCAACAAACAGATATATAATAAAATGTCAAACATAGGCCAGGCACGGTGGCTCACACCTGTAATCCCAGCACTTTGGGAGGCCAAGGCAGGCGGATCATGAGGTCAAGAGATCGAGACCAGCCTGGCCAACCTGGTGAAACCCCATCTCTACTAAAAATACAAAATTAGCCAGGCATGGTGGTGTGCGCCTGTAGTCCCGGCTACTCCGGAGGCTGAGACAGGAGAATCACTTGAACCTGGGAGGCGGAGGTTGCAGTAAGCTGAGATCATGCCATTGCACTCCAGCCTGGGCAACAAGAGCAAAACTCTGTCTCAAAAAAAAAAAAAAAGGCAAATGTGTATATAATACAGTAAGTATAATGTCAACCACCAATATGAAGAAAAATCAAGCAGGATAGGCAAGAGGAGCTGGGAACGTGGTCTGATGACTCTAATCAATGTGTTCACTGGAGCCGGAGCTCTGCTCTGAGCCTCTCTCTCCTTGCCCAGAGGGTACTGGCTTTGGCCAGGTTAAAGTGGCCCCTGGCCTCAACCAGATGAGGTTGAGGAGAAGGTGAAGAGCCGTTTCAAAGACTACGTAGCTGAGGAGCAGGCAAGGGCAGGGTTTCATCAGAGAGGAGCCCTGGACCAGGTGGGAGACTGTGCCCTTGGAGGACACCTGGTGGCAGTCCCTCATGGGGCACCACTGGAGAGGCACTTCATGCCAATTACAGCAGGTATTTACTCATCACCTACTACGAGCCCAGTGCTGGGCTTTGTACTGTGACTGTGAAAGGATTCAAGTAAGCATGAGGGCTGGGCTCGTGCCTGACCTCAAGGAGCTCCCAGACGCTGGAGATACAAGACCCACCTCCATAAAAGAAAGAAGCAAGCCAGATTCTGCAAGGGACTGAGTGTGGGGCACAGGTCACATAATCATCTGGATAGGCAAACCTCCAAATCTCAGCCACAAAGAAAAAGTTCCACATTCAAACAAAGTCTGCAGCGGGCCCAGGGGCTCTCCAGAGCAGCCATTCAGGATCCGAACGCTTTTCCATCTTCTGTCTCCATCATCCTAAAACATATCTTCCAGGTCCCTGTGGCAGAGAGAGAGAGAGAGAGAGAGAGAGAGCTGGGTCACCCTGCACCAATTTTTCAATGCTTTAGCTTGGAAGTGACACATGGCACTTCTCACAGCCCATTGGCCAGAACTGGTCACATGGTCCCAAACAAACTGCAAGGGAGGCTGGGAAATGAGGGAAATGCATAAGTATTCCCTGGGAATGAAATGTCTCGACCCCAGGTCACTCATTACTGCTGGGATCTGGGCAGGCAGAGTGCAAGACCTGGAGTTTGAAATGGGCATGGGACAGAGTGGTGAGCACCAGGCTTTGGACAAAAGAGCCCTGGGTTAGGCTTAAGGAAAACTGCTCGGCCACCTCTTGGCTGGGTGACTTGTGTAAGTCGCTCATCTCTTTTAGCCTCAGTTTCTTCTAAAATGGGGGTAGTCAGAGCTCCCATCCAGAATCATTAGAGGAACGTGTATCAAAGGGCAGTCTACACTGCGGAGAATGGATTCAATACAGTTGTCTATGACACATCTCTATTTTCTTTAAGGTTCAAAGCAGTCCTAATATACACACTCTATTTCTGTCCCCAGCGCTTCTGTGTCCCACTGATCTTACACTTTTCCACTAAAATGCCCACTGCAGAAGAGAAACTGCCAGGGCCTGGGGCCACCACCTAAAGCAACATCAAGGGCAACCACGTGTCCTTGAAGTGTCTTGTTTTTTCTCAACAATTCAGGTCAAGTTTGCATTCTACTACGTAAGATATAAGGGCTTATGGTAGAAACAATTGTATTCCTTCTCCCCCTAAGCTTCCACTAAAATGGCAGCTCCAGGCAGCTCCAGGCTTAGCAAGAGCTTCCCCTGGCACCTGGGCACATGTCCATGGCAGACTCTGCCTCTCAAATCCCCAGGAAGGCGGGCACAGGCTCCCTAGGAAGAGGCTCCCAGCTCTCCCAGGTCTCCGTGGCTCTCATAGCTGTTTAAATGGACCCTGCAGTGGGCCACCCCCGACCCAGGCAGCGCGTCCCTGCCCAGCCTCTCACCCCCAGCCCAGCCAGGAAATTGTCCCTGAATTAATCAAAGCACTTGCACTAGTCCCAACTCACCAGAGTCCTCCTCCAGCGGCCACTTTGTGTTGGGTAGATTAATTGCAGCTGGGGGAGGGGAGGGAATCCATTTTTAGAAAATCATTACTTTCAGAAAGAGAGCGGGGTTCTTCTGGCTGAGGGAAAACTGCTGAGCTAGCAGCTCGGGCCTCCTGCTTGAGAGCCGCCAGGAAACCAGGGACTGTGCGGGCTGCTCCTGGCTCCAAGGGTGGCAGCCTGGGCCCACGCACCCCTCCTCCTGAGGCCAGGACACCCCAACCCTGCAGCCCTGGCTGCTGGTGGTCTTTGCTTCCTGCCCTGGCCTGGACTCAGCAGTTGGATGACATTTTGAGCAGGAAGGAATCGCCTCAATATTGGCCACCCCCCTACTATCCATGGACTGGCTTTCCAACTGTCTTCTCTCACTTGCTGCAAAATCCACCACCCAGAGGGCACCACCAGCCTCTGACTGCAGCTGCGGGATGAAAAGAAGGGTGGGGACCCCTGATTACGGCTGGCTGCCTTGGATTAAGTATCTCATAAAGTATCTGAAATTGCCATTATTGTGGGTCAACATGATCAGATATTAGCAATCCCACGTGGTTCAACCTAATTAGCATATGGTCAGCTCTTCACATGAATTTTCTCCCCAGTCCCGATTTTAGCCTCATGAAAGTATAATACACACTTTGTGCTTTGGAAATTGAGGTTCAGAGAGGTTGTGACTTGCCCAAGTGAGTGCTCAAACCCAGATCTGTCTGACCCCCAAACCGGTGACTGTGAGCCACATCCTATTTCACATCAGGCCCCCACCTTGCCTGCCCCCAGCACACCCTCAGGGACAATCAGGAGTTGCTCATTGAGGGCACACCGGCTGAGCTGACAAACAGGTCCTTTGCAGGCTGCTGAGTGTTGGGAGCTTAATAGACCCAGCGAGAAGTCATCGCTTGCTATAGGTTTGGGTGCAAATCCAGCTTCCATCACAGGCTGTGCATAGGTGGTCCCGGGCAAATCACTCACCCATTGGAGGGTCAGGCCCTTCCTGAATCAGGGAAGGCCTGCCCACGTCCTCTGCGGCGTGGGGGCACAGGCAGCATGACCCTTGGTATGCACTGACAAGTACAAATGGCAGGTGTTGTTTCTGTTGCTCAGCAGTCAGATCAGCTTGGTCCTTCCAAACCAGAACTTGTTTTAGAAAAAACATATACCCAACTCCTTGAGCCAGGCCTGCCCAGAGAGATTAGATAACACAGAAGTGATGAAATCTGATGCTATCGCTTAACAGCTGGGAGACTGTGGGCAATTCTTTGAACCTATTTATCTGTAGAATGGGAGTGATGATCATGGTATCCACTCGCAGAGTGGCTGTGAGGATCATATGGGACAATCCCAGTGTAAAGTGCTTAGAACACTGCCTAGCACAGAGTCAGGACATACTCAGTGTTGCCTCTTGATGATGAAGATGATGACAATTATTCCCAGCCCAAGCTAAGCCCACAAATATGCCTCGTTCATGAGACAAGTCCTGTCTGAGTACCACACCAGGAATTGTCAGGGCAGTGAATCCTAACTGAGACTCCAGTTGAGACCCCAGGGTGCCAAGAGCTTATAGTTCAGCAGAAGAGAGAATCTTACACTATTGAACATTCTTCAGGACAAATTTTTTTTTTTTTTTGAGACAAAGTTTCACTCTTGTCGCCCAGGCTGGAGTGCAATTGCGTAATCTTGGCTCACCACAACCTCCGCCTCCCGGGTTCAAGTGATTCTCCTGCCTCAGCCTCCCAAGTAGCTGGGATTACAGACGCCGACCACCATGCCAGGCTAATTTTGTATTTTTAGTAGACACGGGGGTTTCACCGTGTTGGCCAGGATGGTCTCGAACTCCTGACCTCAGGTGATCCGCCCGCCTCAGCCACCCAAAGTGCTGGGATTACAGACGTGAGCCACCGCGCCCGCCCAGACAGAAATTTTTTAAAGGGAGGAGGCTTCTTGGAGGAAGTGTTGCCTGCATCACATCCCAAAGGATAAGGAGGAGATAGCTAATTGAAGTGGCTGCAAAGCACTTGCTGCAGAAGCGCATGAGCACGGCGGGCCTGCAGCACAGTGCATCCCCCTGCATGCCTGGAACAAAAGGTTTCTGTGCGTGGAGGGCTGGGGACTCAGGGGAGAGGTTGGCAGAGGTGGATGCTGAAGGGCTACTTTCACCAGAGGTAAGGGAGACCCAGGGAAAACTTACAGGCCCTGAAATAAGTCATGCTAGTGGGGGTAGAGAAAACAGAACTCTGAGAGAGATATTTGCATTTTATAATTATTGATCGGGTGAAACAGGATGGAGGGAATTTGTTTTTTTTCATTATGGGGGACAGGGGCAAGGATGGGGAATCCAGGTTTCTGGTTGGGACAGCTGAGGCATCTACAGGTCTGAGGGAGACAGAACCACCAGAGTGATGCTGTCATCCAGGGAGAGGGTGTAGCCTGAGCAGAGCCTGAGATCGAATTATATAAGATACCCTGAAATTTAAGGGGCAAACTGAAAGGAAGGAGTACCAAGAGGCAGGAAAACTTCCTTCCAATGGGGTACCTTCTCCCCCTACTCTGCTAATCTCAATGCCATCTGAGCTGAAAGTCCCACCTCCTCTGCAAGCACCTGTGGCCCCAAGACCAGGCCTCCTCCTGGGTCCTCGCCTTTTCTTCTGCCTGCTCTGTTGCTGATCATCTCAGGTGTGGCGTCTTGTCCCCCAGCATCACTCACAGGCACCGTCCAGGTCCACGTTACCTCCGTGCCCGCTGCGGCACATTGAAGGTGCTCAGGAGATGACTGTGGGTGACGGGCTTGCCGGCAAAAAGAGGGAAGTGTCAGAAACCAGCAAATGCCAGACTCCTCCTAAGCACTCCTCTTTCCCCACCACCCGGAATCAGCCATGCTGCCAGAACCCACACACCTCCACCCCTGTTCCAGCCTCTCCTTCCTCCAGAAGCCACAGCTTCTGCCTCCCAAATCCAGAGGCCTTGCGCAAGTGGTCAGGAGGAAACGTGGCGGACCACCCTCCCACCTTCTCTCCATTTCAGGGAGTTGTGGGACTGGAGCCACACAGGATCCTACCAAATAAACATCTCAACAGGGCGTGGACCAAGCAGGAAGAACCACTCAGCCCGGAGTCAGATCCTGATCTCCCTAACCACTTACTATCTCACTGTGTGACCTTGAGCCAGTCATTTCACCTCTCAAAGCCTCCATTTTTGCAGCGTGTCCTAATGAAGATGAAATGAGAATTCCCTCAAACGCCTGAACATTATGCCTGGCACCTAGTGAAGCATTCAGTAAATGGTAGCTACAATTATTAAAGAGCTTCCGGGCATGCCGACGCAATTTAGAGCAAACTAAAATAACTTTGACAGCCCCCAGTGAAACACCTTCCCTCCCTGCCCCTCCTCCGCCGCTACCACCCTAGAGTTAATTAGAACCCTCCTTGGGTGTTTTCTAGAGATGAGATTTTGCACTTATTCTGGGTTACAGAACTACGATGTAAGCAAGTTTCAGTTCAATGATAAAAAGCAAAAAGCGACCAGGCGTGGTGGCTCACACCTGTAATCCCAACACTTTGGGAAAGGCCGAGGCGGGTGGATCACCTAAGGTCAGGAGTTCAAGACCAGCCTGGCCAACGTGATGAAACCCCATCTCTGTTAAAAATACAAAAAATTAGCCGGGTGTGGTAGTGTGTTCCTGTAATCCCAGTTACTCAGGAGGCTGAGGCAGCAAAATTGCCTGAACCCGGGAGGCAGAGGCTGCAGTGAGCCGAGATCACTGCACTCTAGCCTGGGCGACAAAGCGAGATTCCATCTCAAAAAAAACAAAAAAAAGCAAAAGCTACTTTTAGAGGTAGTAAGCTCCCTATCACATGTAAACAAGTTGGCCAGGATGACCACTTGGCATTAATGCCCTGGAGCATAAATCAGCAATCAACATGTATTAATATTTCTTGCTAACCAATTGTACTGTCATTCCCTTTAATGAAGTGGTGGCGCCAGTAGGCTGTAGCGCTTTTGGTCATTTTTTGGCAAAATAGAAAGTTGGCTGTCCTACATTGGCCTTCCAAAAAGCTTTCATGAAATTGTACAGGCTTATGATATTCAAATCTTAACCCCCACTTCAAAAGGACCCCCTTCCTGGATATAAGGTTCAAAACCCCTTACATAGACACCTGCACAGCCGTTTGTTTGGTACCCAATTTAGACCATCTCTTGTGCAAGATTTCCCAAATCTAAAACATGGCTCAGATCACGGTTCAGCAGCGAACCAAGGCAGGCTGATGCAAAGACAGCACTGAAGAGGCATTTTGACTGCAAGTGCCACCAGAGCTAGGCTGGGGAAGGGGACTAGTGAACTGTCACTTAAGTCCCAGCAGACAAGGGACGATATTGCAGAGTGGAACTTGTACTCTGTGACTTCTGTGGCCCAGGACAGTATTTGGGAGGGCGCCAGGAGGTGGCCTAGTCCCTCTGAACACCACTGACATTCAACCCCCACCTTCATCACCCTTCCAGGGTCTCAGCCCCCAGGAAACTTCTCCTGGAATCCAGTCTAGCAGGGGTACAGTAGGCTTAGGATTTAATACCAAGTGAGGAGTTGGCAAGAACCAGATGGACCCAGGTTCTTGGGGCTAAACTTCTCCATCCATCCATCCTCTAATCCTGTCTCCTTCCCATTACCCTAGATGTAATTCCCTGTCCTCAATTCTACAAGCTTTGAATTATCACCCACAGAGCTCCTGTAGGTTGTCTCCCATTACAAATTCAAGACACAAGAAGGAGGGATGTCTGGGTGGCTGCAGGTCTTTCCAGCACTCTTGAAGACCAGGGCTGTTCTAGATGTCTCTTTTGTGGCCCACGTCTCCCATCCTCCAAGCACTGGGCTGGGAAGACGCCAACTCAACTGAATTTGGATGAATACTCACTCCTCCCCACTCCCTCCAAGCAGCAGAAGAAAAAGGAGTTGGAGGACAACATGAAATCAAGTGTACATTTTAAAAATCGTTTAATGGAACATAAACTCCTTTAGAAAAACATTCAGCTAGGTGATAACACCCATAGAAAAAAACACCAATCTTGTGTTTATCTTTTTTAATTTGGCATTTGTTATTTGCATTTATATTAAAGCAAAGTGCATCTTTTCTTTATTTTTCTTGTTTATACACATTGCACAATACATAAATAATGATGCTTATAAAACGTCTTTATATTTACAAGTAATAATATATTTATATATAACATAAAATACATTTTTTTCTTTAATAAATCTCAGGTTTTTTTTCAGGAGTCCTTTCTCTCTCAAAGCACTACAATGCTAAATTTCCAATGAGAATGCTTCTCTTGTTCATTTAAACCTTTGTAGTTAGAAAAATAGCTTATGTTAAAGTCTAAACATGCTCATTGAGCTAAGAACAGTGTCGAAGTATCATACGAGTGTATGAGTTGTAGAAGAAATGAAAGAAGAGTTAGGTGTCAGCCTAGGATGGTACCTTGGGTTATGACGGACCAAATCCTTCTTGGAGGGAAGGGGACTGCTAAGCATGTCCCTCCCAGGGACATCCCCGCTTGCTGGCCTAATAGCAGAGCTTAACACACAGGATGGGAGCAGGCAGTGCTGAGCTGGTTTTCTAAGTCCGGGAAAAACCTGATGTCACCAGGGCAGGCAGGGGAGAGGCTGAGGGGAGAGGGCACTGGGTGAGCAATACTGTGAGGGGGCTGCCCCGGCAGCCCTTGGGAAGCCCATCTCAGGGAGATCCAGGAGCAGATGGCCAAAAAAGAAAGACGCTACAATGGCAGGGGCTGGCAGGAAGGGAATAAGACAAGGATGAAAATAATTGGTTCTGGTTCGGCCACTAGCAGGCTCGCTGCTCAGAAGCCTGTGGACAGGCCCGTGTCCTTGATGAGGGAGAGGAGGGGCAGGGGCTTTCCCAGGCTGGGGACAGAGCCGTGCTCCTGGCAGCTGCTGGGACCCCAGCCGCCAGCTTGCCCAGGTACTGCCTCTGCCCCACTGAGCGTGTCCAAGGGGCAGGAGAGACACCGCTTGGGACTGCAAACCTCTCTGCTGGGGACATCCATAAGAGACACAAAACAAAGAGCACGTTGTCTCCCCATCTGCCGCTCCTGCACACGCGTGCACACACAGCCGCACACTCACACTCACACACACTCCTGACAAGTGAAATGATGACCGCCCCCCTTCATACACTGTGTTTGGTGGTGCTTGGATTTCTGCTTCCCCTCTTCCTATCAGGGTGTCCTGCCGATCATACCTGCCCCTTCTTCCAAAAAAACCCCCAACAATTCTTTTCATAAGCTATTTCTCAAAGAGCGAAACAAAACAGAACACAAACGAGGACGAGAAGAAGAAAACCAACCAACAAACAAAAAAAAAACGACCAAAGAGTTTGCATGAAAAGCAAGCACTCAGGAGGAAAATATTAGCAGCAAAGTAGTTTGAAGTGTGGCCTGCTCAGCTCACGCTCTGTCCCCTCCGCACGCGGCTACCGGCTGTTGAAGATGACCTCTAGCCAGCACGGGCAGCTGCTGATGAACTGGCGGGTGTAGCACTGGCCCCAGCCCTTCACAAAGCTGATCTGCACGGTAAAGCCCGTCCACGGCTGCTGCATAAACTCGTGGTCATTGGGCCGCTGCAGGCTGTACGCCTTCTCGTAGTCGAAAGCCTTGATGGAGAAACCGGGGAACACCTTGTGTACCAACAGCGTCCTGGAGTCCGGGTTGTCCAGTGTGGCGGACTTGATGAAGATGGGGTAACTGCTGCGGTTGTACACCCACACACCATCCACCTCCCGCGTCAGCTGGATGCCGCAGCCGATTTTGCTCCGCACCTTCTGCACCAGCTGACTCTTGTTGTCCGAATTGAGCTGTCCGAGGCAAAAGCCATTCCCCTGAGGTAGATCATAGAAGATATCCAGAGAGGGCTCCTGGACACAGTAGAGCCTCCCCACTCTCGTCTTCTCCTCCCAGTATGCCACCACGCACCAGTGTGACCGATCCCCAGGCTCCAGAAGAAGTTGGGAATCTAGAAAACACATTGGCAGAGAGGGTTAGTGGGGACAGGCATTGGTGACTCCTAGAATGAAGACACCCGCCCCCCCACTGCACCCAGTCACCAGCTCATCTCTCAGGACGAGACAGAAAGAAGGAGGCGGTGAGGCTAGTCCTGGACTTGCCCAGGCTCTTACAGCCCTTTGACCAGGACCCTGCCTTTCTTTAAGCATAGGAAGCGCTGGGTGCTGCTTCTCTCCAGGCCCCTGCCCATCAGGAGTCCAGTACACCAGCATCTGTGCCCACCTGGCCAACAAAGCCTCTTCTCTGCAGAGCACAGATGCAAAGGGACCCTTAATAGCTTGGGTAGTCTGCTTTTAGGGCCTCAAAAAGCCTCAGCAACGTCCTGGAGTTACAGATCTTTCAACTGGATGGAACCTTGAAGGCCAGCTCCTCCAGCCCCTTGTCATCCTGATGAGAAAACCAGGACCCAGAAAGCCTGCTGCTGGAGTACCAGGGGATGACACAGCCAGAGCTAGAACCCAGGTGTCTAGACTCTGGGACCACCTATGCGATGGTCTCTGGGTGCCTGTCACCCAGCTCTCAAATCAGTGCCGTGGTCATGAGGAACCTATCTGGTAAAAATAAAAATGAGGGTGGCTTGGGACAAAAACATCTATATTCCTAATAGGAAAACAGTCTCAGTGTGTCAGCAGCAGCCCTGTACACAAAGGGTGAATTCATGTCAAAATGCCAAATCACAACATGCAGACCGGTATTAACCCGGGCTACCTTAACAAAGCTTCCTCCAGCCCAGACAGAAGATTATGTGTCTCAAATAGATGCGTCCCCCTTCTCCCCTTCTCTGCCGGCACCCCCATCCCCAGGGGTGCCCCCTCTCTCCCCTCCTTCCACAGAAGCATCTGGAGCCTGCAGGGCGCCCTGCTCCGCCCTCATCCCTCCCCTGCAGGCCCCGCCCCGCTTCCCTACACAGTCTTCCCACAGGCAGCCTGGGGGCCGGGGTGATTCTGGTAAGGTAATTTTCCTCAACAGGCACTTGGAGGACTTTAAAAGGGGGGTCACACGGAGGGAAAGGGAGCCCCGGCGGCGGGCATTCTGACTCCTCCTTAAGTAGGAGCCAGCGGGCAGGCCTCAGACTTGGGACCATAAATCTCCCCAGCCCAGCCAGACTGCAGGAACGCTGTGGTTTGTGGCAGCAGGGTGGAGACCGGAAGTCTTGTATTTGTTAACAAAAATGGGGACAGCAGAGGGGGAAAAGCAGAGGGGAAGGGCCCCACGTCGGTCAGGGCCTTGCCCTCGCTCCCTGCAGCCCCAGCTCCTCCTCTTGGGGACCTGGGGGGCACAAAGCAGGGGTTGAGTGTGAGATGTGTTTTGGTGTGGCCTTTGTGTTTCTGGAGTAACTGGGTTCAGAGTCAATGATGATGGGTTGCACCCTGCAGGGGGTCCATGGCGGAAGATGGGGCCGCATCCTGCTGCCCCAGCAGGCTGGGTAACTGGGGCAGCCCAGGACACTAACTGGCTCCAACTTTTACAGGCGTGTTAGGACCTGGGAACCCACTGGCTCCACTCAGTTGTTGTTGTTGTTGTTGTTGTTTTAAGTAGCAGCCAGTGTTGGATGGAGGTGCCCGTCAGTAAGGCCATACAAATGTGCACACTGCGGCCTGCTGGGGCAGCCACAGACACACACACCCAGAGCAGCGGTTCCCTACAGACACCCCAAGCTGGCCTTCCCAAATGCCTGCCCCAAAAGCTCCACAAAAAGGGGACACTGAGGTCTCATTCCTTTCCCTCAACCCCCAACCCCCACTAAAAATCAACACCAGAAAACTGGCCGGTCACCACCCCCCATGTAGCTTGGAAGTCCAGTGCTTGTGCATGTGCGTGTGCAAGACTGTGTCCATGATGTCAGTGTGTACGAGTGTGTGTTATGTGTGTTTCTGTGTGCACATACGTACTGGAACATATGGAAAACAAGACAGGGACAGGGAGAAGGTGACTCATCAGGCATTCACTTGTTTCTGCAAAGTATCCATCAACTGCTAATAAACTTGTGAGCGCTGGCAATCTTTGAACTTTCTTGCTGAGGGAACTCAGCTCTGAAGGCTACACCAAAGACCTGAACGCCCAGGGAAGGAAGGACACATTGGCATCAAGTGTGAAGCGGGGGAGAAAGCCCTCTTCCGGGAGGCACAGCACATCCACCCTTTTGGTGTGGAGGAGGGTGTTCTGAAACACAAGAAGCTTTTGCTTATTTTCCCAATTCGGGACAACAAACCTGGCCTGGAAAGGAAGACTCGAGGAGCTGCTGGGAAGGAGGCGGGAGGGAGGGTGGGTGGGAGACCCTCAGCAGAGCCTCACAATGCTTTGTTTCATGCAGCCAGGACCCACTGAAACCTGGCACCGGCCAACAGGAGGAGGAGGAGGAGGAGCAAGGGAGTGAGTGGAGTATGGACCTGAGATCGAGGTGCCCCCATGCCAGGCCTGTCAGCCACCTAGGCAAGGGGTGGAAGCCTTGTCTGCCAAGGGTGGGGGCCTCTGGGGGCAGAGGAAGCTGGGTGGGGACTGGAGCCTGAGATCTGTAGCAGGACGGGGAAGTGTCAGGTGGGTTTCTGTTTCATCTGTGCAGCCCGCCAGCAATGTGCTGCCAGACACCCCCTGGAAAAAGCATTTTTCTGCTGAGGTTAATGGCCCAGCCCAGAAAAACTGCAATGCATGGATGTCGTGAATGCTGCTGTGTGTGAACAAGGGCCCTGAAGTCCATTTGGTGCCCTAACCCACCGCAGGGAGACTCCTGCCTGCTCCTCCCTCGCTGTCCCCTCCAGCTCCCCCACCAGCAGCCTCTGTCCTCCCGTTAGGACAGCTCCAGTCTCCTCCTGCCGGGACTATCTCTAAGCACACACAAAAAACAAGCTTTCCAGCAAAACCATTCGGCAACAGCAAAGGCCCCTCGAACACACACCCTTGTGTGGACATCACACCTTCTGGGGACCCCGCACGACATCCCCCATTGCCACTACAGAGATTCCCCTTTGCCCTGAATTCCCCGCCATTTGGGCTCATTTCTGGGAAATGCTCAGCTTCATCTTCACAGAAACACAGTTCCCTGAATCGGGCCCACAGCCCACACGAGTCTCCCCACAAAGGTCTGTGTGGACGCTTTGCTCCCAGGGACTTCCCGGGCCACGTGTCGAGGGGCTGGGAAGTTCAGTCAGTACAAGGACTAAGGAAGAGCCTTGGCCTCTCGCTGATAGTTAACCTCTGAAGGCAAAACTCACAGTCCTTTGTTAATTTCCCTCAGCTTTATAACCTTTTCCGGTATTTTCCACAAACTTCTCCCCCTCCCCAGAAAACTGTACAGGGGCTTGTTTTAAAACAGTATGTGTTCATTTTAAAGCATCCAAAAGAAAAGCTGTGTTGTAAAAAGCTCACTAATCAGATGCCTGCTCACAGTTGTATCTTTTTATTACAGTGTGGGGAATTTTTGGAGCAACACCAGAAAAATGCTGAATCTGCCTAAAATTCCTTTAAGGTGTTGCCCCCCCCCAACCTTCCCCATTTCCCTTAAAGCATAAAATCCTCCCTTTAAAGGGAAGGGGGAGGTGGGTGTTGAGAAAGGAGAGGACTTCAGCCTGTGTTTGCGCTCCAACTGGGGAAGACCACTTAGCAAGGAGCTCCCTGACTCTTACAAAGAGTTATTTAATTACCCTGCTCATGAATGAACAGACCAGACCCTTCCAGGAGACCAGAGGCTCGTGAATGAACCTCACACCCCAGGTCTCAATGGCACAGGGTGACCAGGCCTCAAGGCCACATTTTAGGTTAAGCAAGGAATTTTCCCCTTCTTAAATGTTTTTCTTTTTTTTTTTTGAGATGGAGTCTCGCTCTGTCGCCCAGGCTGGAGTGCAGTGGCACAATCTCGGCTCACTGCAAGCTCCGCCTCCCGGGTTCACGCCATTCTCCTGCCTCAGCCTCCCGAGTAGCTGGGACTACAGGCACCCGCCACCACGCCTGGCTAATTTTTTGTATTTTTAGTAGAGACAGGGTTTCACCGTGTTAGCCAGGATGGTCTCGATCTCCTGACCTCGTGATCCGCCAGCCTCAGCCTCCCAAAGTGCTGGGATTATAGGCGTGAGCCGCCGCACCCAGACCCCTTCTTAAATTTTTAATTTGAAGGCGTCAGGAGATGAGAAAGAAGAAAAATGGGAGGAGGGGGGAAAGGCCTTGCTCAGTGCCTCAACAATACCATTCTCCACCTGAAGGCAGAGGGCAGAGAGGCAGAGCAGCTCCAAGAACAGCCATGGGGTTATGAGAACACGGGCACGCGTGGAAGAGAAGCTATCTGGGCCTGACTGGGCCCAGACACACAAAGAACGTACTTGTGGGGAGGGGGTCCCCCAAGATTCCATTTAGGAACAAGGGCAAGCTTGGGGAAAAAAGCCAGTAAAGACATGAGCTCCATCAGCTGATGACCCACGGTTAAATGTGCCCAATTGCTAGGGTACCGGGAGCTGGGGTCAAAGGCGAGTGAGGACGGGTCTCCACCGGCTCTCATCTCTGTGAGGCACTTGGATAATGAAGTGATATTCCTCTGCCAAAGTCCAACAGGGCCACGGGCCTATCAGCCCCCTCCTCCATGGTCCAGCAGAGCAGAAGGCTGAGGACGGAGAAGTTGGGGAGGAAGGGCGCCTGGGCAGGCACGGCCGCCTCCTGCAGGCTCCCTGTGCCAATCAGGGGCAAATGAAGGGCAGAAATGTGGACACAGACAGCTTGCACCTGGCAACCTGGGAGCGCAAACATCACCACGCCTCGCTAACGCCAGGTCCAGGGTCCTCCCTCCTCAGGACCCAGGCGCCACCAACGGTTGCCTCATCCTGTCTCTCCCTCCACAACGGACATCTCAAAGGTTAACAGCACCCATCCCCTGCTCCCAACCCTGTCAGGAAATTGGCTGTTCTGATATCAACAAGCCCTCTTCAGGGACAAGCCTAAGATAAAAGGGGACTCCAGTGCCAATCCATCCCATCTATTCTCACGCCAAACCATCATAATTCACAAGGACCCTTGCTGGTCTCTTGTTTTCAATAGGCGAATCCCTCCCCCAAATAGAGACGCGTAAAACTTGCTGAGATATCTGGGCTAACTTTAAGGGGCTGTCTCTAATCCACCATGCTCACAGCCTCATCCAAAAGAGGAAATAGGACCCCAGAGCTCCCTCAGACTCCTCAGGAAACACAGACAATGCTGGGGTTTAGAGTGAGTTCCTCATGGAGGAAACAAACCAAAATGTTTCAGGTAAACTGCGAGTTAATCAGAAAACACTGGGGCCCAACCCATCTCCACCACCCCATGCTCTCTCCCCAAACAGATCAGACGATGAATCCTGGCTGGTGGAAGGCTGACCTGAGAACACTGGATTTTTTTTTTTTCATGCTTTGCAGCATCTCCAGTGAAGTGAGATGGCTGGACTTGGGGGTGGGCAGGGGGTGCCACAGGGTCTCCTTCAAAGGCCAGGCTGCTCTCTGGTTCCCGGGCCCAGCAGGCTTCGTTTCCACCCCTTAGCGCATTCTAGCCATGGCAGAACCCCCGCCCCTGTGCCAACCCCAGAGGTGAGCCGACCAGCTACAAAGCCAGATATGCATTTCACACCAACCTCGCATGCAGCCTCCCGGTAAGTTCAGCTCATCCCTAAAACAGGGTTCCCCCAAGGCCAGCCTCATAAGGTTGCTGTACCAATTTGATGCAAAAGTGATTGGGGCCAGCTTGTGGAGAGTGCTGCACACACGTTGGTCTCATCTCTGAGGCTCCTGGGTTCTCCAGCCGCTCAGAAAATGCCCACCAGTCTTCCTGATTGTCTCCACATCCCCACACCCCATGGTAGAACAGTTCTGGGCCAATGCCTACACTTAATAAGCATTTACTTTGCATAGGCTGTGTTCTCTAAGTGGCTCATGACAACCCTCTGAGGCTGCATACTATCACCAGCCTATCTTAAAAAAAGGGAGTAGTAGGGGTGAGGCACAAGTCACTGGCCGAAGTGCAGAGCTGCAATTCAAGCCCAGAATATTGCCTGGTGTGAGCTGTGGACACAGGCCTCTAAAGCCACCAAGCCCACTGTTCCTCTCCAAAGTGTCCTTCAGAACACACTTTGGAAATGCTGCACCAGCTTTTAGAGCTGCGCATGGGGTGCAACTCCCCTGCAGCAAGAAGTGGGGGGTGATACGGCTTTTTTGCCAGCAAGCTGCTCTGTGACCTTGGCCAAGTGGCTTGCCCTCTCAGGGTCTCAGTTTGACCTGTCCATAAATAATGTAAAGGGGACAAGGGAAGATGGCCCCATGGGCCCCCTTCTGCCTTCATGGTCTCTGGCTGGACTCTGATTCTCAGTATTAAACAACACTGGTTCCATTTATTTTTACTACCTTCCAGAGAGTAAGAAAACCACTTTGAGGAGCAGGGTACATTTTTGCATTTAATTTGCAACAATAAAACAAAATAAAATCAAAAGGGAAAGGAGGTTTGAGTCAGGTTTTGCTGTGTCCATCTCTAAACCAACTTTTTTTTTTCTTTAATTTCAGAGTCAGAAATGACTTTTTACTCTGTCTTACTATTCATCACCCTCAAGAGACGGTGAGCCCCCAAGAGAGGATCTCTTTTATCACTGTCATCCGTCCACTGTCTGCCCAGGCTTGGTTCCCTGAAGTTTCTCCTCCCATCACCGCCCTCCTTGCCACCTCTCCCAAGCCTACATATTTCGCAGATCCTGCTGGTCTAGAACACTAATTAGTGACTGTGTCCTTACAAATTATGTTAAATAATCAATTCCTAGAACTAAAATGTACTCCCTGGCTCCCCAAACTGGTCCCACACCACCTCCCAAAACCCCCCAAGCATCTGAGTCTGAAGCCCCCAACCTGGGGATGAATGCTCCTAAGAGCATTTATCTCGCCATGGAGAATGTAATTGAGGGTGGCACGGGGCAGGGGAGGAAAGCCACACAAATCAAAAGCTCTTGTCTGTCTCGCCAGTCAGGCTGACGCGGCTTCCTGTGCCCCAGCATTCAGCCATGCAAATTACAGCGTGTACCCAGCTGCCTGCAGCCACTGCTGTCTGAGGAGGCCCACTCTGCCCAGGCTCCTCTGAGAGAGGCCTCAGAGGAAGGGTGGGGACTCCCGACCCAGCCAACTCCATTCATAATATTGACAGTAAAGGGCCTCTCTGGCTGCTGTTTAGTGTGCATGCAGTCGAATCATTTCTCGAGTTCAAATTTCCAGATACTTCCCCTCCATGGTACACCAACCAGGTTCCCACTGTTACCCCCCAAGTAACTCAGAGCAGCTCTCTTCAGAAAGGGGGTTCACATATTAGCAGGCACAGAAGCCCTCAGCCCTGCATGGCATTGTCTGCTCAGCTGCCTTCCCTCTGGGCATGACCCTGGCACCCCCAGGAAGACACAAGGGCTGGGACAAGCATGGAACAGAAAGTCTGTCGTGTCCAAGAGAAACTACCAAGTCAAGTCTCTTACCTCACCCACCTACCCACCTGCCACCCTGAGAGTGTAGGAGATTCCCCAAATTCCCTATCTGGATTCCCAACTGGGCAGCTGGCACTGAATGCTGATTCATTCTCTCTCTCTCTCTCTCAATCTCTTTCTCTCTTTCTCTCTCTCTCTCTCTCTCACTCACACACACACACACACACACACACGTTAAAGCATCATGAAAATCTTAATACAAACCACTGCATCATTAAGCCAATTTTCCAAAAGGACAAAACCCCTAGAAGGACAGGACAGTTTTTCCCTGGTTTTGCAGGTGGTGGGGGGGCTCTGTGTGTGCAAGAAACCAAGCTACTTTTGCTGTGGGCCTCGTTTTAATAAAGCCCCAGGCTACCAGGACCCCTAGTCCTTGGAAGGCATCACAGGACCCAAAGGCAGACCCTTCTCCCACCCTATCCCCCACAGATCCAACTCCACTCCAGTTTCTAGAGGGTAGGAAAACTGTCCGAAGACATGGAAAAATACAGTGAGAAACAAAAGTCCTTTTCATTCCTCCCCTCCCCCGGCTCCCCTTGTTCCATAACAATTATGAAAACTGTTGGATGGGATGGCATTTTGAACATTTACTGCATTCCGGCCAATAAATTCCAATGCAGGATCCGATGGAAAAGCTCCTTCTTCTCCTGCGAGCTCCCTCCCTGGCCCCCCTCCCCGTGCACTCCCAGCCCTCATTCCATCTCTCACTTTACAACCCAATACCAGGGCCTGGCCAGGCCAGGGCCGCACTGTACTTAGAGGGAAAAACAACAGTACGACAGCCTGGAGACAGCGTGCAGACTGGAAAAGTTAATCATTACTTCTGTCTGCCTCCGTAATCTAATCTCTCCCGCTTGGACACACTCACTGTTCAGCCATCCCAGCCCTTTCACCCCTAAAGCACCCAGGACCTCCCAGACCCAAGCCCCCACTCCCTCTGGCGGGTCCTCCCACTCCTAACCTCCAGTTAGGAGGTCAAGGGAATAAAAGAAGAATGAAAGGGTCCCCCACCCAGAAGCTGCTGTCACAAGGCCCTGGAGTCCAACATACACGGCCAGCTGCTCTGTGCTGGGTGCCCCACCTTTCAGAGCCTCCAGGCCTCCCATAAACATGGGCTCCCATAAATGTGAGCTCCAATCTGGCTGGTGACTGCAGCAGCCCAGCACTGCCCCTCCCCCACCGCGCAGGGACAGACTGTCCCCTCCCCGCTTTCTCACTCCCTCTGCCCCAGGATTCGCCCTCAAGCCCACCCCGGTGGGTAGGGCTCCCCCACCGCATGCGATCGGTGTGTGCCGACACATGAGGCACAAGTCAAGGAGGCCCTACCGTTGGCGATGCCTTAAAAAATTAAACACAGAATGACAGTGTAATTTAGCAATTCCACCTCTGGGTATATACCCAGAAGAACTGAAAGCGGCGACTCCAGTGGTATTTGCACATCCATGTTCACAGCAGCATTATTCACAATAGCCAAAAGGTAGAAGCAAGCCAAGTGTCCATCAAGCAATAAATCAACCAGACATGGAATATTCATACAATAAAATATTATTCAGCCTTAAAAAAGAAGGAAATTCTGACATACGCTAGAGTATGGATGAACCCTGAGGGCATTATGTTAAGTGAAATAAGCCGATCACAAAAGGACAAACACTGTCTGATTCCACTATTCTATGAAGTACCTAGAGGAGGAGGCAAATTCATAGACAGAAAGAATGGTGGGTGCCAAGTGCTGGGGGAGGGGAGAAGGGAAGTTAGTGTTTCATGGGAACAAAGTTTCAGCTAGGGAAGATGAAAAAGTTCTGGATGTGGACGGTGGGGATAATAGCACAATATGAATGTACTTAATGCCACAGAACTATACACTTAAAAATTGTTAATATGGTATATTTTATGTATATTTTACCACAATAAAAGAAAAAGGCCTCAGCTCTCTTAAGGCTCTCCTTTGCACCCCCATAACTAGTCCTCATAAGCATAGATTTCCTGAACTGGGGATTCCACGGGTGGGACTGGGCTTCAGCAAAGATATCGGCCCCCTGCAGATGTATACAAATTGTGGTATAGCATGCATTTTTCTGAACAGAGTCCTCAGCTTTCACCCATACTTGGAAGAGTTTGCGAGCCAAGAGACAGAAAGAACTACAACCTTTTTATTTTAAAATGGAAGCAGTCTTTGGCTTCCATAGGGATATCTCATCAATAGGGGGATCATTCCCACACCCCTCAAATCCAAGAGACAAAGATCACAGATCACCGAAGGGACTTGGCAGCCAAGCCCAAGCCCTTATTTTGCAGATGAGAAAACTGAGGCCCAGAACACAGAAATGGCTCCTGCAAGGCCATGTGGCCAGCCAGGGGCTGAGACACTCGGCCTCAACCCAGGAGAGCAGGCCAGCCTCTAGTGACAGGAAAGTGGAGGATGCTGGCCCCGACATTGTAATTCTCTCCCAGCCCCCTCCTGGGACTAGGGCATCCTGGACACCCTGGGGGGAAGGTGGGGGGGCTTCTGAGTTTTTGCAGGCCCCACGATCCTGGGCTCTTCCCCAGAAAACAGCCCCCCCAGCAGGGTTTTGATTGTGCCCCCACTGAGCAGGAGATGGGGCCCATCTATTTGTAAGAACGGTATGGTGCACTCAGATCACACTGATAACTAACTTTTTAATTTTCCCTCTTGGTTACTGATTCATGAGGGGGTGGGGCAGGGCTGGCTCAGAGGCTGCAGTGAGGCTGACAAGGTCCCCAGGCCCAGCTCTTGATGATCCTCACTTAGCCTGCAGGGGAAGGAGACACTTAACAGCTTCATGAGGTGACTGGAAGGTGGGACAGGGGACAGGGACAATCATTTAACCTCCGAGTGAGCCACCCCAGAAAATGCAGACAGCTAATCTGCCAACGGCACAGTCATATCTTGGCGTCTTATTGTTTTTGTTCCTGTTGAGTGACAGTCGCAGATCAAAACGTAAGAAAGCAATACTGAAATGAGCACACAGTCGCTGGCCTGGTTATCTGAGTTGTCTTCTGGCTGAAAGAAAGTCCCGACTTTGCAAGATGAAATTGGAATTGAGACCAGATCTTCCCTTTCTGCTCTGATCAAACCCCCCAGCAAAAGCAGCTCTCCCCGCCTTTTCTTCCTGGTGGGGCTTCACGGAGGAGCGAGAAGAGTAATTCAATTAGTGAACTCCACAGAGCTTGGAAGCCATCGGTTGGCCCCGGGGGAACAGACAGAGAAGGATGAATGTGAAAAGGAAACACCCTGGTAACTGCATCTTAGATTATTTCATCCAAACCCAACCCCAGACAGGCCAGGGCCTCACACACAGGGCTGACACCTCAGAAACGGGCTTAACCCTCAGATTTAAAATTAAAAAGCAAGAATTTCCTTCATCCCCCAGATGGTCTTCGTTGCGAATCAAGTCCTCTGGAGTTACAAAGGGAAAGTCACTCCTGGGCTTTGAAAACATCCCACTTCTCCTCTGGCTGTCAAGACATTAGATACTGTCTTTCCAGATGTTTCCCCACCCCTTGGCCGTGGTCCACTGAGGAGCCTGGCGCTAGGCTGGTCACTTCCACTCTGTGCTGTGCCCCAGGTACTACCAGGGTCTGGAGGGTGGATTATAACCACAGCTCCTGTTCTTCCTGCTGTCATCTTACAATCAGCAAGAAGCGGGGTGGGGAGGCGGGCTGGAACCAAAACCCGGGAGACCTACCTCTGTTTATCCACAAGCTTTGCTTTATCTCAATTCTCAACAGACCACACAACCAAAGCAGAAGTAGAAGTGGATGACTCAAGAGCTAGGCCCATCCCAGGGGGCCCACCCTGCACCTCCCCCACCTATGGCCTGGCTTCATGGAGGGACCAGGCTCCTCTGTCCTACAGAAGCTGCCCCTGCCTGCCTCCAGGTAGAGGCAACTCCTAGTCAATCCCCCCTCCCGCCGGCTCCATCCCCATGGATTCAACATCACCTTCGGACAAGCCATTCCAACTGCCAATTCTTAATTCTAACCCAGCCCAGGAACTGGTCCTCTGCACAGCACACAGCCTGGCACATAATAGGTGTCAATACATATTTGCTCCATAAACAAACCACAGGGACACACTGGCTTCTTCCAAAGCAGCGGGCCCACCTAGCTTCACACCCGGCAGAGGGAGGCACATGTGAACCCACCTGAGAGGGGAGCACACCTTCCAAGCACGGAGTCAGCCAGAAGGACCAAGTCCCTCTCCTGGACTCCCCACGGAGGACACAAGAGGGAAGCCCTGTTCTGCGCTAGGTCACACTCAGCCGCCGCGGCATATGCCACTGAGAGGTGTTTCCAAGGCCGGCGCCGGCCCACCAACCTCTGTGGGCACACCACCTGCCCACAGCATTCTGCTTTGGCGTCCTGCTCTGTTTGGACAAGTTGCCCTCACCAAGTGTTCAACAATGCTTTTACACACCCCAGGGCCCTTGTTGTGTTATGAAAACAAAACAAAGCACGCTAAGGAAAAAGCTGGGAGGGTGGGGGTGAGCGTGAGTGGAGAGCGGGCCAGCCACACACACAGGTCTCTTTCTTTCTGGTCTCTGTCCTAAAGACGGCTCCTTGGCAGCACGGGCCGGGGCACTGTCCCATGCCCTGTGTCATTAGAACAATGACATCAACAAAGAGGGGATTTAGAAACCCAGAGACAAAAAATGGAACTGGACCTTATCTGCACCACTGTAGGGCTGTGATAAGCCCCCTCTCTGGGAGATGCTTCTAGGTGAACCATATCACTCCTTCCTCCAAAGCACAGCACCGTTACTGGACACAGCTGTACCAGGGCAGCTCCGAGACCCATTTCCCCTCCACTCCTCACTAGCACCCTAGAAATAGTCTCAGGAAAGTTACAGAACTCCTGCAGGATGAGGGGGACACGGTGGCTTGAAAACACGAAGGCAGCCCTGAGTTCCCGGCGGCTAAGTGCCAGGTGCCTCTGTTAGGGGAAGGCAGTACCGGGGGTGGGTAAAAAGGCTAAAGGCGTGAGTAAATTCTTACGTACCCCCCATCAAAAAAAAAAATACAATCTTTTTTTTGCAAGTTAAAACTGAGCTAATGACACTGGGTGGGGCTCAGTGTTGAGGACTCCCCAGCCAAACCAAAATTAGCTTCCAGCCAAGAGCTGCTTGGCCTTACCATTTGGGGAAGGAAGCTGAAAAAGTCATGAAAGATTCTTTAGTAAAATGGGAAATAAGGCGGCAGTTAACATTTCAACTGAAGGTGACCCTTCTGGTAAAATATTTTTTTAAATAATAAAAATAACATAAAGTTCTCAAACAGCCTCTTTCTTAAAGAAAATGGCCTACATGTTCTCGTGGGAGTGGAAGGGAAGAAAAAAAAAACACAAAACAGAAAACAGGCTAGCCGTTTCTCAGCCACTACCTTTCACGAACCACTTTTCTCTGGAGTTATTCTCAAAAAAAAAGATGATGCAATTTCCTGTCTTGTCCCAATATTTCCTGTTAACTTACAAGGTGAAAGTTATCACCCTGTTTTAAATAACTGTCCTCAACACCGCTGAAAGTCCCTTTTCCCAGCCAGTGCCCACCCCTATCAAAAAATGTCCCCATCTTAGAGTATAAATACGATCATTTTCTACACCTTTTAAGAGTTGGCTTCGTAAGAAGCCTGGTTCTCTCTCTAGCAGATACTGAATCCACGGGGCACCTTCCACGGGAGTGGAAGCCCACATCTCCCAGGTGAACCCACAGAGAGAAACAGAGAGGCTGGGGGGCAGCCGAGTCCCCCAAGTGAGCCAACAGGTTTAGGTAGAGTGGCCGGGATCAGGTGAGTGTTGCTTTCTTGGTGTGTTAACCACTAAATTGAGAACTGTGCCTCAGCAGTTAATAATATCTTCCCGCTGAAAATAGCCCGGAGAGGAAGCCTCTGTGTGACAGTAGGCAGGCAGCCAGGCTTGGGGCTAGCCATTCAATACCGAGCGAGAGGTGGTAGGGCCAGTGGTGACCTCCCTGTGGCTGTGCTTACAGTATCCTTTCACGAGGCTCCCGCAAAGGGAGGGTGCCCGGGCCAGTCACCTACGGCCACTGCAGCCCTAGAACTTGGGCAAGGACATCACAGGGACTGGGGTCTCCAGGGGCCCAGGAAGGGTCTGGATCACCAGCTTTTGGAGCCAACCCTGGCACCATCCTGGTTCGCAGTCACTGGGATGGGCAGGCCAGGGGGACCCCGCAGAGTGAGAACAAGCATATTCACTTCCCCCAGCAGAAAAGTCAGGCCGGGAATCAAACCAGAGGGAACTTTCCTGTCTCTCATTTCTGGAACCCACGAAGAAAAAAGGAAGGTCGAAGGATCAGCACAGATGTGTCTGCTTGCTCAGGTAACACACAGCAGAAGGCCAGGCGTGGTGGTACACGCCTATAATCCCAGCACTTTGGGAGGCTAAGTCGGGAGGATCACTTGAGGTTAGGAGTTCGAGACCAGTCTGGCCAACATGGTGAAACGCCCTTTCTACTAGAAAAAAATTAGCCAGGCATGGTGTGGCACGCCTGTAATCCCAGCTGCTAGGGATACTGACGCATGAGAATGGCTTGAACCCAGGAGGTGGAGGTTGTAGTGAGCCGAGATCACGCCACTGCCCTCCAGCCAGGGTGACAGAGTGAGACTCCATCTCAAAACACACACACACACACACACACACACACACACACACACACCACACACACACACACGAGATCCCAGGCAGGCTACCAGCCTTGCTCCCTGGTCCATCAATGTACTTCCCATGTGACCTCAGGGCTGCCACCAAAACAAGTGTCTACCATCATCAGGTCCTAGGCAACTAACAGAAGTCTCTCCAATTTTACTCTCCACAATCACTGTTCCTTATAGATTATCCAAGTATCTACATGTATTTAAAACCTACCGCTGGCCATTTTTTGGTCAAACTTGTGGTAAAATACACATAACTTAAAATGTGCCACCAATGGCATTGAATACATTCGGTGAACTGTGCAACCATCACCACTCTACAGTTCCAGAACATTTTCATCGTCCCAAAAGGAAACCCGGTCCCATGGGTCCCTTTTACAATCCCATTCATGACAGCAAAGCAAAACAGTGGACCATGTATAGTTAATAATAGTTTTCTCTCAAATGTCTCTACAAAGAAGCAAGAAAGTTATCTGGGAAGCTGAATCCCGAGGGATTTTAGTGTGCGAGCAAGTCCAGGAACCAGCACTTTACACCTTTTTTTTCTTCTGCCAGGTGAAGACAACTGCTTTGAGAGTGCTGCTCCGAGTTCAAGGCCTGGACCGAAGGAAGTAAAGACCAGCCTGGCCATCATAATTCTGCAAGGAATTATGACACAGTAACAACAATAATAAAGGAGCAAAGAGGCCGGGCGCAGTGGCTCATGCCTGGAATCCCAGCACTTTGGGAGGCCAAGGCGGGCGGATCACCTGAGGTCAGGAGTTCAAGACCAGCCTGACCAACATGGCAAAACCCTCTCTCTACAAAAAAGTACACAAATTAGCCGGGCGTGGTGGTGCACGCCTGCAATCCAACTACTCAGAGGCTGAGGCAGGAGAGTCCCTTGAATCCAGGAGGCAGAGGTTGCAGTGACTCGAGATCCTGCCATTGCACTCCAGCCTGGGCGACAGAGCAAAACTCCATCTCGAATTAAAAAAAAAAAAAATTAAAACATTAAAAAATTTTAAAAAGAAGCAAAGGAAGCCAAACTTGATCATGAATTCTTCGGCATTTCCTCCCTTTTCACTGCTCCACCGGCTCTGAGCTTGCCACGGAGGTCCCATAGGTGTACAAGTCTACGCAGCTACAGTCAGGCTTTGCTAAGTAAAGGCATGTGTGTGTGTGTGTGTGTGTGTGTGTGTGTGTGTGTGTGTGTAGGAAGTGAGGGGCAATCAGCATGCTACAGTGTCACCAAAAGTGACACCACCCAAAGCCTGGCCTTCACCTGGCCCTCTCCCTTTGCTGGCCCAGTTCAGCCTGGGGACAGGATGCGTGAGGCGGCAGCAGACCATCTTGTCTGGCCGGCAGAGCAGCCCAAATTTGCTCCAGAGATTTTAAATGCTGTCACCCTGTATTTAACCCCTGCCGGACTGCCTCATTCTTTCCAGGACAAAAGGGGTTTTATCAGTAAGCCCTTCTCCAGGGGGAAGTGCATGACCTGGGGCACTGCAGAAGAGGCGGGGTCCAGGACTGGTCTTCACCAGGGTGTGGGTGTGCACCAGGTGAGCCCGCCCCAGCCCTGACTCATCCTGTTGGCAGGTGTTTAAGGAGAGGCAGAAGGTGTCCCCTGAGTTCTAGGCCGTCATTTCTCACAGTGGCCTGCAGGGTACTAAGGGGATGGGAAGGAAGGAGCTTGCTCATGGTCACAAGCACCTGTCCACCTGAGTCCCCCAAAGTCCACGCTCATGAGCATTTGGATGAAAGGCCCACATGCCTGTGAGCTCAACCTGTGCCCCCTGCCCTCACTCCACAATGGCATTAGAGACCTCAGTGAAACCATGAGCTGTTTTGTAGCCAGGCAGGGGGAGGTGACTTAATTTAAAAGCAGAGCAACAGGCGCCCAGGCCCAGGTTCCCAGTTCATGATCACAATTCCAAGCCAGACAATGAATAATTGTTCACGTGCAGCTGATTAACTTTCCTTAAAACAGGATGGAGCAATGTTTCCTAAGCTACTTGGTTTGAGCCCAAGTCAACTGTGGACTGAGCCAGGGGTGCATTTTCAGATTATATAGGTATTTTTGAAGGCTCTCCTCTGAGACTATGACAGATGCCAGCAAGGATCAAAGAGAAGGAGACAGAAACATCCTTGGATGCTGAATGGATACTGACTCAAGGACGCTCCCATCCCCCAGACTTGGGGACTAGTAGCCACATATGAATCTCAAGCAAAGAGTTGGCCACCCTTGGGTTGGAGGCATGGTGCCGGGTCTCTCCAACAAGCATGACTTCGCACAGCCAAGAGATGGAGTTTCCCAGGACACGTGAGCACTTCTGTCTCCACTGCCTCCTACCTCCCTCCTTGAGATCCATGGGAGCACTTCTTTTGAAGTTTAAATAACTACAAGTGGTTGCTGGCTTCCAATCCCTACCCTAACTGGGCAGGTCCATATGGCTGAGGCCCAGCCAGCTCCAGACATTCATATATAAAGGAGGAGGCTAGAAGATGAGTCTGCAGCTGAATAACCTACAACTCACAAGGGAGATGCTGCTCCCTCAACCCACTCAAACCAGGACAGCAGACAGGCAAAATGAAAGCCCCCAGACAGAAACTCCAGATGGAGGCTGCAAAGATGATAGCTTCCAACACATGCTCTGCATTCCCAGTGATCCCCGGAAAGCTCTGGGAGCAAATCCTTTCCATCTCCACGACGGAGCTGAGCCTAGAGGCTTCCCAGCTACATCAGACCTCTCCCAGGTGATCTTCCTGAGCCATGACACATCCATGTCCAAGCAGCAGCAAGGACCTGTTCTGGAGTTGCATGCCTTTCAAAAGACACCCATCCCAGAGAGTCAGGCACAGACTGCCAAATCACAAAGCAGAATCAATCCACAAACTCCACCCCACAAGTCCACAACCTCTTGGAGAGGCCGCCCTGACATCAACCCACCCCAGCGACAGGGACCCACCCTATCCCAGAGCCTGCCTGTGGGCATCCGCACGCTCTCATGTGTTTGCGCACGGGATTGTCTATCTGTACGTCTGCGGCAAAACCCACCCACCCACACACCCACCCCCACAACACACACACACGCATACACACACAAGCTTGCACCCAGCAATCCATCTGTCTCAGAGAGCCAGCTGTCAAAAATGAAAGTACAATCTCCTGGAAGCAAGTCACTGCCTTCTAAAAATGTCCCATTTTCCCAGACCGAGGAAACTTGCAAGGGTGGGGTGTGTTTCACTGCAAGTCCCTAACGACCAGGCCTGTCGTCTACCCACCCCCCCACACCCCCCCAAAACAAAGCTGCAATGCTGGAATTCCAACCTGCAGCCAGCAGCCCCGCCCCCGGGCTCCTACCCGCCCACTCCCCTTCCTCCCGGGCAGTTTGCAAGGGCGCAGGAAAGGGAAGGGCCAGCCTTGGAGTCACCCCTGCATTTCAGGAGAGGACCGGCCTTTGAGCACACCCCACCCCCACCTCCGAGGCACCACATTTTCACATTCGGCTGTTTTTTCTTTCCCTTCTTCCCTTGCCAAGAGAATCAAGCCCTGGCTCCTGCTGCCGACCTTCCTCCCACCCTAAACTGAGCCCCATTCATTAAGCCCGCTCTCAGCCAGGGCAGGACAGGAAGGAAAACAGCACACAGGGCCTGTGAAAGAGGCTCAGAGAGGTTATTTCAAGGAGGAGGAGGGAGAAACTCCTCAGTTTTCACTGCTCCCCACCTTGCTGCCAGGCTCCCACCCCCCAACCTCAGTGTCTGCTATGCCCCTTCCCCCATCCAGCCCTGCCACATCCAGTCACTGGCCTCATCCACAGCAAGGCAGACACACCCAGGCCACCCCCCATGGAACGATCAACTTCTTGAAAAGGAGGAGGTTTGGGCTTTCTCCATTTACAAAACTCTCTGCCCTGGACAGGGGCCAATAAAGTTCCCTTTTGGAAGGCATTCTCGCTACAAAGAGGACAGCCCTAGGTTTTCTCCGTGCCCATCACCTCCCCTCCAGACGCCCCCAAGCCGGTGACATCAACCCCCAAAACAGTGTACCCTCCCCACCATGGCCCATTATGAATACACTGCACCAACTCTGAACGGAAAGAAGAAGGAGCTCAAACTTTGAAGCCTTTGGAATTAGTAAATCAAGAGCTGAAATTCAAAACAAATGCTCTTGCCATGTGGAAGGCCCCCTCTTCTCTCTGCAGTCTTCTGAAGCCACACTGCCCTTCAGAGAGTCACTGCTTCTTCCTGGCAGCTCCTTATTAATATCTGTGTCTACAATTACCTGGAGGGGTGAGGGGAAGGAGTTAATGATTGTTTTACCCCCAGTTTCTTTCTAGGACTGGAAGAGCTTTGGGGAAAAAAAGCCCACCCATCGGCCAGGCGCAGTGGCTCACACCTGTAATCTCAGCACTTGGGGAGGAAAGGGTGGGTGGATCATCCGAGGTCAGGAGTTCAAGACCAGCCTGGCCAACATGGCGAAACCCCATCTCTACTAAAAATACAAAAAATTAGCTGGGCACAGTGGTGGATGCCTGTAATCCCAGCTACTTGGGAGGCTGAGGCAGGAGAATTGCTTGAACCTGGGAGGTGGAGGTTGCAGTGAGCCGAAATCGGGCCACTGCACTCCAGCCTGGTGACAGAGCGAGACTCCGTCTGTGTGAGCCGAAATCGCGCCACTGCACTCCAGCCTGGGCGACAGAGCGAGACTTTGTCAAAAAAGAAAAAAAAAAAAAAGCCCACCCATCTCCTGAGGGCTTCACAGGTCACATGGCACGGGCGGGTGAGGAGGCACTCAGGCTGGTATCTCAGCCTGGTGTCGTCATTTCCTCCGGCAGGGGAGACAGACAAGATGTTATCAAGAAGACAAACCTTCCGAAAGGACCCTTTCAAAAGCTGCCACTTCCCTTGCTTATTTCATGTGGTTTGGAGGGGCCGGGGCTCCTCCCTGCACATTCAGGGTTTAAAAAATAAAACCATCTAACAACATCCTGAGCGTGTTATTCTGCTGAGACCCTTTCCTCTCATTGGCCTTCTTTCTTTCAAGAACTCTCTCAGCCTTAGAAAGCAGAAAAGATGCAGTTCACACACTGCTGCCTTTTCTCCCTCCTCAACTCCTCTGTCCACTCCCACCGTACTGCCTGAAGCCCCCTCCCTTCTCTAGGTCCCTCTTTTTCCTGCTCAATTCTCATTAGAAGCTTTGAGTAAACAATACCCTCAGTCTCAGATAACAGAGTATATATTGCATTGAAATGAAAACAAACAAGGGTCTCCCTAAAGACGTTCTCAGCAAGCTCAGTTCCTGAAGAGGAGAGCCGGGGAGGGAGCCGTCCGGGAATGAACTTTGCCTGAGCCAGCCATGGAAGACACACCACCAAGTAGTCAGAGCAGGTACCCCACAAAAAAGGGTGCCCCTCACACAAGAGGATACACCACAACAGGGCACAGCTTCTATTCGAGCTGCTACCACGTGATCCTACAGGCAAGGAAATGCCAAATGCCCAAAACTCTGCTGGAATTTCTGTTTTTAAGGTCGTTTTCCCTCTTGCTTCAGCCAGTTCTTAGAAAATCTAGTGATGACATGGTGGGGATGGAAAAACAGGTAGAAATAGGATTTCTTCAGAACAACATGAAATGCGTCCCATGTACATAACCAGTGAGTTTCTCTAAGTACTGCCCTCTTTTCGCATCCTCAGGAACAACAATGCTCTGGCTACCCCGTGCCTGTCAGCCAGCCCCGTGACCCCCCAGCACTGGCATTCCAGGCCTTCACGCATACCTGTGAGCCCTGAGGAAAACCTGCCCCGCTAGGGAACAATTACAGCTCCTACTGTTGGCAGTGCTCCCACCCTGGTGCTCCCAGCCCCAGACATGTGCTGCAAAATCCTGCAGCAGGCTGGGCTGGGAATCAGAACTTGGGAGGGAAGCCTCAGATCTACTCTGAAATCCCATCGTATGCTTGGGATCTGTCTTCAACAAGTTCCCTAAAGGTGGGTCCATTCCCTTTACATCCCCCATGCGCAAAGAGCAAAAGCAAAAAAAGAGCTCAAATGCATGAGTTAATGACACCAAAGTCACCAAGCTGAAGCCCCCCAAGCCAGGAGCTGCTTAAAAATAACCGGGCAACACTTCACACACCAAAGCAATCCCCAGCTCGCTCTTGTCTCCCCGTCCACGGAACGGATCCAGTGTCCAGAGCGTAAAGGACTGCAGGATGAGGAGCTGAAGGGCACCACAATGTCACCACCGATGCATCCAACTTAAGGCATATAAAAATGAGAATGAAGTCCAGACCAGCTGGGGTGGCAGAAGGCCACCCCCATTCCTCCAGTCTTTAGCAATTTCAAAAAAGGTTGGAATTGCCAGGAAAATAAGAGAAAGCATCTTACCTGAAAGCCCCCCAGGGGCCAGATAATTCGTTCCCCCTGTTTCAGCGGAGGAAGGCACAGCATCTGGACAGTCTGCTGTGGATTTGAAAAGGGGAGAGAAAGAAATAAATACACAAATAAAAACACCAAGATCCATCTTTAAGCACGCTCTAAACAGCATGAAAGACAAACCACACATTCCAAAAGGCTGACTCGCGGCCTTGATGCTGATTATTAATGGTCTGCTCAGGCTTCACTGCCCATCGTAAGACAGACCACAGCACCTTGTCACCCGTCTGGGCTCCGGGCAGCCAGTTAATCATTACTCGAGTCAGGCTCAATGAGACTGGCTGGAATTTCTCTTGCATTACCAGTCCCCCATTACGGATACCAGGTGGTTCCCAAGGTCAAAGGAGGTTTGGGTTGGACTTTCTCAACCCTGGTTGCTCTGTCATCCCTCATCAAGGGCAGAAGGCTCTCTCCTTGGAGCCCATGTCCTCTCTGCCTTCATCCTTTTAAAGACAGGTTTCCCAGTTCTTGAAAACATTCTCAAGATTGATGTTGGGCTGCCGGGACTTCTTTCCCCTTTTTTAATTGAGGACTAACTTAAGTAGAGCAAAGTATACAAAATCCCAAGTAGACGCAATGAATGTTACTCATGTATACATCTGTGTAACCACCACCAGATCAAGACAGAGAACATTCTCAGCAAGGCTCCGAGCCGGAGGGGAAATGTTCTACCTCTCCCAGGCTAGTCCAAACCCCTCATCTCTGGAAACCTTCCCAGGCAACCCCAGACCTGCTAAGGCTCTCTGCCCTCAGTTCCTATAAAACATTTGGCACCCAACACTCGGAGTTTCCTCACTGATTTTTACCTTTAGATTGCATCTGCCCTTAACTAGACTTCTCTTCAACTTCTGTCACCCTCAGGTACTCTGCACAGTGACCTCACCGTTAATGAGGATAATGACAATTCCAGCTGAGAAACAGTCTCCACAACCGCCCTCCAAGCAATTAAAGCAAAACCTAATGTCCATGAACCACAACTCATTAGTCCCATGAAACACAAATACACAAGACCCTGTAAGCTTGTCATGCACCACTGGCAGCGCCAAACTCCCTGAAGTCCTAGCGGAGAGCCCGGCTAAGGAAAGGTGCTGCCCAGGTCCGCAGCAAACACAACAGGTTGGATCGTGCAGACACCAGGCCTCCTACCCCAGGCCACCAGGACAATGTCCCTGTGGGTTTCCAGTTGGAACCACTTGGCCATGCTGGCAAATAGGAAAGCCAAAAAAAAAGAGCAGACGGGCAAGTAGCCCATGGGAATCCTTTAGTGGCCTACACATAGCCCCAAACCATCTCTGGGTTTCTGCTGTCTGCCCTCTTAATGCTAAGTTTCTCTCTCTAACTCAGGGTCACTCCCTCTCCCACATTCTCAAGGCTGGAAGGACAACTTTTCAAGAACTCTCCTAAGCGGGCGAGGGGCAGAAGTGGAGGCAGGCGTGGGGGTGAGGTGGCTGCGGTGGGTAGGGGGAAAGAAGACTGTGTGTGTAATCTCATTTTATCAGGGTAAAGTCTAATTCCTAACAGGAATATACAGTTTTACAGGATACACTTAATCAAACAGAAAACAATAGAGGCAGGCAGGAAATGGAGTTACTTGTTAAATGGTGTATACCCTGCACTTTCTAAACCATTTTGATGGCCTTCATCATTTTCTAGAGATAGGCTTCTCAACCCTCTCCTCCACCCACTCCTCCCAGATGGAAGACACCCCCACATTAAACATAATGACTTATCCACAGCCACTCCCCGCCACCTTTGGCTGGCAGAATCCCAGGGGCAAGGTGTGTTTCAAAGGAAAAGCCGGGCATCTCAGAGCAGAGCTGAGACCACATTCAGGGTGTCAGCCCATCTCAGATCAAAGGTAAGCCAGCTCCACACAGGCAACCACAAGCATTTTTGTGAAATGGTGCTCTGCCCTTCTGCAGTGGCTTTGATCTCAAGAGGGATTTACAAACGTTAATTAAGCCTCCCTACCACCCCTGTGAAGAAGCAAAGTATACCTGTTCCATAGGCAGCCAGGTAAACTGAGGCGTCACTGACTAGCTCAAAGGGCCACCCAGTGAGCTGGGCTATTCCCAAGAGTCCAGCCCTATCCCATGGCTCTCACTCCCCAGGCAGGCTATGGAGTCCCTACCCTCTTTCCTGGAGGTGGCCAGGCCATCCAGACTGGCCTCAAGGTTAAAGGAGCCATACCTCCATCTCTCACCCACAGAAAAGCTCCGCATAGACAGATCTCTGAAGTCAGGGTCTCACCTTAGGCCTGTGTCGCCTGTTCCCCAGAGCCCAGGCTGGCTGGCAGACAGAAGCTCTAGGCCACTCCTGACTCACGCAACACTAAGTGTTATCAAGCACTTGGTAAGCACTAGGTTCTGCGAGAGAAAAAGACTCATTCCTTTCTCCGAGCAGCTCCAACAGAGTCTTTGAAAACCCAACCCTGGGGAGCAGCCAAGGAGCGAACTATTGAGAATGAGTACAAGGTAAAGGAGCTGGGAGTCCCACGATAGTCTCAGCAACTGCGTTCTGAGCTTCCTAAGTACTGTTAAAGACAGAGGAGCCCCTACTCACCACTGTACCCCAAGGGTCCCAGCTCTGCCCCAGGTAGTTCAACCAACCCAGAACTCAAATGAACCCTGGTTATAAAAGAACACAGCACTGCCAGGTGCAGTGGCTCACGCCTGTAATCCCAGCACTTTGGGAAGCAGAGGTGGGCAGATCACACGAGGTCAGGAGATCGAGACCATCCTGGCTAACTCGGTGAAACCCCGTCTCTACTAAAAATACAAAAAATTAGCTGGGCATGGTGACGGGCACCTGTAGTCCCAGCTGCTCGGGAGGCTGAGGCAGGACAATGGTGTGAACCCAGGAGGTGGAGCTTGCAGTGAGCCGAGATCGGGCCACTGCACTCCAGCCTGGGCACAGAATGAGACTGTCTCGGAAAAAAAAAGAACACAGCA
This sequence comes from Homo sapiens, assembly GCF_000001405.40. Taxonomy (NCBI): domain Eukaryota; kingdom Metazoa; phylum Chordata; class Mammalia; order Primates; family Hominidae; genus Homo; species Homo sapiens. Next base: position 48,945,480 of record NC_000018.10, read on the forward strand.
CTGCATCGGAATCCTCAAATTTCTAGGTAGGCACATCATCATGCCTGTAAAATGAATGACTGAACCAATGAATGAATAAATGAATGAATGACCTAATCTCTTTCATCATGCTGATTTTAAAAGAGGCCTAGAAAAGTTAAGAGGGACCTCGGTTAAGAGAGAAACGCAGTGCCAGATCTCAGGTCAAGACACCAGACTTCCGATCTGGATTTGCAGGCTGGATCTGCCCATGGATACTGGCCACCTGGGTCCCTCAAGAGCTCACCCAGCAACCCCCCAAGGCCAGCCATTCCTCAAACCTTTCAGACCATCAGATACAATGAAACACGGGAAGCAGAGCCCACACAGCTATCCCCGAGATCCAGCTTTAAACAGCAAATTCTGACTTCTTGTGGGATGTGGAGGTGGGGGTGTCTTTCTGACTTCTGACAGCCACAAGTCACAACTGGCCTCCCCTAGGTTCAGTCATGTGAACACTCTTTCAAAGAAGGCTCTCCTGGTTGGACCACACAGTACCTAGGTGTCTAAAGTCCAGGCCTCCCAGATGCTGAGTGGAGTGGCTTAAATTATAGCAAAATGGAGTTCCTAGCTTTGAGCCCTCTGTGTCTCCAAAGGCTGCAGGGTACCAGGCCCCAGCCCCATTCCCACCACCTTTTCCTAAGATGGAGACTTCACAGGATGTATTCCTTTAGTTGTGCAACTGGTTAAGATTTTAACAGTTGTCCACTGTAAAACTTTGTGCCTGTTTCATCTAGTAACCCAAGACCAAAAATTCAACCTAAGGGACATAGAAACTGAAGAATGTAAATGGTCCATGTAGATTCCCGGGCCAAACATTCTCCCATACGCAAAATGGGGATGAAGACCTGGGTCAGCGCCCATCTGTGGTCTGACCTCAATGCCCCCGGCCACAGCAGCTGGCAAAACCAGCCCCAGACCTGTGAGGGGGGCGGGGGGGGTGTGCTCCAGCTCCAGACCTGGCTGTCCTCCAATGTGGCAGGACAATTCCCTTCGTGGGGGCTTTGTCTATTACTGATGCTAAATTCTTACACAGCAGCGCCTTTTCTCATTTCTTTTTTTGTTCTATTTTCAACAAAACGTTTTGGGTGAGTAACCAGCTGTCTTAGTTTCCGATTGGCAGGTTAATCACTTCCTATTGGCTGATCTGGAGAACTTTTCTCCCCCTTGGAAATGGCACATTCCTGTCTTTGTGGCTTCTCTGTTTACACACATTTTGCTACCTAATGTCAACACTTGCTAATGAATAAATATATCACTCCACTCACCGAAAATGAGGCCCTGGCCTGGCAGAATGACTGCTTAAATCCTGAGAACAGATTTATCCCAGTGTCTCTGCAGGAAACCCAAGGGAACATGGCCTTTCTTTTCTATGGTTTTTGGAGGTTTCTGGGAACATTTACCCCTGCTGGTCTTTATCCCTGGGGCTAAGGTCACTGTTCTCTCTCTTTTAAGGAAAACCTCCAAATTTGAAGAATATGGAAGGACAAAAAAAACAGGTCAGAGGTGGCCCCTTGGAAAATGAACTTCATAAAAGAATTCTTGATTCTTTAAGCCAAAACCCAGTCAAGTTACAGTCTTTAGGAAAACAGAGCTTGGTAATTCCAGTTAACGTTTGTTACAAATACAGAGAGCTGGGTATCTCCTTATTAATAACCATTTATCTGGTGTTTTGTAAATCGAAAGCAAAATATCACATGCTTTGCGGGCCACTTATTAGACCGGCACCAGGCAAGCAGGAACGCCTTCCCAACTTGAGGGAGCTGGTAGAGTCCCAGGAGGACTGGCTGCAGAGTATGGGCTTCGGTTACACGTTCATTAAAGTATTTAATTTATGACAACGCCCCAGCAAAACTTTTAATTAGTGGGGGGAAAGGCCCAACAGCCAAAACGCAGGAGGCGGAAGGACTTGCAGAATTCCAGGAGCTAAATGGTGCCCAACCCTTCACTTTTCCTTCTCCCAGAACCTTGGCAAAATAAAAATGTCCCAAGTATTAATGTTTTTTTCAGGCACCAGTATACAGGCACAAAAACCAAGGTTACATACAACCTGTACTTTTAGCAAACAGATCTATCTCCTACTGTAAGAGGGAGCTCCAGGAATTTGGGTTTGTCCTTGTTGTCACCCCCAAGTTCATTTTGCTGACCCTGTCCCCAGCACTGTGATGTCCAGAGGATGGACCCCTGTGCTGCTGCCGGCCAGAAGTTGAATGCAGACAACCACAACAGGGCTGGTGCCAGTCTCAAATGGGCTTCTGCCATGGCTTCATGCCAGCCAGTGACAAAGCAGCAGACAGGCAGAGCTATGCTTCAAACTTTGATAGTCCCTATGGCGAATACTGAGAAAACCCCGGGAGAGGACTGACTTGCAGGTGACTGGAGCAGGAGGAACCTACCCCCCCCCCCCTTTTACTGGCTGTTGCCTATACTTCTGAAAAGTTCTAGTGTCTACTCCAGACCAAAGTCTTCTTTGCACCTTTTTAAACCGTCTTCCCATCTATCGAATCACCCTTTCCATTATTCCCACTGATGCTCCTGGCACTCACTAAGTCTCCGAGTTATCCCCATCAACCAGTCCTATTTGGTTCCCAAGACACTTCTCTCTGGACTAAAGCTTCCACGTGTTAAAGCTGAGCCCACCGGCTACACAGCACAAATACATGAAAAAGGAACAAAATGTAAAGCATATCAAGGGAACGTCTTTGCAAAAACAGCAAAAAACCCAGCCACAACAGAAAAATTCACCAAACTTCCAACAGAGGAAACCTAGAACCAACGTGAAGCCCAGCACCTCCCCAAGCCTTTGCCTACACACAAAAAGCCACGTTCTAGAGGCTCTATTTCTAACTTAAGATAAGCAGGATATTTTAAAAATCATCTACTCACCAGTTGGTTTGAGAAAATCCATCGGGTATCTGGAGTAAGGAGGGGGGGGAGACTCTGAAATTAAAAAAGCAAGAGAAAATAAAGGCCCAGCCATGAGAAGAGAGATAGAAACTTATGATAACAGAGGCATTCTTTTAGCCCAACTGTTTGTCTTAGCTGTGGGGGTTGGAGGCAGGGCCGCGAGGCGGTGATTGCCTTGATATTTAGCTGTCAGATAAACAAAAGAGGCCGCCTGGCGCCAGCCTCGGCGCTCCGCTCCTCCACGTCTGCGGCCGCAGCCGCCGCGCTCGGCTGGCCCGGCTGGAAACCACCGGCTCGGCCGGAGCCGCGCACTTCACAGTTCACAGGGCGGGGGGCGACCATGCCCCCTCCCCGTCCTCGGACTCCAGACCCAGCTCCCAGCAACCTCGGCTCCCCGCCCCGGCCCGCCCCCCAGGCGTGCAATTCACCTCTGCCCCCGCCGGTCCGCTCGGCACTCGCGCGGGGGACACGGGGCTGCCCATTCCTAGCGCACTCGGGAGATGCATCCCAAGCGTGCTGGGGAACGTGGGGGATCTGCGGGCGCCCGGGGTGAACCCTCACATCACACTCTGTGTACAGAGACGTAGAGTAAAGGAAGGAATGGAGAAAGCTGAGAGGATAAAAGGAAAGGAGTTTCAGGGTCTCAGCCGAGAAGCCCAGGCCCCAGCGCAGTAAGAGGCGACAACGTCACTGAGGCGCCGGGGCCCCACTAATCTACAGACTTATCTGTGCGGAAGGAAGGAAAAAGTAGGGGACACCCAACTTCTCCTGCCTGTTTGTTCCTCTGCACCCTGGGGCTGGCAGAGTTGAAAGGAGACAGATACCCAGTTCGGCCTTCCATCCAACTCTCTTTGCCCCAAAACTCCAAAGGTGCGCGGCCACGACAGTATCTGGGCCACTGGTGTTCGACGTGATTCTCCGTATTTACTAAAGGAGTAAATACGGAGACCTTCCAGCCTTTATAGCACGCCTCTCCCAGCCTTCCTTGGCGGGCCTGGACCAAATCCAACTCGGCCACACACCTCAACGTCTTTCCGGGTGCGGGGAGGCGTGACCCCCCCACCTCCCTCTGCACCCCCTTGTTGATCCGGAAATGAAGGCGTCTAATTTTTAACCGCAGACTGCAGGAGCAGTGCCCGTAGACCCCTTCGGGGCAACACAGGAGAAAACCTGGAAGGGAACCCCCAGGGAATGCCCTTTGAGTTTCCCCTTGTCCCTTCTCTACTTTCAGCCCCCAGTCTCTTCCCAGGAGGGTATGCACACTCTCCCAGGAGGGTATGCACACTCTCCCAGGAGGGTATGCACACTCCCCCTGGAGGGATGGCTGCACAAACGCACTGCCCTAGGGGCTTTTCTTCCAGCACTGGCGCTCCGGAAAATGTTGGGGGTAGGGGGACAACTTCTCACCTAGTTCGCAGAGTCGGCTAAGGTGATGGGGGTTGCAGCACACCAGCTCGGGGTTGATCTTCCCGTAAGATTCACAGCAACACAGCCTCTTGACTTCCGAGGAATGCCTGAGATCCGGCCACCTGAACACTTTGCACAGCAGGAGGGGGAGCGAGTAGGACGAGGGCGGCTGCGCAGGCTGCGCGCCGGCGGGCGCCCCCGGGCCCAGCCTGCAGTCCAGGCGGCCGGGCAGCAGGAGGCACGCGGTGCGCGTCCCGCCGCGGGACTCCACGGCCTGGAGCAGCAGCTCCAGCTGCCGCTCCTTCAGTTTCTTGAGCACCGAGTGCGTGAGCGCCTTCAGATCCGCCTCGGCGCCCCCGGCCGCGCCGGCGCCCGCGGCTGGCGGGTGGGGATGGTGGTGACCTTTGGCACCTCGCACCGCCTTGCCCAGGCAGCATCCAGCCCTGCCCGGGCCGCCGCCACCGGCCCCATGCGCTCGGCTGTCCGTCGCCCCTTCTCCCCGCAGCTCGCCTCCTCCTCCACCTCCCCCTGCGCCCTCCTCCTCGTCCTCGCCGCCGGGCGCACGGCTCCTCCAGAGACGCCGGACGAGCGCAGATCGTTTGGTCCTGAACATGCGGGGCGAGGAGGCGAGGAGAAAAGTCGTTTGCCTGCTAAGGAGCGAACATGACCTCCGCACACCATGAAGAAGTCGGGCGCCGAGTTGGGGCAGCAGGCGCAGGCGACAGCAGCAGCAGCAGGGGCCCGGGCAGGAGCGGCGGCGGCCCGAGGGGCGCTCCGTGGCATGCGCCAGTCTCCCGGAGGCCGGGGCGCGCGCGGGGGCCCGGGGGCGCCCGCCGGGGATCGGGGGCCTGCGCTCCGGCTGCCCCACCCCGCGCGGCCCGCGCCCTGCGCGGCTCTCCGGCCCCGGCGCGCCCCGGAGGAACCCGGCCGCCGCTTCCCTGGGGACGGCCGAGCCTGCCCCCGTCGGCGCCTCCCCAAAAAGAGGCCCCCCCGCAGTGGCTCCCGAATGTCGGGCTCGCCAGCCTCGGCTTCCTACATGGAAGGTCCGCGGGGGCAAAAAACGAAAGGCGTTCGGCTGGGCTGTTGGAAGAAGGAAAAAGCCTCTTTCCCCCTTGCTAAGCAACTTAATTTGGGGGTGGGGAGAAGCAGGCAATTAAAAAAAAAAAAGCAAGCGATTTATTTTTTTCCTCTATATCCTTAGTAACCGGATCTCCTCGAATTCCGCGCACACGAAGACTCAGGGGAGGGGGCCGAGTGGACTTCACCCCGCATGAGACGTCTGGCAAAATAAGAAGGCTCTCGCAAAACCTAACAACCAAATATGCAAAGCCCCAAATGAAAACCACCACCTCCTCGAACCTCAGAGGTCTGGGGGCGTCCGGCTGGAACTGGGGTTTAAAAAAAGAAAATGTTTACAAAGTATAACAAGATGTTTGATGGGTGGAAAAATGTATCCACGAGTTACATCCCCCCGTTTCCTTGCAAAGCCCCGCTGGTCTTCCTCTCCTTTTCTTCTGCCAAAAAAAAAAAAAAAAATCGTGTATTTTTTTAATCCACAGAAAGCTTTGGCTAGACCGCTTCAATCCTGCGCATCTGGGTGGTTTAGGGGAGTCTCTGGTCTTTCCCCCTGCGCTCCTGGGGGCCCAGGTCCTCGGCGGGGACTTCCTCGAGGCTGGCGCGGGCGCAGGGGCAGAAGATGCTGCGGCGGCGGCTGAGCCCGGCGGGGCTGACAGCGCGGGGGAGGGTGGCGCGGCGGCGGCGGAGGGCCCCAGACGGGTCGCGCGTTCTCGCCCCCCCCGGGCACAAGCTGCTTGCTAGTGCAGGGGCCGCCGATGTCCCTTCCCCTGGCCGCGGCTGGCCGCCGAGGCTCCCCGCATGGGCTGCTCGCCTCGACCCAGCTGCGGCGGCAGGAGGCCCCGGTGTCCTCTCGGCGCCTCCTCCTCCGAGACTCTCCTCGTCGCGCCCGGGAGCCTCCTTGTCCCCGGTCCGCCCTCTCCTGGCGCTCCGGTCCTTCTGCCGCCGCCAGGGGCTCGCCGCGCCGCACTCAGGGGCTCAGGGGCCGGGCGCTCGGCGGCTCGGCGCCGACGGACTGGCTCTGTCTCGGGCAGCTCTCTCCCGCGCGGCGAGCGGACCGAGCACGGCGCCCGGCTGGCTCGGCTGGCGCGGCTCGGGGACAGGATCTTCCGTGCGCCGAGCAGCAAGCGAGTGTGCCCGGGGCTCACCGCCTCCCGCAAGGCCTCCCGCCCCCGCCCCCTTCCCTCCCCCTTCCTCCCCCTTCCCTCCCCCGCCCCCAGCCGCCGCAGCCGCGCCGCCTCCTCCCCGCCCCCCCGCACCCCCCCTCCGGCCCTCTGCTCGGCTGGTTCCACTGCGCAGTGGCGCGCCCGGCTCCGGCCTCGTCACGTGGCCGTCTAGACACCCTGTCGCTTTAAAAAAAAAAAAAAAGCGATTGTGTTTCGCAAACAACAGATCGGGTTTCTAAAAGCTATTTCTCCCCCCAACCCCCCGCCACCGCCACCCCCTCCCGGGTCTGTAGAGGGGGTACCGATGGAGGGGAGAGAGATAGGTGGGGGGCAGAGAAGCTCCCAGAATGGATTGAGCCCCGGCCGGAGCCATGGAGAAATTGGAAAAGCAGGGAGCACCGAGCGGGCTTCGCCGCGAGTTTTGGAGCTGAGCGAGCGGGTCGGTGGCCCGATTTCGACCCGGCTGGGTTTCGCGGTGGCCATCTCGCGCGCGCTCGCCCTAGCGCTTCATTCATTGGTTTTGTTTTAAAGGCCCTGGCGGTGGATCCCTTGGCCGCGCCCGAGGGCAAGGGGAGGAGAGCGCTGTCTCGGTTTAAAAGACATTTATACCGGACTGGACCGAGGCCCTGGGAAGTGTGCGCTGAGGGGAACAGCCGCCGAGGGCGGGGAGGCGGCGTGAATATGACCTCAGCGGCGGCCGCGCGCTCCCTCCCGCCCTCTCAGCTCCGGGCTCCGGTTTCTAGGACTGCCTGGAGAAGTGTGTCTTGTGCACAGCTCTGGAATGCATTTGGCCGGCTGACGAGCTGTGAGGGGCAGCATCCCGGCGGGAGAAGGGGAGCGGGGGTGGGGGCTCGCCTGCGCGCCGCGGGCAGGTTTCCTCCCGGGCCCGGAAGACCTCCGCCACCCGCCACCCTGCCTCCCGGCGCGGGAAGGTTACCCAGCGAGCAGACCTGCCTAGGGCATTCATTTGCATGCAGGCCCTGTTTCTGGGCCTCGTAGCTTTCAAGGTGCTTAGAGTCAGAGAGTTTATTCCTTGACCCCAGGTCCCGAAGAAACATATACCCAAGCTGGCGGGTTACTGCATAGAAACGGGCATGGCATTGCTAGGGCATAAACGCATTTACAGCGTGAAAGCTGATGGCTCCGAGAAACGTAATGATTTAAATACACACACATCAGTATTGATGAGGCCACTAGTTGGCATGGTGATCTAACCTCACTTCATATTCAGTGAAATACGATTTTTTTAAAAAGCCATTGAGAATTGTGAGATCAGGCCAGCAGTGAAACTCGTTGGGGGCTTTAAAGAATCTTTTTTTCTTTCTTTCTTTCTTTTTTTTTTTTTTTTTAGAGTCTCACTCTTCACCCGGGCTAGAGTCCAGTGGCTCGATTTCGGCTCACTGCAGCCTCTGCCTCCCCAGATCAAACGATTCTCCCACCTCAGCCTCCGGAGTAGCTGGGACTACAGGCGCGCGCCACCACATCTGGCTAATTTTTGTATTTTTTGGTAGTGACGCGGTTTAACCATGTTGGCCAGGCTGATGTGGAACTCCTGACCTCAAGTGATCTACCTGCCTCAGCCTCTCAAAGTACTGGGAGTACAGGCGTGAGCCACTGCACCTGGCCTTAAAATAATCTTTAGAAAAGGTGAAATGTGCCCAGGTGCGATGGCTCACGCTTGTAATCCCAGCACTTTGGGAGGCTGAGGCAGGTGGATCACCTGAGGTCAAGAGTTTGAGACCAGCCTGGCCAACATGGTGAAACCCGTCTCTACTAAAAATACAAAAATTAGCCAGGCGGGTGGCGCGCGCCAGTAATCCCAGCTGAGACAGGAGAATTGCTTGAACCCGGGAGACGGAGGTTGCAGTGAGCTGAGATCGCGCCACTGCACTCCATCCTGGGCAACAGAGTGAGACTCTGTCTCAAAAAAAGAAAAGAAAAAAAGAAAAGTAAAGATGAAATGTACATCTTGCCGGCTAAATTATATGTTCTTAAAAGGAAAAGGCAGGAATGAATCTTAGCCGCCTTTAGAGCTCAAGTCCTCTCCCCCTCTAGCAATTAAAAAGATTTCTAACATATTAGTACAATAGTAGATGCTTAATAAATATTTAGAAATCAACACTTAGGGCTTAAGGGGCATTTGGACCCTTCCTCCACCCCACCAAAAGTACCTTTGGTAATATAAATTCAAGAGGAAATCAGCAACATTGCTTACATGATCATTTCCAGGCAAGGAGATCCTAACACTTATTGACTTGGAAGATAGTAGGATGCCAAGCAGTGCAGAACCCTACTGGACGGACAGAAGCTGCCATTCTGAACATTTACTGTGTAAGGCCACATAAGCTGCAGTTGTATAACATCATAATTTTGTTGTAAATTAAAATATGGCTTGTATAAAAGGGCATTGAAACCTTGTGTGTGTATTAAAAAAACATTCTAAGAAGCAACCTGTGAAGACAGCAGCTGAGAAAGCACAGGAGAGAATGGAGAAGGAGTGTAATCCCAGCACTTTGGGAGGCCTATCATGATAGGCAAGGGAAGACGAAAGAGACAGAAGTGGGATTTTTTTTTTTTTTTTTTTTTTTGAGATGGAGCCTTGCTTTGTCACCCAGCCTAGAGGGCAGTGGCATGATCTCAGCTCACTGCAACCTCCGCCTCCTGGGTTCAAGCAATTCTCCTGCCTCAGCCTCCCTAGTAGCTGGAACTACACGTGCACTCCACACCTCGCTAATTTTTTTGTATTTTAGCAGAGACAAGGTTTCACCGTGTTGCCCAGGCTAGTCTCGAACTCCTGAGCTCAGGCGATCCACCCGCCTCAGCCTCCCAAAGTGTGGGATAACAGGCATGAGCCACAGCGCCCGGCCCAGAAATGGGATTTTTAAGGTGTCTGGGAAATGTATCATATTTTCACCTTAGAAAGGCTTAGAAAGAGTACCAGACTAGAGGTCAGAAAACCTGATTCCAGGCTGGGGCGTTGCCGCTCACTGGTTAAGCAACTAGGGCCAACAGCAATCCCCACGTTAGGCGAGCACTTGGCAGAGTTTATAAGATTTTCTGGGCAAGTTTCCGCTCTCTAGGGTCCCATTCCCTCTCTGTTCTGGATCTCCCTAAAAGATCTTCACTTATTGAGAGTGGTCAGACCAGGCTTCATAGCAACAGAAAGGACTTAAATAAGCAGAGAAAGTAGAGGTCATAATTCTAATTCAGTTTCTTGGCTAAATGGAGAATCTGAAGAATCTTTTGGAGATCTGGCCAGTAGTGCTAAGGCTCTGTAATGAGAGGCCGGAGCACACACAGGGCAGGTAGGTTTCATGGGTGTTTCAAGAGTGGAGTCTGACGTCACGGTTTGTCTGGGTGGAACATGCATGTACTTGCAGAGATATGTTCCCGTATAGTGTAATTGTAGGTGTATTAATTCAGGTGTCACCCCTCTCTACACGGCTTTCCTCTTCCATTTTGCTACCCTAGGTAGAAGCTGGGTGCGGTGCTGAGCAAGTAGCTACAATGATTGGTGCTGCTTTATAGCTCCCTGGCATCCCCTGAATCAGTTAACATCCCAGCTTTCCTGATAGCCCCACCCCATCACATTCTTATCCCTCTCCTCTCCAAGAAAGAAGCCAGAAGCCTGGCAGTAGAGGAATTCCCAGCAGGCTGGTGTGCCTAGAAAGGTAGTTTCTTTCTTTCCCTTCCACAGGCACAAAGGAGGCCAACAAACACGCAGTTTCAGACTATTCTGACCCTTAAGAAAAAAGTTTAAGAGTTCACCAAACTATTGTGAATGAGTTTGATTCTAATCATTTGCTGGCAGGGAATATGGAATAAAATAGCTCATTTGCAGTTGTTTATTTCCTGTTGTGGCTTCTATTTTCATCTTTTAGTCGCTTTGGTGATAGTAATCAAACCCTAATCATGGTGCCGCCACAAGTCACAGAGACCAAAATAACTTGCAGCAGAGTTATGACAAACAAGGATGGAATCAGCTAAAGACCTGGCTACTTAATCACCGGCCACTGCCGCCCAGAGGACTGTGGGGCTGCCTCTTGACCGGCTGCTGGCTAGGAATCTAGAGGAGAGAGGAAGTCGAGGGAAGTTGCTCCAAGGCCCATGTTTTCTGAGCAGCCAGGGAAGGCAGTAGAGTGCACAGGAAGTGACCGAAAAAGCAGGTGAATTCTCCACACCTGCCAAGGGGAGAGGCAGGCTTCTGGAGGGGCCTGACTTGAGAGAGAAAGAGGAGGGGAAAAAAATCTCCAAAACTCTTGACACCTCAAAACAATGATAAGTAAAAGCTGAAAAGTGCCTGTCTAGAGAAGACAGGATTCTGCCTTTCAGTTCTTTGCTCATTGTCAGTGGATTCCAGAAGAGAAGGGCAGAGAGAGGCCCCAAAGCATGTATGGATGTGTGTTGATGGGAGTGAGGACAGGGGTAAAGATTTTTTTCTTGCACAAGCCAAAAGAAGAAACCATTGAGGAGACCAAAAAAGTACTGGAAAACATCAACATTTCTTGCACAATCATCCCCTGAAAAATGTGTGAGTGAGCCCTAAACCATGCACAACTGGCAACAATACAAATGGAAGTGATGGCTTATGAAAAGAAGACAGTACAAGGAAGGCTGATGGGACAATCAACGCTTCTTGGCTTCTCTTGGAAGAACAGGAACATAAGTGAATGAAAATGCATCTAATTCACTATCAAACAAAAATACTATAAGCCCGGACTCCACAAATATTCTTGGATTACAGACAAGCTGTCAGCTGATCCCCAACATTTGCCAGGTGCCTATCCAGAGCATGCAACTAGGTATCAGGGATTGGAATGGGGGCAGGATGAAATGAATGTTGCTATGGAGGAGATGAGAAACATCCAGAAAAGGTAAAGAGTGAGGACAATAGAGACATTCAAATCTACAGTCACATTTAGATGCCGTTTCCTCCAAGGAGGGCCCCTGGACAGCTGAAGAACAGAACTGGGAGGGGAATTTTACTCTGTATAATTTTGTACCTTTTGAATTGTGAACCGTGTGAATGTGTTACTTATTCAAAAATAAACAGATTTAAATTGTTTTCAAATCTCTGCTTGCTTTTCTCATTTCCTGAAATTCGTTGTTCTGATGTCCTTGTAGAAAAGGACAAGTTGGCAAGGTCCCACGTGGAAATGATGCTATAGACAGCTTCTCTCTCTGTGAGGCAGTTGCTACAGGAAGAGGCTGGTAACAACAGAGGCCAATGTCTCATCCCAGACAGCAAGGGTGGAGGCTGCTTCGTCATGAGCCTGGCCAGAGTCAGCGAGGAAACATGCCCATCCTAATCAAAAGTCATTCCAGATATCAGTCAGGTGCAAGTCCTAACCTGGGATGGACAGCCTAATAAATACTGCTGTCAGGGCCGGGCGCAGTGGCTCACGCCTGTAATCCCAGGACTTTGGGAGGCCAAGGCGGGCAGATCACTTGAGGTCAGGAGTTTGAGACCAGCCTGGCCAACATGGTGAAACTCCATTTCTACTAAAAATACAAAAAAATTAGCCAGGCGTGGTGGCATGCTCCTGTAATCCCAGCTACTTGGGAGGCTGAGGCAGGAGAATCACTTGAACCCAGGAGGCCGAGGGTGCAGTGAGCTGAGATCACCACACTGCACTCTAGCCTGGGCGACAGAGTGAGACTCCATCTCAAAAAAAAAAAGATAAATACGGCTGTCAGGATGACACAGGCACAGGAAGGAGCCTGCCCAATCTGAGAAAATGAGAGCTTTGCTTTTTGGAACAGAAACGTGTTCACATGATTTTCAATTCATTTAGCCAGCACTGATTCAGAGCTGATTGGAGTCAGGATCCAGGAGAGACCTCTGAGGGTTATAAATGTGAGGATTAATCAGCCTTTGCCCTCAAGAAGTCCACAGTCTAGGAGAGCCACAAACTCTCATGAAATGGGATCAGTGTTACCCCAGCAGCAAGAATGGAGGCACTGGCTCTAAGAACAGAAAGTCAAGGGACTCATTCTGTCTGGGAGAGGCCTCAAAAGGTTTCCCAAAGGAAGAAATATTTTAGACTAGATTAGCTGAGTTGACTAGCCAGGCAAAGGTGATCAGAGTCCTAATTGTCCTATCAAAAAGAAAAAAAAAAAAGAAAGGATTACAAATATGAGCCACCACACCTGGAACAATGCCTGGTGTGATGGCTCACGCCTGTAATCCCAGCACTTTGGACAGCTGAGGTGGGAGGACTGCCTGAGCCCAGGAGTTGGAGACCAGCCTGGGCAACATAGTGGGAACTCGTCCCTACAAAAAATACAAAAATTATGGCCAAGCGTGGTGGCTCACGCCTGTAATCCCAGCACTTTGGGAGGCTGAGGCAGGTGGATCACCTGAGGTCAAGAGTTCGAGACCAGCCTGACCAACATGGTGAAACCCTGTCTCTACTAAATATACAAAAATTAGCTGGGCGTGGTGGCTGGCACCTGTAATTCCAGCTACTCAGGAGGCTGAGGCAGGAGAATCGCTTGAACCCGGGAGGCAGAGGTTGCAGTGAGCCCAGACTGCGCCACTGCACTCCAGCCTGGGTGACAGAGAGAGATTCTATCTCAATAATAATAATAATAATAATAATAATAATAATACAAAAATTAGCTGGGGGTGGTGGTGCGTGCCTGTAGTCCCAGCTACTCTGGAGGCTGAGGTGGGAGGATCACTTGAGACCCTGAGGTAGAGGCTGCAGTGAGCTAAGACTGCACCACTGCTCTCCAGCCTAAGTGACAGAAAAAAAAGGAACGAAATTTTGTTTTCTTTGAGCTAACTTTTCAATACCCAAGCCACACTTATCACTTAAGTGTATAACTTTATAAACACTCCCAAGCCATAGGAAGTCAGTGATGAAAGTGAGGTCCCTGCAGTGGGTGGTCTGGGAGGGCATCTCCCTCAGAAGGCAGTTTTCTCTGTAGAAAACATTGGAGGAAAAACACTAGATCGTCTACGGTTACAGAGAAGTTTCTCCTCAAATAACTATAGAGATCGCCACGATCTCCACCCCTCAGATCAAGAGCAGGCCTTACTTGAGTCAAACTGGTTCATGTTAGGAAGTTGTGCCAGTTTTAAGACAAGTGGAAGGGAAGTACCCTCAGCAGGGAAGTTGGCTGAGATGCCTCAGTAATGGGGGTACTTAAATAATGCTCTCAAATGCCAACAACAAAAAATTATTATTTGCCATTATCGTATAGACGGTGAGACATACAGTTGGCTGATCCCTACAGGTACTAAAAAATTGATTTTAAAGACAGCAAAGCAAGGAAATCAGTGTTGAGCCTAACCCAGATGGACCCTGATGGGTCCTGGTGTTATTTCTCACTGGCCATGTTGCAGACAAGTTCTTCATTCCAGCTTCCAGCCACTCAACTGGGCAGCTCCAAGTTCCTGGTCACATTGGGCTACCAAATTATCCTTTTCTGTTTTCTGATTTTTTTCCTATTTTTATCTTTCCCATTCCTCTGCCAAAAGTCCTTAATGGGTCACTTAAGTGCTGAATTCTGCCTAGTAAGTGCTGGTTAGGATCTGAGCTATGAGACATGCTGGTAATCGTGATTCAGAACAGAAAGCCTGCGGAGGGGTGAATGATGTTTTATCTGTAGTAGGGAATTGGGACTAGAGCAAAGGGGTCATACAGGTGACCGCACATGCTGCCCCTGGCACGTGCTGGGACCCACCGAAGGAGTGAGGGCCAAGGCATCTTGCTCATTCTCCCAACGCAGACCTAGGAGAATAGAAAGGCCCTCAGCTCGGCTTTAGGATTCAATAGACTTTTCTGCCATTGCTAGCTATAAGACCTTAGGGAAGTCTGTTTCCAGTCTGTCTACCTTCCTCATACAACAAACACTGAATTAACAATGTCTTGTGTCTTCTGTGTGCCAGACTCAGCGTGAGGCTCCAAGAACAAAGTCCTCACGGTGGGGTTGCTGGGAGGAGACGTTCACACCACAAGAGCCCCAGTGCTATGTAAACCAAGTGGTATACAGATGCTAATTATCATATTATCATGGATTCTGAGGTCCTAGCTGCCCAATAAGCACATTTTGCCTAATCTTCCGTGCCTAGGAAATGAATTTTTAGAGGAGATAATTGTCCAAGTGATAGGGTAATGAAGAAGGAAGCTACTTTTTCTAGTGGCTGGGATTTTGTTTGTGTGGGGGTTTTTTGTTTTCAGTTTTTTGAGACAGAGTCTCGCTCTGTCACGCAGGCTGGAGTGCTGTGGCAGGATCGTGACTCACCGCAACCTCCGCCTCCCAGATTCAAGCGATTCTCCTGCCTCAGCCTCCTGAGTGGCTGGGATTACAGTGTGCACCACCACACTTGGCTAATTTTTGTATTTTTAGTAGAAACGGGGTTTCACCATGCTGGTCAAGTTGGTCTCGAACCTCAAGTGACCTCAAGTGATCCGCCCGCCTCGGTCTCCCAAAGTGATGGGATTACAGCCATGAGCCACCATGCCCGGCCCCTTGTGTGGGTTTTATAAGGACCAGTTAGAACTCTGTCAAAGAGGTAAGGCTAGCGTCTGAGTTTAAAAACAAACAAATAAACCTAGGGAAATCTTTTCCCTGTTGGAATAAGAGAGGGATAAGTGAGGAAACAATGTAAGTGTTTTTAGTTCTTTTCTAGTACTACTATGAGTCATACATATTTTCCTGTGTCCTGGAGATATCTCCCCTGGTAATTATGAGATACAAGGAGGAAGTGAAGAGGGATTCATTTTCATGGAGAGGAGTTACCCAGTGGGCAGGATTCTGCTGTGCCCAATTTAGTTTTGATCCCCCTCTATCCCATAAACATTTCTTTTGAAGGCTTTCAAAGTTGGGGGAAGATGATGTTATTTAGCATTGTTAGAGTCTGGTAGACCATAAAGGAAAAATCTGGAGAAATGCAGTAAAATGAGGTTCAAGCCAGAAGGGATTATAAACGTTACATAGCCCAGAGAGTCTCCATCTTCAGTCCATCTTATTTGGTACTTTTTCTTTGCTTTTTCTATTTTATTGATTTTTGAATAGGCAATGCATGCACAATGGTACACAATTCCAAGAATACAAAAGGGGAGGAAGAAAAAGATAAGGCTTCCTTCTACCTGGGCTGCCAGCCACCCATGCCTCTCATAGGCAGCCACCATTACAGCCAAAGAGGCAGAACATGAACAGGCCTCGGCTCGGCGCGATGGCTCACGCCTGTAATCCCAGCACTTTGGGAGGCCGAGGCAGGAGCATCACAGGGTCAGGAGATCGAGACCATCCTGGCCAACATGGTGAAACGCCATCTCTACTAAAAATACAACAAATTAGCTGGGTGTGGTAGCACGTGCCTGTAGTCCCAGCTACTTGGGAGGCTGAGGCAGGAGAATCGCTTGAACCTGGGAGGCGGAGGTTGCAGTGAGCCGAGATCGCGCCACTGCACTCCAGCCTGGGTGACAGAGTGAGACTCCATCTCAAAAAAAAAAAAAAAAAATTAGGTCTCTGCTTTGCTCTCCAGTCCCACTTGCCTGGTCAATATCTCAAAGGCACCCTGAGCTCATTAGGTCCCAGATAGGCCATCTTCCTCCTGTTACAAGAAAGTGGTCCCGAGCCAGACCACAAGAGAGAGTTCTTTGGATCTCGCATAAGAAAGAATTCAGGGCAAGTCCACAGTGCAAAGTGAAAGCAAGTTTATTAAGAAAGTAAAGAAATGGCAGGGCACGATGACTCACGTCTGTTATCCCAGCACTTTGGGAGGCGGAGGCGGGCGGATCACCAGGTCAGGAGATGGAGACCATCCTAGCTAACACGGTGACACCCTGTCTCTACTAAAAAGAAAATGAAAAACTAGGCGGGCATGGTGGCACACGCCTGCAGTCCCAGCTACTCGGGAGGCTGAGGCAGGAGAATCGCTTGAACCTGGGTGGCAGAGGTTGCAGTGAGCTGAGATCGCGCCACTGCACTCCAGCCTGGGTGACAGAGCAAGACTCCATCTCAAAAAAAAAAAAAAAAAAAAGTAAGTAAAGGAATAAAAGAACAGCTACTCCATAGACAGAGCAGCCCCAAGGGCTGCTGGTTGCCCATTTTTATGGTTATTTCTTAATGACATGCTAAACAAGGCGTGGATTATTCATGTGTCCCCTTTTTTTAGACCATATAGGGTAATTTCCTGACATTACCTGGAATCTGCAAACTGTCATGGCGCTGGTGGGAGTGTAACAGTGAGGATGACCAGAGGTCACTCTTGTCGCCATCTTGGTGGATTTTGGCCAGCTTCTCTACTGCAACCTGTTTTATCAGCAAGGTATTTTTGACCTGTATCTTGTGCCGACCTCCTATCTCATCCTGTGACTTAGAATGCCTTAACCCTCTGGGAATGCAGCCAGTAGGTCTCAGCCTCATTTTACCCAGCCCCTATTCAAGATGGAGTTGCTCTGGTTCAAACTCCTCTAACACTCCCAAACAGGCTTTTCCTCCAGAGCTCCACGCTCAGAAAGCTCACTCCTCACCATCCAGTGATCACAACCAGAAACCAAGGACAACAAACCTCTCCCTTACCCCTTATCCTACCAGCCCCAAAGCCTATCCATTTTATCTCCAAAATGCCTCTCCACTTATCTGCTTTTCTCCAGTCTCACCCACCACAACCACCCAGCATCTGTCCGGGACTGGTCCACACCTTAGCCTCTGCTGTCTTCCTCAGACCCACCCAGTCCCTCTCCCCTGCCAGGTGGTCGGGCTCAGTGCTGATTTGAGTCCTCAGACCCACCCAGTCCCTCTCCCCTGCCAGGCGGTCGGGCTCAGTGCTGATTTGAGTGCACAACCACCCAGCGGGGCTTCTGCACGCCCTTGGATCAAAGACAAATTCCCTTCCTGGCCATACAAAACCCTGAGTGACCTGGAGCCCTCTCCCTCCCTCCCGCGTCCCCTCAGTACTCTTCCTTCCATCCCACTGAGCGCGTTCACTTACACAGGGTGCTTACCAGTCAGCTTCCCAGCTGTGGAATCTCTGCCGGCTGCATTTTTTGAGTAAATGGCTGTATGTACAAAAAGAGTTCACATTCATTCCTCTTTTTTTCTTGGAATGGGCAGAGCATGTTAAGTAGAATTTGATGATGGAGACGATGAAGAAATTCCTTGACGTTAATCTGAAATTGATCACTTGTTTAAAATTACACAAACACATCTTGCTTTTGAAAGAACCAAAGGGAAATACCATTCAATGCCAAAAGAGGCCTAGGAAAGCAGGGATGAGCTCATTTGAAAAAGCCCCAGGAGCCTGATCAATGTCTAGGTTCTGGCTTTCCCAGAGGAGCCTCACTTGCCTTGCTTATGCTTTCTGCATGCAATACCTCCCAGTGCAAAGAGAGGGTAGTCACAGGCTCTGGGTGGAATGGGAGATCCCCATTTGCCCCCACATCCTTCCTCCTCCTGGCACATTGGTCTACTGGGTAGCAGCCCTCAGGCTGGGGGGAGCTCCCCAAGGGTTCCCTACCCAGGCCTCTGCCTCACTCTCCACTTCCA
The DNA here is from genome assembly GCF_000001405.40 of Homo sapiens. NCBI lineage: Eukaryota > Metazoa > Chordata > Mammalia > Primates > Hominidae > Homo > Homo sapiens. The sequence continues at coordinate 48,963,557 of NC_000018.10, forward strand.
GCTTAGTTTTCCCCTCTTCCGAGTCCCTGGATTCCAGGGGACACCAGCTCTGTGAGCATGAACACTCAGACTAGGGGAGAGGCCCCGACAGTTGGCTGTGCGTGCCCAGAACTGCCTATCCAAGTAGACTTCTGCTGTCAAGCCAGAGACACTAAGGAACACCTACTCAATGAGCAGTAAATCCCTCATGACGCTAGGAGAGGGTGGGCACACCCATTCCATCTCCCGCCCACCCCACTCCACACCCCACCAATCGCACTCACCCTTGATCTCAGCCAGCTGTCCCCTGGTGTCCTCCACTGGCCTTGGAGATGCAGGAGTACGGGAGAAGCGGAATAAATCCCACCCCAGCAAGAAAAATACAGGTCCCAGAGGCACTCAACAGACATATGTTCCCTTCCTCCTTCTCTCCTGGTGACAGTGACAGATAGGGGCCCCCTGGGGCGGGTGGATATTTTCATCTTCCAAGAGAATGCACTCCATTACTCCAGGACTTTTCTGTCCTCTCCGCCTCCACACAGCCTTCCAGCCTAACACTCAGTCTCTCAAGGAATATTCTTGACACTTTAAAGGATCTGGCCAGCACATAAGCCAATGTGGCTGCATTCTTTAATTAATATTTATTGAGTGTCCCTATTAGGTGCCTGGCAAGCTCAGAGTGTTGTATGTGGCTAAAATATCTATTCCCCTTCCTCTCCAAGAATGTGCGTTCCTGGACAACCCAGGAATGTGGACATGCCAAGTAAAGGAGCAGCACACTCTAGCAACAGCAAGAGCTGGGAGTCCACAGACAGAGGCAGGACTCAGGGCCAGAGGGCAGGGGCTTGAGCCCTGGGGTCCCAGATGGGCTGTGTGACATCTAGCAGGTAATGTCACTTCTCTGAGCCTGTGTCTACAAAAATGTGATTGGCAATATCACTCTGCCTGCCTCCTGGGGCTGGGAATGTTGTAGAAACCAAGTAAGATCACATAAGTGATGTCTCTGGAAAAGTTTAAAAAGAATACCACATATTTCCTCCTAAATAAAATCTTTGGTGTCTGTCTTGATAGGCACAAAAATTGAATCAGGTTTAAAAGAATAGGATCCTAGGAAGTCAACATCTGAAAAACGCTATTCGTGGCATGAATTTAGATTTTGAGGCTCTGATCCAAACTGCGGATGAGCGCCTTTACCCTTTGATAAATATTAAATATACTCATCTTCAATTCTGTATCTTCAATTATATATATATCCTTCCCAATGTGTATGTATGTATATATAATACATATACATATAATTGAAGATTATATAAATGTATTATATACGTATACAATTATATATGTATATAATACAATTATACATGTATGTAATCTTCATTATATGTACATGTATTACATGTACATACACACATACACATTGGGAGGAAGGACAGTCCTTTCCAGAGGTCCCTTTGCAACAATTTGATGCTGCATAGTTGCAAATGCAATAAACTCTATGCATGTGGCTATGAATTAATTAGACTGTGAGATACCGTAAGTGAACAGTTAGGTATGCAAACTTCAGAATTTTAATTTCTTTTCTTTTCTTTTCTTTTTTTTTTTTTTTGAGACCAAGTCTCGCTCTGTCACCCAGGCTGGAGTGCAGTGGCACAATCTCGGCTCACTGCAAGCTCCGCCTCCCGGGTTCATGCCATTCTCCTGCCTCAGCCTCCCAAGTAGCTGGGACTACAGGCGCCCGCCACCATGCCCATCTAATTTTTTGTATTTTTAGTAGAGACGGGGTTTCACCGCATTAGCCAGGATGGTCTCGATCTCCTGACCTCGTGATCCGCCCGCCTTGGCCTCCCAAAGTGCTGGGATTACAGGCGTGAGCCACCGCGTCCGGCCCAGAATTTTAATTTCATCCATTCTTATCGGATGTGTAAGTTGGTGTCATCTTTCTGGACAGCAGCAGACGATTTGAATCAAGAGCCTTAAAAATGTTCCTGTGGATACACAAAATGTGGTAAATTATACATATATATAGTTTCCATCTATAATAGTCCACTACACACACACACACACACACACACACACACACACACACACACATATACACATATATATGATGGAATATTATTCAACCTTAAAAAAGAAAGAAATTCTGACACATGCTTCAGTACGGATAAACCTTGAAGACATACTAAGTGAAATAAGCCAGTCACAAAAGGACAAATACTGCATAATTCTACTTATATGAGGTAGTCAAATTCAGAGTATAGAAAGTAGAATCAGCCGGGCACGGTAGCTCATGCCTGTAATCCCAGCACTTTGGGAGGCCAAGGCGGGCGGATCACGAGGTCAGGAGATCAAGACCATCCTGGCCAACATGGCAAAACCCCGTCTCTACTAAAAATACAAAAAAATTAGCCGGGCGTGGTGGCGGGCGCCTGTAGTCCTAGCTACTCGGGAGGCTGAGGCAGGAGAATGGCGTGAACCCGGGAGGCGGAGCTTGCGGTGAGCCGAGATCGCACCACTGCACTCCAGCCTGGGCAACAGGGCGAGACTCCGTCTCAAAAAAAAAAAAGTAGAATCAAGGTTACCAGGGGCCGGGCAGAGAGGACAGGGAATTATTGTTTAGTGGATATGGAGTTTCAATTATGGAAGATGAAAAAGTTCTAGAGATGGATAGTAGTGATGTTTGCACAGCAATGTGAATATACCTAATACCACTGAACTATATGCTTTAAGATGGCTAAAATGGTAAATTCTTTCTTTTTTTTTTCGAGGCAGAGTCTGGCTCTGTCACCCAGGCTGGAGTGCAATAGCGCGATATTGGCTGACTGCAACATTTGCCTCCCAGGTTCAAGCATAAAATGGTAAATTATATGCATTTTACCACAATTTTTAAAAACGTTCCAATTCTCTGACCCAGTAATCCATCTAGATATCTGCTCAAAGGACAAGAACAGAAGATTAGGTGGCTCACAACTGTAATACCAGCACTTTGGGTCACAGGTGATAAAAGTCTTTGATACTGACCACATTGGGTAGCCAGCAGATGAGGTTCCATCCACACCAAGTGTCATCACTCAACTAACCTTGTGACCTTGGACACATCACTAAACCTCACTGGGTACCACCAAAAGAGGCATCAAGAAAGGCAGTGGTTAGAAGCACAAACTCTAAACTCTAGAACTAGGCTACCCCAATTCAAACATTGGCTCTGCCCCTTACACTCATTATGACTCAATATTCACATCTGTAAAATGGGGGGATAATAATAGCACTTTCGTTGTAGGGTTGTTCTGAGAATTAAATTAATAATTGTATTAAAATACATAAAAGTTCTCAGAAAAGTACCTGACACATAGTAGTGTTCTATAAGTGTTAGCTGTAAAAATAACAACCATCAGCTGGGCGCTGTGGCTTGCACCTGTAATCCCAGCCATTTGGGAGGCCGAGGCAGGTGGATCACCTGAAGTTAGGAGTTCAAAACCAGCCTGGCCAACATGGTGAAACCCCGTCTCTACTAAAAATACAAAAATTAGGCCAGGTGTGGTGGCTCACGCCTGTCACCCCAGCACTTTGGGAGGCCAAGGTGGGCGGATCACAAGGTCAGGAGATTGAGACCATCCTGGCTAACACAGTGAAACCCTGTCTCTACTAAAAAGAAATACATAAAAAATTAGCCAGGCTTGGTGGCGGGCACCTGTAATCCCAGCTACTCGGGAGGCTGAGGCAGGAGAATGGCATGAACCCGGAAGGCAGGGCTTGCAGTGAGCCGAGATTGCACCACTGCACTCCAGCCTGGGCGACAGAGCAAGACTCCGTCTTAAAAAAAAAAAAAAAATTAGCTGGGCGTGGTGGTGGACGCCTGTAATCTCAGCTACTCGGGAGGCTGAGGCAGGAGAATCACTTGAACCCAGGAGGCGGAGGTTGCAGTAAGCCAAGATTGTGCCATTGCACTCCAGCCTGGGTGACAAGAGCAAAACTCTGTCTCAAAAAAAAATCAATATTATTATTAATAAAATTTAGCTGTACATGGAAAAAAACAACTCTTAGGCTAGAAGGTAGATGACCTCATTTAAAGATGAAATTTTAGATCCTGAAATAAGAGATTCTGTAGAGTCTCTTTTCTTGGGAATTGTGGACTCAGAGTTGGGAATAACATTAGAAATAATCGATAAGAAAGGTCATTCAACCTGTCTGAAGACTTTCAGGAACTGTGAGTTCCCTGCTTTCAAGGAAACCCATTCTTCCTTGCTGAACTTTCTAGTTAAAAGGCTGACTCCAATCTGAGTTGAAATTTACCGCTTATAACTTCCAGCTATTTTTTTTTTTCTTTGAGACAGGGTCTGGCTCTGTTGCCCAAGCTGGAGTGCAGTGATGACACTGCAGCCTCTTCCTCCAGGGCTCAAGCAATCCTACACACCTCAGCCTCCCAAGTAGCTAGGAGTACAAGTGTGCACCACCACACCTGGCTAATTTTCTAAAAATTTTTTGCAGGGACGGTGCCTCCCTATGTTGCTCAAGCTAGTTTTGAACTGGCCTCAAGTCATCCTCCTGTCTCCTGTTCCCAAAGTGCTGGGATTACAGGCATGAGCCACTGTGCCTGTCCTAATGTCTACCTATTGATCCTACTCTTACCTTCAGCAGCTGCATAACAAATGTAATCTAATTCCACCTGCCAGCCCTCCTTGAACACCTTCCTGCATCCTCCTTCACCCTCTCTCCTATCAACTGAACATTCTCTCTTCTGTCAGGTGATCATCCCAGGACAGGACGTCCAGCTCATGGTCACCCTCCTTTGGGAGCCTCAATTGGTCTACATTTCTGTTAAAAATTGCCACCCAGACTGCAGTGTTTGGGTCTGGAATGTTCTAGCTATGAATGAGGAAGGGAAGGGAAGGGAAGGGAGAGGGAAGGGAAGGAGGGAGGGAGGAAATGAGGAAGGAAGGAACGAAGGAAGGGAAGGGAAGAGGGAGGGAGGGAGGGAGGAAAAAAGGAAGGAAGGAAGGAAGGAGGGGGAAAGAAGGGACGGAGGGAGGAAGGAGTCTAATCAGCATCACAATATACAAGAACCATTCTCTCCCTTGTGTTTTTAATGACAGTCCCTTCCTTCCTTCTTTCCTACCTCAATAATTAGCTTTTCCAGGAGGAGCTTCCGGAGCTCATTGGCTTGGGGATGGGGGCATGCCTCCCCAGATCTTCTCCCTCCCTGGGGAGATAGGGCCGCAAGCCCCACTGACCAATGCCCATTCACTCTGGGAGCCTGCCAAAAAAAAAGGCAGCACAACAGAAAAGCCGAAATCAGAAAGAAGCCCTCTTATCATGCAAATAAAGAAGCTTGCCAGTGACTGACTCAAAGCATCCCATCTCTCCTGATAGATGTAGGATATCGGAATGTTCATTAGTGCTGCTTAACAGATATTTCCGTTTCCATTCCCAGGTGAAAGGTAGAACTGCATATCCCCGGCCCGGCCCCCCTTGGAGTGAGGGTAGCAATGCGTCTTGGTTTAGCCAGTGAAATGTGAGTGGCAGAGCCACACACTATTGCCCTGCTCTTCTAGCCTGCCACTGGCAATCGTGCCCACCTAGAGATGGGATGTCCCTCAGTGGAGATGACCAGAGCAGAGCCCTCCAGGCAACCCAGGGTGGACACAGAGCATGAGTGGAAAATGGACCTTTGTTGCTGGACCACTGGAAAAAAGGGTTGTCGGGGGGTATAATATGTCTATGTCTACTTGCCAACTTGACCTGACCTCAGGGATCCTGGGGAACAGAAAATGGAATCTCATATAGATGGAGCCACAGGGACCTAGAGAGAGGCCCAGACCCTGTCATTCCCAGGTGTGATCTTGAGAAAGTCACTTGGACAATGCAGGCCTTCATTTTATTTATATTTTATTTTATCTAATTTTTGAGACGGGTCTCACTCTGTCAGACAGTCTAGAGTGCAGTGGCACTATCACGGCTTACTGCAGCCTCGACTTCCCAGGCTCAAGTGACCCAACCACCTCAGCCTGTACGTGGGATTACAGGCGCACATCACCATGCCCAGCTAATTGTTGTGGTTTTTTGTAGAGACAGGGGTCTTGCTACGCTGTTCAGGGTGGTCTCCAACTCCTAGGCTCAAGCAATCCACCTGCCTTGGCCTCCCAAAGTGTTGGTATTAAAGGCATGAGCCACCACAACTCTAACAAGAGTTTTCTTAACTCTACAAGAAGAGATTCTGGTTAGGTGATCTTCCCTCAGCTCACACAAAAGACAAGACAATCTTAGTGCAAGATTAACATCTTTGGGGGAATCTAGGTGAAGGTTACACAGGATATTTCCATAGTATTTCTTACAAATGCATGTGAATTTAAAATGCTCTAAAAAAAAAACTTTTAAAAAATTGAAATAAAAAAAATACCCTTAGAGTTGAACCCAGTTCTCAAAGCACTGGTTTGTGGGTTTTATGGTAAAATTCTTCGGGACAGAAACTCCTCCAAAACCCTCAATGGGGTTTCCTGAGTGTGGGGAATTTGGCTGTGACCCTCATTCCTTCTCCCTCAGCTGGACTCAACCCCACCCATCCCCAGACCTCTGGAGAAGTTGCTGGCAACCTAGTCAACTCTCAACAATGGCAAACGAAGAGTTGCCATTTTCTTCCTTAGTTACAAAAATGAAATATTGAAAAAATGTTTATGTATACTATCACAATAGGTGTTCTTTCACAATGTAAAAACTTTCAGGGCCAGGTGCGGTGGCTCACGCCTGTAATCCCAGCACTTTGGGAGGTAGGGGCGGGCGGATCACCTGAGGTCAGGAGATTGAGACCATCCTGGCTAACACGGTGAAACTCCATCTCTACTAAAAATACAAAAAATTAGCCGGGTGTGGCGGTGTGCGCCTGTAGTCCCAGCTGCTGGGGAAGCTGAGGCAGGAGAATGGCGTGAACCCGAGAGGCAGAGCTTGCAGTGAGCCGAGATCACGCCACTGCACTCCAGCCTGGGCGTCAGAGTGAGACTCTGTCTCAAAAAAAAAAAAAAAAGAAAAAAGAAAAAGAAAGGGGTTTTACTGCTCCCTAGAGAGGCCCAGTGGGACAGCCCTTGTTTTAGACAGGGAGCAAGGACCCCAGGCTGATGGCCTCATGCCCCCAGGTAAACTGTTTGAACTCTCTAAATTTATTTGCCTGGGGGAGCGTTGGGGGAGGGAAGAGAGGAGTGTTGGTCTCTCCCAGCTCTAAAGTTTTAATGCTAGAAATCAACTTAATTAATTAATTAATTTTTATTTTTATTTTTATTTTTTATTTTTGAGACAGAGTCTCATTCTGTCGCTTAGGCTGGAGTGCAGTGGTGCGATCTCGGCTCACTGCAACCTCCGCCTCCTGGGTTCAAGCAATTATCTGCCTCAGCACCCCAAGTATCTGGGATTACAGGTGTCTACCACCACGCCCGGCAAATTTTTTTTGTATTTTTAGTAGAGACGGGGTTTTACCATCTTGGCCAGGCTGATCTTGAACTCCTGACCTAATGATCCACCCGCCTTGGCCTCCCAAAGTGCTGGGATTACAGGCGTCAGCGCCCGCGCCTGGTGAAATGAACCTATTTTATATAATTTCTTTTCTTTACCTTCTTTTTTTTTTTTGAGACAGAGTCTTGTTCTGTCACCCAGGCTGGAGTGCAGTGGGCGATCTCGGCTCACTGCAACCTTCACCTCCTGGGTTCCAGCAATTCTCCTGCCTCAGCCTTCTGGGTAGCTGGGACTACAGGCGCACGCCACCATGCCCGGCTAATTTTGTATTTTTAGTAGAGACAGGGTTTCACCATGTTGGCCAGGCTGGTCTCTAACTCCTTACCTCAGGCGATCCGCCCACCTTGGCCTCCCAAAGTGCTGGGATTACAGGCGTGATCCACCTCGCCCGGACTATTTTATATAATTTCTAAACTTTTTATTGATACAACTTATTAATACATATAGAAAAATGCATATGGATCTTAAGCATACACCTTGCTGAATTTTTCAAACTGAAAACACCTAGCTAGCCAGCTCCCAGCTCAAAAGGCAGAACATCACCAACCTAGACTCTCCTTCCCTTCACCCTCCCACTCACTCCCCAAGAGTAACTACTAGTCTGGCTCCTCACACCTGAGGTTACTTTTGCCTGCTTTGAACTGTATATGAACAAGATCACATTTTTTTTTTTTTTTGAAACGGCGTCTCGCTCTGTCACCCAGGCTGGAGTGCAGTGGCACTATCTCGGCTCACTGCAAACTGTGCCTCCCGGGTTCAAGCAATTCTCTGCCTCACCCTCCAAGTAGCTGGTATTACAGGCATCTGCCACTATGCCCTGCTCAATTTTTTTGTATTTTTAGTAGTGACAGAGTTTCGCCATCTTGGCCAAACTGGTCTTGAACTCCTGACCTCATGATCCACCCGCCTCGGCCTCCCAAAGTGCTGGGATTACAGGCGTGAACCACCCCACCCAGCCAAAGATCATATTTTTTAAAATGCACTTTTTTTTAAATTTCAGTTTACACCTAGAGGAATTCAGGATGGAGTTCTTTTTGGTTTGGACAACTGCAAGCTACTTTAAAATCACAATACATGGGCTAGGATGTGATTTAAAAACCAAATTATTTTACTCTGCCTGATCAACTCGCCAACCGGTCTCGGCAGTTTCTTTCTAAGGGTCCCCTGGGCGCCATTGCTAACCCTTCCCCTTCTTAGAATGCCTAAATCCTGTGAATCCTGTGATTCTAAGGCCCAATCTAGACCAGCTAAATTGGGTCTTTTTATTTTTTTTAACCTTTTCTTTTAGAATATTTTTAGGTTTACAGGAAGGTTGCAAAGAGAGTTCCAGTATTACCCCATATTCAATTTCCATCTTAAATTATTCTGTCAATATTCGTCACAACCCTGAAACTAGCGTTGGTATATTACTATTAACGAAATTCCATACTTTACTCCAATTCATTTTTCCCTAACGTCCTTTTTCTCTTCCAGAACCCATCCAGGATTCCACACAGGTCAAGTATTTTGTAGAATGTCCTTCAACAGGATTTGTCTGATGTTTTTCTCATCGTTAGACTGGAATTATGGGTTAGGGAAAAGAAGTCCACATCATATTGCGGTGCATGCTGTCAACATGACTTAGCACTGGTGATGCTGACCTTCAGCACTGGTCAGGTAGTGTTTGCAGGTTTCCCCACTATAAAGTTCTTCTCTCCCACAACCTCCTTCCATACTGTGTGTAGCCTTTGGAAGCAAATCACTAAGGGCAGTGCACCCTCAACGGGAGAGGGAATTAGGCTCCACTTCCTTCAGGGGAGTTTACCTACATACACAGATACGTAGTGTTTTGTCTACATGAATTATTTGAAATTATCTGCATGCGAGATTGTCTCTTCTTCTCCATGCACTTATCCAACCATGCCTTTGTATTAGCATGGGTTCATTCACAAGTATTTTATTTATTTATTTATTTATTTATTTATTTATTGAGACAGAGTTTCGCTCTTGTTGCCCAGGCCGGAGTGCAGTGGTGCAATCTTGGCTCACTGCAACCTCTGCTTTCAAGTGATTCTCCTGCCTCAGCCTCCCGAGTAGCTGGGGTTACAGGTGCCCGCCACCACGCCCAGCTAATTTTTGTATTTTTAGTAGAAATGGGGTTTCACCGTGTTGGCCAGGCTGGTCTCAAAACTCCTGACCTCAAGTGATCCGCCTGCCTCAGCCTCCCGAAGTGCTGGGATTACAGGCGTGAACCACCGCACCCGGCCCCTATTTTATATTTTATATTTGAATCTAATACTACATTATTGATTTTGTTGTTCCAGTTGTTCCAGGTTTGAGGCTGGGCCCTCTTTCAGGTTGGTCCCTGTGTCCTTCTGACATACCCACATCCCTTTCATCTTGAGCACTTTCTTACTTCCCAGAACCACAAGGTGTTCCGGACTCATCTTCAGCATTTCCAGCCCCAGTCCTAGGATCCGCCATTTTTGAACATTTTGAACAGAGCAGACTGGCCACTTTTGACCCCTTTTTCCATTAAGATGTAGGTAGTTCTCTTGCGGGAAAGAACCCAGCCTTATTATCTGGTGCAAGCCAGTCAATTGCAAGTAACTTGAAAGGGAGTTCAGTGTTTTACAGGGTGTTTGTTTCCATGGCTGGCATAGCTAGGACCTCACCTTCAGGCCCATCGCCCTTTCTCTCAAAAGGTTTTCAGTTTGCTAGAAGCCACTTTCCTCCCTCACTTTACTTAGATTGCAATGTAGACCCGCCCCAAGTGAGTCAGGCTAAGGAGTTGAGAGAATAATTTAGAGAGGCCCTCTTCTCCTCCTGCAAGTCCTTTGACCTGCCAGCCTGCAAATCTGCTATATAAAGATAGATAAGTAGCCAGCTAGCTACACACACACACAAACACACACACACACACACACACACACACACACACCCATATACCAAAACCGAGAAGGCTACGGAGAGAGGGCAGTGGAGGCATTCACTCTGAGAATTACTGTTCAAAGGGGAAAAACAGGGAGGCACTTGGGCAATCCAGAAATGCAGGTCTGAGCTGGCCTAGGGTTTTAGCAAAGGAGGAGTGAGTTCTTCAGAACAGGACCAATTAAAACCTTTTAAAGTAATTGTTCCCCTGCCTTCTTTCAAAGTTGAGCTCTAATCGTGGCCTTTCATTCTTCCCACCACTCCATCATTTTAAATTAACCTTGCGATTCCCTGCAGCTGCCTCTCACCCATCACAGACATGCTAATGCACGTGTGTGCTGCTGGGGGGCGGTGGGAGGGGACCCTGACACTAGCTTTGTGAAACAGCATCCCTGTGGGCTCTGTTCCACTCACCCCCCTACCCACCCTGGCAGAGCAGAGGGGAGGGAGGAAGGAAGCAGGCAGGTTAGCAGAGCGCAGGACCAGGCAGTAAAGTCTCCTAGCTGCGCTACCTCGCTACCTCGGGGTGTCCACATTACTCAGCCCCTCGGAGCCATGGGGGTGGGGAGGGCAGGGCCTCCTGGGACAGGACCATAAACCGTTTATGAATCCCTAAATGTCACACATCAAGTCGACATCACCTGTTCACCTTCATTCTTCTCTCCCTTTGTGAAAAGTCTCTCTTCGCATTCCCTCCGGGCCTCTCCCCTCCTGACCCTTTGGAGTAGGAGCCTTCAAAGCCCTGAAGGTTCCCGAGTGATGTGGGAAGTAAAGTTCTCAATGGAGGTCTCCTCCTAGTGAAAGGGCACTCTGTACTTAATGGAACTGGCCAGACCGTGAAGGTTACCTTGACCTTGTCTGCATGATAAATACAACTGGAGCGGGGCGGAAGGCACACCATTCAGAAAAGCAAACTGCTTGCATCTTCTTTATTTTTAATCTCACTCCATTTTGCTTCTCTGCAGGATCAAAGCAAGTTAAGGAGAGACAGCCTCTGTCTTTCAATCCTAGGGGCAGCTCGTGCAGTCGCCCCGCCGCGGCCACTCTCCTAACACGGGCAGAGGGGGCAGCGACGTGCCCCGGTCGCTCAGCCAGCTGGTGGCAGGGCTGTGACGGCAACCCAGGCCCCCAGACGCCTCTCCGCGTCTAGGCGCTTCCCATAATGGAAGGCTTCGCTCCATTAAAAGTTATTTTAGGGAATCCACAAGCCCACCGCCATCCCCCCCAAAGTGGAAATTTTATGTAAACGAGTCAAAATAAAGCAACAGTTTCTTAATAAGTATGTTTGGAGTTACACTCTGGACTAAGACGAGCCGAATCGGGCGAGGGGATGCGGACTTAAAGGTTCCAGTGTTCTTCTCCATACGGCAAGACTATTTTTAAAAATTTAAGGACGTCTTCCAGTCCACAGTCCACACCGCCTACACCCCCGCAGGTCAGACAGGCGCGAGTTCAGCCCGGTGACCCCGCCATCCTCGCGGCCCCCACCCTGGGGCCAGGGAAGAGGGCGTGGCCGACCCCAGCCCCCTCACCGAAACCGGGCCTGTCCCCTCCCCCATCGCGGTCCCGCACGGCGGCGGAGGGGCCGAGGGGTGGCGGCACCGGGATCCCGCCGCCACCCCGGCGCGCACGGAGGCAGGGTTGGGGGAAACACGATTCCTGGGGAGATTGGAGGAGGCGATGCCGCCGAGGCTGCGGGGGAGTTCTCCCGGAGAACTCGGGGGCCGGGTGGGAATGCGACCTCCAGGGCAGCTATCGCTGCTCCCCCGTAACTGCCGCAGGGACCCTCCCGGGGTGGGGGTGGGGACGCGGGGCTTCCGTCCCTTCCGGGCCGCGGAGGTGCAGGCCCGAGGGGCCCGTGCAGTCAGACGTGCAGTGTGCGCGGCCCGTGACTCAGCCGGGTGGCGACGCGAGGCCGGGGAGGCAGGGGGAAGGGGCGGGCGGGCCGGGCGCGCAACCGGGACCCCGCGGCCTCGGGAGAAGCGAGGTGCGCGCGCCCAGGAGTGGGGGGCGGGGCGGCGGGCGCGCGCGCAGCGGAGGCGCCGGGCGGCGGCGAGGGCCGGGCCGTATGCCGTCTTCCCGGCGCCGCGCTCCCAGAGCTCGCGCCGCCTCCCGGGGCGCCGCGCGGGTGGCGCAGGTAGAGGCCGGGCGGGGGTGGCAGCCACCCCGGGGCTCAGGTTCCAGCCGCCAGGCTTGGCCCTCAGCGGGCGCTGTCAGAGGGCGGGCCCGCGGGAGCGGGGCGGCGGCGGCGGCGGCAGAGGAGCGCAGGGCGGGCGGAGACCGTCGGGGTCACCTCTCCAGCCCCCCGCGGTGGCCGAGCCACCCGCAGTTGCGCTCGAGGCGCCGAGGCGGGGTGGCCGAGCGAGACCCGGGCCGGGCGCGGCTCGGGCCGCACAGCCGCGGCGGCGGCTGCAGACCTGTAAACCTTAATGACAGCAATCTTGCCCGTCTGCGCCTCTGACTCACGTGGTGACCCAGCCTCCAGTCACCCGGCGGCCGCCCTCCGGCCTCAGTTTCCCCCGCCGCCGAACAATGAAGCCACTGTGTCGCCGTTCATTTCTGAGCGCCGTTTCACACGCGGAGCGCCGCCGCCTCCCTGGGGAAGGGACCGAGGCGTCCGGCTTTTAATTATCCCCGGTGGGCGGGCGTGGGGAGGCCGCGCTCTGCTGGATAATTGAACCCTGGGACTATTCCCTCGTCAGCCCAAGCTCTTTATCTTAAGCCGTCCTTTCCTCTTCATCGTATTTAAATTTTACCCCTTCCTCTCCACGCTGGTGGGACTGCTTGAAAAACAATGAAATGGGCCGGTTAGGTGGCTCACGCCTGTAATCGCAGCACTTTGGGAGGCCCAGGCTGGGGGATCACCTGAGGTTAGGAGTTCAAGACCAGCCTGGCAAACATGGTGAAACCCTGTCTCTATTAAAAATACAAAAAAAAAAGGGGGGGGGGGAAAGAAATTGGCCGTGCATGTGGCGCATGCCTGTAATCCCAGCTACTTGAGAGGCTGAGGCACGAGAATCAGTAGAACCCGGGAGAAGGAGGTTGTAGTGAGCCGAGATGGCGCCATTGCACTCCAGCCTGGGCGACAAAGCGAGACTCCGTCTCAAAAAAAAAAAAGAAAAGAAAAGAAAAGAAAAGCAATGAAATGACTCCCCGCCTAGTTTAGGCAATTTGTGTTTTCCCGAATATCAAGGGTTCAGTCAATTTGCTCGCAACGAACTTGAGCCCTTCCTGTGGGCCAGGCCCAGTGTGCCCAGCACTGAAGCCACCGCTGCTCAGAAGCCACAGCAGGTTCTGAGGAGGCACAGCGGCGGAGAGGCCACCTCTTCCTGGTTCTGTTCTGCAGGCATAAAAGGGATCAGACTACTGACGGGCGAAGCTGAGTAAACCCCACATACATTATTATGCTGAGTGAAGAAGCCAAACACAAAAGGATACATATGGTGTGGCCCCCATTTATGGAAAACCCTAGAAGAGACAAATGTAGTCCCTAGTCCACCAAAAGTATTGGTTGTCTTGCGGTGGGGGTGGGGGCAGTGACTGGGATGAGGACAAGGGAATTCTGGGGGTGATGGAACTGTCCCATATCTTGATTCAGTCTCTGGCACCTGCGACCGCAGAGCACTCCCCACCCACCTACCGGCCTCTCTGGACCCTGAGACTTCAGGTTACTGAGGAGTCAGTAACCTTCCCCACTGGAAGGCCTTTCCCCCATGGCCCCTCACCCCCCATTCCTCCCTGGCCCTGGGTGCCCCATTTCCGGGAGCGGTTATGTGGATGGAAGTATACAGTTGTCCCAACTCATCCAACACTGAATGCAAAATGGGTGCATCATACTGTATGTAGGTGGTACCCCAAGAAAGCTGGCCGAAGCCCTAAGGGTGTGGGAAGCCAGGAGGCTAGGAGGCTTGGTGAGGGTAGCACTTTGGTCATGGAAGGGGATGGAGAGGAGAAACGTTGCTTGTTGAGGTCTCCAAAGAGAAGGCGTCACATGTTTTATGGAAATCTTACAAGCCCCAAATGTTACTATTATTATCCCCGTTTGACTACTGGGGAAACAAACTTAGGCTGAGTGAGCTGCCCAGCCTCCCTAACCCTGTCCCTGGCAGATGGTACTGAGAGGATCTGTCTTCCTCTCTCAGTGGACACGACAGATTCATCGCTGTGTGGGGGACACCGAGTGTGAGCGTCAGGGTCAGCAGCAGGGCCTTGGAGGCAGAGGGGACCCTGTGAGAATCCTGCCCTCTTTCTAGTGCTGTGACCTGGGCCATATTGGCTTCTCTCAACCCCAGGCCAAGTCCTCCCCTGTGTAAGATGGAGAAGGTCCCACCTCGGGCCTGGCGTGAGGAGATGAGGGCGCTTAGGTGGGTGCCTGGTTCGAGGCGTGCCCGTGGTGTTAGCTGTACCTCTGTGACCTTGGGCGAGTCCCTTCCCTGTAAGGGCCGCAGTGTCCTCATCTGTAAAATGAGAGGGTGGCTTTAAAGTGCCTTCCACATCCTGGTATCCTGGAGTATTTGGAGGGGCCACGGGGGAAAAGCAATGGAGGAACTTCCGGGGAGGGGCAGCAGGTGCAATTGAAGGAAGGAGGTGTCCCGGGCATCCCCATTGCTTCTGTGGAACCCAGGAGGGTGAGGGGTCTGTGGGGTCGTGTTCTGACCCATGTCCTGCACCATGAAGGGGAGATTCCTCCAACACCATGGCTGAGGGGGCCGCAGCATTGCTGGAACTCATCAAGGGCATAGGGGGTGGGGCTTTGCTCCCTTAGGAAGCGGCCTCCTCCACCGTTGGGCAGTTCCGGTTTCCAGAACATCATCCTTGTGTGGACCCAGCATCTCCCCCAGATCTCTTCTGAGCCTCCGACCAGGCACCTCAAGCTGAGGGCATCCCTTGACCAGGAATATTTTCCTCGGCTCAGTCTGTCCAGACCGTTCCCTCCCTAACTAAGGGATAGTCCAGAGTTCTGGAAGGAAGGGCCTTCCTGAGGGGAGGCCAGCTGTGCCTGCCCACTGAGGACCTTCAGCCCGTTCTCTGCCATTGCAGACCCCGTGTCGGCCCCACTCCCAGGGGCAGGCGAAGGCTTGGCCACTGAGACACCTGAGTTTCTGGCTCTAGGACGTGGCACCCTCACAGCTAGGCCTCCCAGCTCTCCCTGCACAGAGGCCACCCAGCCTGGGAGGCTTGCAAAGTGCAGCACAAATTCACACACCCCACATCACACACACCCACACACAGCACACACACATACACCACACGCATACCACACTAATTCTCCATTCTCACACCATGTACACACAACGCAACCCTCTCCAACCACACATACCTCGCTCCCTGCGTGTGTGCGTATATACCACATCCCCCACCCCCACACAACACACAACACAACCCTCTCCAACCACACATACCCCGCTCCCTGCACGTGTGCGTATATACCACATCCCGCACCCCCACACAACACAGTCACACTCTATACCCAGAGAGTCTCACATGTAGCACCCAGGTTGTGTCCTACACAAGGGTGCCCAGCTGAGGGTCTGAGGCAGCTCCCAGGGTCCTGGGGCAGGGCTGGGCACCTGGAGGGAGGAAGGGTGCCTCCTAACTGGCATGAAGGTGCCCTGTGCACTGGCTGAGACTCTGGCACCCATGACCACAGAGCACTCCCCACCCAACTCCAGTCCTCTCTGGACGGTGAGACATCAGGCCCCTGAGGACCCCCAGCCCTCCCTACTGGAAGGGCCTGCCCCATGCCCCACTCCACCATTCCTCCCTGGCCCTGGGTACCCCACTAGTGAGTACCTGGCTCCAGGCACAACTGGCTCTTCTCTCTCCAAGCCCCTCAGTCTCTTAGTACCTGGACCATTCCCTTCATCCCCCACATGCTTATGGGGCACCTGCTGGTGCCAGGCCCTGGCTCAGTGCTGGGGAGCCAGAGGGGACAAAGTCACACTCATCCTCAGCAGGCATCTGCCATCTACACACCAATGGCCATGCCCAGGGAGCAGGACTGTGGCAGAACATCCCTGGCAGCTGTGGGAGCCCCCTGACTAGGGAGCAGTCAGGGAGAGCTTCCTGAAACAGGTGGCAGTAGACAAAGGCACACGCCTTCTAACTGCTGTGACTCACTGCACGCTGATCTCTGCCCCCTCTCACCACAAAGGGAGGCCGTGGTGTGGAATAGAGACTGGGCTTTAGTCGCAACCTTGGGAAAGTGTATCAGCCTCGGCCTTAATGTCCTTGTCTGTGGGATGAGAATTTCAACACTGCCCTTGCAGGAGAATAGTTGAGGTGGCATAAGGTGGGTGCTGAAGCCAGACAGACTACCTTCAGTCTCAGCGTCGTCACTATGAGCCATGCAACCTTGGGGAAGCTAGCTTCCCTTTCTGGCGCAGTGTCTTGTCTGTAACATGGGAGTCCTAACAGGAAGTCTCTCATAGAGTTATTTTGAGTATTTAAAGCATTTTGATTTGGAAAGGGTTTAGAATAGTGTTTGGCCCACAGTGAGCACTATGTGTACAGAATATATGGACATGCTGAGCAGTCCTGTAGGTCATGGGGGCTCACCAGATACGCCATGATGAACATGACCTTGGATATGTTTCTTCCCTCTGGAATTTGAACTCTTTAACTGTCTCTGAAGGGAGAGATGGCAGGCTGGGGCAGAGACATGTTTGCTGTGCTCCATGGAGACTCACAGCCAGCCTGGGCCTTGGTTTGTGGAGGGGTGGGGCAGTGACAAGGAGGTGCCCTCGGTCCATAGGTGAGTGGCCAAGGGTGCTGACCTTGTGCCCATCTCCTCCCAGCTGGCACTGTCTCTGGGAAGATGTAATGCCACCCATGGTGATTTCATTGCGGCCCTAACCTCTCCTTTCCCTGAACATAGGCTGCCCCTTGGCTTCAAGCAGATTTCCATTATTACTCCTGTCTTCTCATTCATTTCCTTCTTTTCTTTTTTTTCTTTATTCTTTTTTTTTTTTTTTTTTTTTTTTTTGAGAGACGGTCTCCCTCTGTCGCCCAGGCTGGAGTGCAGTGGTGTGATCTCGGCTCACTGCAACCTCCTCCTCCTGGGTTCAAGCAATTCTCCTGCCTCAGCCTCCTGAGTAGCTGGAACTACAGGCACCCACCACCACACCCGGCTAATTTTTTGTATTTTTAGTAGAGACGGGGTTTCACCGTGTTAGCCAGGATGGTCTTGATCTCCTGACCTCGTGATCCACCTGCCTCGGCCTCCCAAAGTGCTGGGATTACAGATGTGAGCCACTGCACCCAGCATTTCCTTCTTTTCAAAGTAAATATGTAAATACAAAAGAGCCTGGCCGTTCCTTGCAGAGTTGAATATAGATTTCCTCTGTGACCCAACGGTTCCACTCCTCAGTGGAATGAAAACATGCACCCTCATCTGTGACATGGGAGTTATGACAGTAATGACTTACACAGGAACGCATCCGTGAATGTTCACACAGCATTGTTCATGATAGCCGAGAGGTGGAAACAACCCAAACGTCCGTCCACAGATGAGTGGATAAATAAAATGTGGTCTATCCATACCATAAAATATTATTTGGTCATAAAAAGGGGTGACAGACCGATACGTGTTCCCACATAGATGGGCCTTAACATGGATGAAGACTTCATGCTATGTGAAAGAAGCCAGATGTTGAAAGCAACATATTGTAAGACTCAATTCATTTGTTTTTGTTTTTGTTTGAGATGGAGTCTCACTCTGTTGTCCAAGCTGGAGTGCAGTGGTGCGATCTCGGCTCACTGCAATCTCCGCCACCCAGGTTCAAGCGATTCTCCTGCCTCAGCCTCCTGAGTAGCTGGGATTACAGGCACCTGCCGCTGTGCCTGGCTAATTTTTGTATTTTTAGTAGAGACAGGGTTTCACCATATTGGCCAGGCTGGTCTCAAACTCCTGACTTCAGGTGATCCGCCCTCCTCAGCCTCCCAAAGTGCTGGGATTACAGGCATGAGCACCATGCCCAGCCAACTCCGTTTATTTGTAATGTGCGGAATAGAAAAATCTATACAGACAGAAAGTAGATTCGTGGTTGCTTCAGGCTGGGGAGGAGGTGAGGGTGATGGGGGTTGGGTGGGAGGAAGATAGCTAGCAGATATGGGATTTCTTGCAGTGATGAAAATGTTCTAAAATTGACTGTGGTGATAGTGGCATGTATCTGACTGTCCTAAAAATCATTCAGTTATACACTTTGAATGAATGATTGTGTGATATATGAATTATATCTCAATAAAACTACTGAAACAAATAAATACACAAGGAAATACAAATATGGTTCTTTCCAGCCAGGAAAAGTGGTCCTCTTTTTGGGGTGGGGACAGAGTAGCAAGTCCGGGGCAGAGCTTGGTGTCTTCATGATCTCCCGCAAGCACCTCTCCAAGCCCATGGGCCACCCACAGTCTAGACTATCCTTCCCCTTCTTCTGTGACTGCGTGCACAGTACAGCTTATCTCACCTTCCTGCTTCCCTTCCTCCCCACCGCTAACTGCCCAGGAAATCCCTCTCACTCACTGTTCGGCACCCAGCTCACACATCACCCCTCCTCTGTGTGTCTGCTGGCCACCCTCCCCCAGAACCTTTTGCTCCCTAGTGGGCGTCCCTAGGATTTTGCTTGTTTGGTCGTTAAGGGGATTATGATTCTTTAGTTGTCTCTTTCCACAGGTGAGCAGAAATTCCTTGCAACTGTCTCATACCTGGTTTATTCTTGGAACAAAACTAGGTGCTAAATAAATGCTTGTACAGTTAATTTGTAAACAGGTACTTGAACTGAACCAAAGAATCACAACTTTCCAACTGAAAAGTTCAACCCTGAACTCAGATATGATGATGATGATTTTTTTTTTTACCGATTCCTTATTTGTCAATTTTCTTTAACCCAAGAAGTACCCAATGAACCAGTTTGAATTGGAACCAGATCTATGCATGTTCTAAATGTATTCCAGTTGGACTGGAATAAAATTAGAACAATATTTTCCAAGCTGAAAACATCCCAAACTAAAGCCTTAAGGGTCTAAGTGCCCTTTGTTCAAGGGACTCTTGAAGGGCTGGGTCCCTCCTGGCCTTGAGGTACCTGAGACCCTAAGGTTCTCAGCTTTCTGAAACTTGTCCTGATCTCCCCGTGATCCACTCTCATAATGAACTGTTGTGACATGGAAGCCAGAGACGATTATCTCTGTTTTACAGATAGGGATCAGCCCTGTCAAGGTCACACAGGCAGGACCTGAGGCCAGATCTGCCCCTGCAGGCCTGGTTCCTAACCACTCTGCTATTTGACTCCATGGCAGGAAAAACATCTGCCAAAGACATTCCCTTAAGATGTCACCATAAAAAGGCTTAAGGTATTAGTTCTCTCTAGGGCATTTTCAGACAGTTCTTGGGGAATAGCTGTTTGTAAAAAGAGCTCACCATTTACTGGCCTTTTTTTTTTTTTTTTTTGATCACACCTTCTAAAGTATAAGCTGTTGGTAGAAAAGCATCTGCCATTGGTTTAGTATTCCCTGTGGGAATAGATTCTCCTGTGGGAGGCTCTGATGCTGGGCCTGCCCTGGAGATTCTGGCTCAGTAGATCTAATGGGTGGGGGTGGGAAAGGGGGTTCTGCTTTTTTTTTTTTTTTTGAGACAGAGTCTCGCTCTGTCGCCAGGCTGGAGTACAGTGGCGCAATCTCGGCTCACTGCAACCTCCACTTCCCTGGTTCAAGCAATTCTCCTGCCTCAGCCTCCCGAGTAGCTGGGATTACAGGCGCATGCCATCATGCCCAGCTAGTTTTTGTGTTTTTAGTACAGCCAGGGTTTCACCATGTTGGCCAAGATGGTCTCGATCTCCTAACCTCATGATCTGCCCGCCTCAGCCTCCGAAAGTGCTAGGATTACAGGTGTGAGCCACCGCACACTGCCAGTTCTGCATTTTTTAAACAGGTCCCTGAAGTGATCCTGAGGCTCACTGCAGTTCATGCACCATTGTCATACAGCACTGAGCGCTTGGCAGGCAGCCAGGATTTGCTGATGAAAGGAAGGAAAAACAGAGAAGGAAGGGACTGAGAGCTCACTGAAGTATTTCACAAGATAATCTTTTTCTGCTTGGTACACAGTAGGTGCTTAATAACAGTTGCATGTACAATAAATGAATGCCTGTGGTCATCCAGACCAACAGGCCAGTGAGCAGCCTGGGGACCCATTGGAGCTCCTCCAGGGTCACTGTGCTCTCCAGAAGCGGTAACTGCTAGCCACATGTAGCTATTTAAATGAAAATGAAGCTGGTCACAGTGGCTCACGTCTACAATCCCAGCACTTTGTGAGGCAGAGGTGGGAGGATCACTTAAACCCAGGAGTTTGGAACCAGCCTGGGCAACACAGTGAGACCCCATCTCTACAAAAAATTTTCAAAAATTAGTTGGGTGGGTGGTGCATGCCTGTAGTCCCAGCTACTTGGAAGGCTGAGGCAGGAGGTTTGCTTGAGCCGAGAGAGGTCGAGGCTGTAGTGAGCTGTGATCATGCCACTTCACTCCAGCCTGGGCAACAGAGAAAAACCCTGTCTCAAAAAATAAATAGGCCAGGTGCAGTGGCTCACACCTGTTATCCCAGCATTCTGGGAGGCCAAGGCGGGCGAATCACCTGAGGTCAGAAGTTCAAGATCAGCCCAGCCATGGTGAAACCCCATTTCTACTAAAAATACAAAAAATCAGCCAGGTGTGGTGGTGCACACCTGTAATCCCAGCTACTTGGGAGGCTGAGGCAGGAGAATCGCTTGAACCTGAGAGGCGGAGGTTGCAGTGAGCCGAGACTGCGCCATTGCACTCCAGCCTCGGCAGCAAGAGCGAAACTCCATCTCAAAATAAATAAAATAAATAAAATAAAATAAAATAATTAAATAATTAAAACAAATGAAAGTCAAAGATGAAGTTCCTCGGTTGCCCTAGCTACATTTCAGGTGCTCCATAGCCACATGGCTCATTACTACTGTATTGGGCAGCATAAATGCAGAACATCTCCATCATTGCACAAAGTCCTACAGGATGGCAGTGGGTGGGTGGGGTGGCTGTGGGTAGAATGGAGAGGAGAAATAGGAGAGGTGGAGAGAGAATGAGAAGGCAGAATAAAGAGAAAAGAGAGAAGGGGCACAGGTGCTGAGGTTGAACAGTGAAGGTACAAGGGCTCCCGGGGCTTGATGGGTCACTAGCCTGGACTGGTCACTGATGCAGGCTTCAGGTCAGGGCCCAATTCTCTTCTCTCCTCTAACAGTGCTTCAGGAGAGCTGAGGAACTTGTTGGATATGGAGCTGGGCACAGCAAAATCTCCACCCCCAGCTCAGATGGAGGAGAAACCTGGTGCTCCAATAAAGGAGTGTTTATCCCTTTAAGAGTCACAGCCCTGTCCAATTTTGAATATAAATTTTCCTTGAATCTATCACATATTGCCCTGAGCAGAGTTGAGTGCTTTCTTGGTGACTCGCGATCCCCTCTATGAATCTTATCATTTCCTTGGGCTTTGAGAGCCCACGACTTCAGAGCACTATGGCAGCCAGCACCCCACCACCCCATCCCTATACCAAATACTCCAGACAGCCAAGTTTTGATCATTTTTTCCCATAACAGTTCTTTTCCCTCCTTGCACCTTTTTCTCCTGCATGGATTTGGATATCTGTTCACACAGGCAGTTGCAACTGTACGTAACATATGAATTCAAAGGTTTTGACTGAAGGCTCACGAATAAACAAAGAGCTTGTGTTTTAGAGCAGGGGTTTTTAATGTCTATTTGGGCTGCTCAGAAGTCTTTTCTATTTTAATTCTGGTCCTATGGGGGTTTTAGATACATGGATTTGTGACTAGTTGACATGTCACCACTCATTGTAAATAAATACAGTTTCTTTTTTTCTTTTTCTTTTTTTTTTTTTTTTGAGACAGAGTTTTGCTCTTGTTGCCCAGGCTGGAGTGCAATGGCACAATCTCGGCTCACTGCAACCTCCACCTCCCGGGTTCAAGCGATTCTCCTGCCTCAGCCTCCTGAGTAGCTGAGATTACAGGCATGTGCCACCACACCCAGCTAATTTTGTATTTTTAGTAGAGACGGGGTTTCTCCATGTTGGTCAGGCTGGTCTCGAACTCCCGACCTCAGGTGATCCGCCAGCCTCAGCCTCCCAAAGTGCTGGGATTACAGGCATGAGCCACCGTGCCCAGCCTGTAAATACGGTTTCTAAAGAGATCAAGTCCTTGCCCCAAGATGCTTCTTTTAAATTACCCATGACTATCCACCGTGTCTTCGAAAGTGGGGATCAGAGCTAAGACTGTCAGCAGCACTTTCTCGTCCTCTTCTTCCATTCTTTCTCCCTCCCCAAAAATAGAGGCTTTGGGATTCTCCTTGTGTACAAGGAACCACCAAGTCTGACTTTTTTTTTTTTTTTTTGAGATGGAGTCTCACTCTGTGGCCCAGGCTGGAGTGCAGTGGTGTGATCTCAGCTCACTGCAACCTCTGCCTCCGGGGTTCGAGCGATTCTCCAGCCTCAGCCTCCTGAGTAGCTGAGACTACAGGTGCCTGCTACCACGCCTGGCTCATTTTTGTATTTTTTAGTAGAGACGGGATTTCGCCATGTTGGCCAGGCTGGTCTCGAACTCCCGACCTCACGTGATCCACCCGCCTCAGCCTCCCTAAGTGCTGGGATTACACACGTGAGCCACCTCATCCAGCCCACCAAGGCTAACTTTTGAGGCCTTGGAGAGAGCTTTGGGGAACTGTTGGCTCTACCAGAGAGACCAACCCCCTATAAGATTTGGGCCATGATGACATTTCCATCCTCCAGTTCCCTGAGGAGGTCAGCCAGATAGACACCTGCTCAGAATCAGCCCTCTCAAGAGTGTCTTCATTTTAAAATAAGAACTTTTGGGGGAATAATGCTGAACTGAATAGCGTGGCTCTTGAGGGTGGAATGTCATGCCCAGGGACTGAGTGGGGACCACACAAGCCGAGCCTGTGGCCCTCAGCTGCCCAGTCAGGCCCTCCGAGGTGGCGGTGGCTAAAAGAGGGAGACACAGCTTCTCCAGGCTGCAGCCCTGCAGCCCTGTGCTCTGTCCGGACCTTGGAAGGCAAGAGCCAACCATTGTGTTTCCATCCTGGACATGCGGTGGGAGAAGGAAAGAAGCATTAGCTCACCCCCCGCCCTCCCACAGCCTCTGGAGGCTCCTGGACCCCCAGTGAGAGGGAGGGTCTGGACAATGAATAGGAAGGGAAAATGGGTCACATTCTTGTGGCCTACCCTTGGTGTTAGGACTTTCCACACCCCAAGATGGCTGCTCAAATGCTTTGACCTGTAACACTGTAAAAAGTGGGGGGGTTTCCAGTTCCTAGGCCCCAGTGGGGGTTCGCGTGCTCTCCTGCCATCCTCCCATTTCTGTTTGGACCACCCACCCGCTCATCCGGTGGTGCCTCACCCTTTCTTTCCTCCTGGGTTTCTAGAACCGCCCCCCCATCCCCCAGTATCAAATGCAATCCTTTCTCCTTCTGCTCCCAGATACAGATACCCGGTTTGTAAAGTCTGCTCTGCTCTGACTGGCGTGGTGGAGTGTGGCTCTCTGCTGCTTGCCTGTGACCCTGAGCGTTTTCCTCCCCTGGTTTCCTGCACATTTTTTTCCAGTCATCCCCCAGCCGGGCCTGCAGAGCTGCCACTGTCCCTGCAGCCTGCACGTTCCCCAGCCCTGGCAGCAACCACTGGGGCAGGAGGTCCTGGGCTCCTCAGCCCCTGGAAGACCCTGCGCCAGCCCCGACTCTAGACATCTGAGCTTTCGTGCTGCAGGCCTGGAGTTTAAGAAGACATGAGGTGAAAGTGTGAGAGCTAAGGGAAGGTCCTAACCCCTAAGATTATTTTCCACGAACGGGACAATCCAACAGCTCTGATTGAAAGTAAATTGGCCTTTCTGCAATTCTTTTTTTCTTCCTTCGACCAAATATGCTCTCTTCTGTTTTTCCCCCTCCACACCGGAAACTCTACTTACGATTTTTAAATGGTCCTAACTGGGGAGAGGAAGTTGATTGGCTGGGGAGAGAATTCCACCCTCGGTCCATATCCCACTGGGCCCAAAGTCAATAGAAGGGCCCTCCAGGCTCCAGGCGGCAGAAGACCGGACAAGCCACAAAGTATTTATTTTCAGCGGCTTTGCCCAGGCCCCAGCAGACAGAGATTTTATTGAATCTTGCCCCAAAACTGCTGGGATTAGGACTTGCTTGGCTACTCAGAGAGAAATAAGTTTCTTAGGGAAAAAAAAAAAAAAGTTGGCCTCTCCTGCCCTCCTCTTCTTTGCCCCTGTTCACCCTCCCCATGTGGCTTCCTTGTTTAAAAGTTTTCCAGGCCTGACGCGGTGGTTCACGCCTGTAATCCCAGCACTTTGGGAGGCCAATGCAGGCGGATCACTTGAGGTCAGGAGTTTGGGAACAGCTTGGCCAACATGGTAAAACCCCGTCTCTACTAAAAATACAAAAATTAGCTGGGCATGGTGGCAGGAGTCTATAGTCCCAGCTACTCAGGAGGCTGGGGCTGGAGAGTCACTTGAACCTGGGAGGTGGAGGTTGCAGCGCGCCAAGATTGCACCATTGCACTCCAGCTTCGGTGACAGAGCTAGATTCCGTCTCAAAAAAAAAAAAAGTTTCCCCAAATTTTCTTGTACTGAGGAAGAGGCTCATGTTTTTCTGAAAAGCCCAACACGCCTATCTCGACCCCTCTGGTCCTGTGGTGGGCATCGGTCTTGGGAGATCTCTGCTAACCCAGCCTGAGCTGGGGGAGGAGGGCCAGCTTCATACAGGGTGCACCCCCAGGAAGGTCTGGCCTCCCTGCAGCCTGCCCAGCCTTCAGGCCCGGAGATCAGGCAGCAGGGTCACTGTCAGGCCTTCAGCTCAGGAACTCAGAGCAGGCCCAAGGCTGGGGGCTCAGACGGAGTGAAGGTGGTCTCCTGGAGCCTGATAGGTGAGGGAGGCACTGGGGGCCTTCCCAGGGCACAGGTCTCGCCAAGCAAGGCCAAGGTCAAGGTCAGAATCAGGCAGAGCCGAGCTCCTCCGCTGGAGTTCTGAGTGTTCCTGTGGGACCCTAGGAAGCTGGCTACTTAGTGGCTTAGGGGGCTCCTGAGCTGACCCCAAAATCAGGTTCTCTGGCTGCACCCCACGCTCAGGCCTGACCCAGGTGGCAGTATCCGGAGGGAATGTCTCATAGCCCCTCTGGGGCTGCCCGGGGGCTGTGGGTTGGGGAGAGTCCCAGCCATAGAACACTGAGGAACATTTTGTCCTCTGTCAACCTGCAGCCAGCAGAGGATGCCAGACCCTGATCCCAGGTACCCTGGAGCCAGGGCAGGTGCCACCCTAGCTGCTGACTGTGCCCCAGCCCATTTCTCTCTGCTTTCACAAGCTTGTTGTTTGCTGTGTGATTGCTCTTATGACCCTATCTAAGCCAGATGTGGTGGCATGTGCCTGTAATCCCAGCTGTTCAGCAGAGTGAGGCAAGAGAATCATTGGAGCATAGGAATTCAAGGCTGCGATGAGCCATAATCACACCACTGCACTTCAGCCTGGGTGACAGGTGAGCCCCTGTCTCAAAAAAAAAAAGACCTCCAGCTAGGAACCTGGGCTTTTCCAAACTGGAGACAGGACGCACTCAGGGGAAGGAATTAGCCCACCACCCAACGGTGCACCTCTGACCCTGCTTTGGCAGAAAACTCAGACTGTGGGGCTATAGGGGAGGCCTTATTGGAACTGGCTGCCAGGCCTGGGTTAGCTTTCAGCTGGCAGGGAGAGGGACAGCTGAACAGAGGAGCCGAGGTGAGGTTGCATGGGCGCTTCTTCTGTACAGCAAAGAGAATCCCCTGGCAGGTCAGGCAGACCAAGATGTGAGACCTCTTTGGCCGTGCGCTGTGGCATCAACCCAGAGATTTGTTCTATGGACAAAACCCCTCCACGAAACCTGGCTGTTTGTTCTCTGTTTCTTTGTTCTGAACTGGAAGAACTATCTGCGTGGTGGGAAGAGGAGAGCCTTATCGCTGGGGTTTATTGTGGGGCTATTAATAATGAGCGCGCCCCCTGCTCCAGGGTGGGGGAGATAGGCTGGGGTGTCCAGCCCAGTCCGTGGAGCCCCTTCCTCCTGGCCCTGCCAAATTCCTCAGAGCCCAGTGGATAAGATTGGCGGTTTCTACTTCCCAAAGGTCCTGGCCTGGAATTCTTATCCAACTCCAGGCTCGTTTAACTTGGATGAGGGAGGAGGTGGCTGGCGAGGGCTGGGAGCTTAAGACCCCAGTGAGGGGCTGGGGCCAGAGAGAAGCCACATTTCTCCCAGTGACTTGATTCCTGAATTCTTGACACTGCTGTGCAGAGCCTCCTGCCCCCATCCTTCCTACCAGGCCCTGATTTCTCTCCATTTCCACAACCCTAAAGACAACTCTAAAAGCGAATGCCTGGGTGCCCTCTCATACAGCAATGGGCAGGAAGGAGGGAGGGGTAGGGAGGGAGAAAACCCAGCCTGGACACAGCCTGAGAGACCCTCCACTGTCCTGGGCCCCTCCCTGTCCCTGCTCCATCCAGCCCCACAGCTGGAGAGAGAGAGTGAGCTTCCCTCCTGCACAGTGAGGCTCGGCCTCGTGACTGGGAGCCTCCCCGCCTGTCCACATATGTGTTCAGCTGGTCTCCTACTCACCCTCCTGCACCCTCTGCCTGCCACACTGCTCACCCAGACCCTACCTGTCCCCATCCCAGGTCCAGTCTGAGCCACGAGGCTTAGCAGAGACACTGCTGCCTTGAGGCTTTTGGGGTTTTTGTGTGTGTGCGAGAAGGGGTGTCCACACCCATGCTGTGGGCTCCCTGGTAGCAAAGGGCTGCACACCCACACTCTCCCCTCAGTGAGCTTCCAAGAGGGGGCAGGGCACACAGGCCATGCTCGGTATGTGTCACCATTAGTGAGTCATGGCAGTGTTTGGAAAGTCCACAGGAGCAGGCCTCTGGAGTCCGGGATTCTAGAACTGACCAGACCACCAGGTGCTGCGCGACCCTGTGAAGGTCGCCTCACCTCTGGTCTGTGGCATCCTCAGTCCTACCCCAGGAGGAGATTAGGTCAGTCTGTCCCTGCAGAACCTGTTATGAAGGAGGCCAGGGAGAGCTCGGCATGTCACATCAGGGTCACGCCACTCCGGGAGTTCATCCCAGGAATGATGGGAGGGGTGCTGGGGCCACCCTGCCCTGAGGCTGGATGGGATTCTGACCTGGTCTCCAGACAGGACCTCTTCATTCCTAATTCCCAGAAGCAGAACTCTCGCCTGGCCTCCAAGAGCTCTCCTCCAGGAAGGAGGGACCACACTGACTCGGGCCCTCCCCCAATTCCTCCTGAGCCCCAACCCTGCCAAGCCTGGGACCCTCCCCAGCTCAGAGCAAAAGTCTGGGCTCTGAGGTCAGTGACCCTGGTGGGCTGCCCTCTCTCCATGCTCTGGGTCCAAGGACAGATGTAGGTTGAGGGGCCTCAGGCAGTCCTCCACCTCCCTGACACTGGAGAGGGGCCTCAGTTTGGGGCGTGGGCTGGCACTGGGCTGTGAGCTTCACCAATGCAGAGAGTCCGGGGATGACCACTCAGGAGCCTGCCCGGGGCAGTTTCCCAGAAACGGTGGGGTAGGGTGGCAGGGGAGGGAGGAGCTCCAGAGGATCTTGCTGGGTTAAGACGGGGGCTAAAGGTGGGGTGGGGATGACCCTTCCTGGAGGAAAACAACACCAGGGCCTCGAGGACCGGAGGGAGAAGGAAGGAGCCCCTTGGAAGGGAGGCTGACCTTGCTGTGCAGCCGGCCCTGCCCATCTGAGTTCAGCCTCTTCCTGGGTTCTGTTGCTTCAGTGCTGCTGCTTTGCTCCGATCTAAAGCGCTCACAGAGCCCTACACCTGGGTTTTCTCTCCCTAGACTGGCGGTTTTCAGCCCTGGAGGGGTTGAATCACCTGGGGAGCTTTCACAAACACTGGGGCCGAGACTCGCAGCAGAGGCTCGGATTTAATTGGTCTGGGGTGTAGGCTGCTCAGGACTCTGCCTCAGGGCCTAACCTGTCTCCAGGGAAGGCACCTTCTCCAACGCCTTTTCCCCACACTGCTAACACCCAGCTCACCCAGGAAGATGACTGTCACAGCTGGTCTGTCCTGCAGGCGAGGGCCAGCCGCCTTACCCGGGCACCTCATGCTGGCCACCCAGTGCAGACCCACAGTAAGGTGGCAGCTTCTGCTCCGGCAGGAATAGAGGCTCACCTCATACCTGCCCCACAGCCTCAAGCTCGGGTCAGACATGGAGGAGGGCATGGGTCTGGCTCCTCCCCTCTCCTTGTCCAGCACTGGCCGGATGGTGTCCCCCGCCTGGCACTATCGCGGCAACCATGTTCCTGGCAGGAGGAAGTGTGGCAATTGCTGGAAGGGCCAGTCTGCAGGCCAGGCCAGCTGGGGTG
Source organism: Homo sapiens (assembly GCF_000001405.40). NCBI lineage: Eukaryota > Metazoa > Chordata > Mammalia > Primates > Hominidae > Homo > Homo sapiens. The sequence goes on from NC_000018.10 coordinate 48,992,391, forward strand.
TCCCCTTCTTCACTGAACAGGCCTCTTCATGGCCTCCAGCCTCATTTGCTGTCATCCAGTGGCCGCTTTTCAGGCCCTCTCTGGGTGATGTTGATGCCATGGACCGTCCCCTCCTCTGCCTCCTGCCTCATCTTCTAGAACACTCCCCACTCCCCCAACTGTCCTCTCAGTGGACTCCTCAGTCTCCCCTGCCACTTGCCCCAAATGTGGGTCCCCTGGGGACTGGCCTCAGTACTGTCCTCGCTCCACATTCTCCAAGGAGTGACTTCACCCAAACCACGGTTTCAAATGCTATCTGTGCCCAAGGCCTCTCGAGCCCGGACCTCCTTTCTGAATTCCGGACCCCTCACCCAGCTGCGTGTAGACCCTCTCTCCAGGCACAGCCCCAGCCTGGCCACACTCAGTCTGCTCCTGCTCTGGTTTTCCCAATGCACAAATGACAGCGTCATCCGACAGATTTCCTCAACCTTGTCCTTGACTCCTTCCTGCCCCCACCCCTACTAACTTCATGGCTGATTTCAGCACTTACTTCCCCATTCTGTCTACTGCTCTCCACCTCCCTCCACCAGCCTGGGCCAGGCATTGTCATTTGTCACCAAACCACTGCAGCCATCTGTTAACTTAATGTCACACTGCCACGCTCATCCACCTTCAAGCCTTCATACCCCGCCTTGGGAAGTCTGAAACAGGGGAGCCTGGGTGTGCCACATTCCTGCCTAACTCCTCCCATCGCTTCCCACTGCTCTAGGACAGAGTCCTCTGGAAGGAGGCTGACCTTCCTTCGTCCTCGCTCCCATCTGCCCTCATCTTTTCCCTCCTCCACCCACATTCCAGCCATTATTCCCTGTCTGCTCAGAGTTTCCCAACATGTTGGGATTGATCCCTCTGAGATGTCCACCTGCTCTAGAATGCCCTGCCTCCTTCCTCCAGCAAACTCCTATTCATTCCTCAAAACATCATTCGTGTGCTACCTCCCCTGGGAAGCCTTCCAGGACTTCTCAGTCTTTGTGTGGTAGGGACTTAGAACGGGTCTTGGTGTTTCACAGTGCAGAACACAGTTTCTGCTTGAGCTTTCAAGGCAACGACTTTTTCAGTTGCCGTGACCATGGGGAATTCACAGCCCTGCGGGGGACCAGAGAATGTTCAGACAAGGGGAGAGAGATCATTGCACAGCCCTCATGTTCACAGAATAGAGTGGGCAGCTCGCACTAGGTGGGGCTTCTCCATGGGGACTGGTCAGACTTGTGAGAGGCCTTCTGTCTCCCCAGACCAGGATAACAATCATCTTCCACTCATCCATTGCTCATTGGCCTTTCTGACTCGCCTAGCACCAACCGACAGTATCACGAACTAGTTACTACGCGTTACCAAGGGCTCCTCTCGGTTTGCAGTGATCTCCCGAGCTCCACCTGTTCCCCACACTCCATCCCTCCTCCAAGGCTCAGCACAGTGACCAATGGGACAGAGCCCTGGTGAGCTGGCGGACAAGAGTGAGTCTTCAGGGCCAGGGTTTAAGCCCAGGCCCAGAACAGAAGCCATTTTTATAAATGAAGCATCCGAAATTGAAGCCTGCCAAGATGAAGGCAGAAACAACTTGGCACATTGCTTCCAGGCACGGAAGAAGGAGAAGCGTGTCTGTTTCATACCAGAAACCCTCCGGTTCTGGTTTCTCCAAGCTCGGCCTTTACCTTCTCCTTGACTTGGAAGGGTCGCCTGTGGCCCCGCTCCCCCATCTCTTCTGGAGCTGCCTTCTGTAAAGTGATCTTTCTATATTTACTTAAACTTCTATTTAAAGAGGAATTCCTCATAATTACTCAGCCGCAGAGAGCTGACACTGTTTGGCTCTGTTTATTTAGTTTCTCCTAGTGATTGGCAAAATGTCCTCAGTGGCTTTCAAGAGCAGATATAGACGAATGACCTCTTGGTCATAAAATAAAGTATGATGCTCTTTTCTGTCCTCATGGGAGACGGCATGTGGGGGGGATGTGCCTCACCATCCCACCCCATAAAAACGCTAAATCCAGTCATTTCTGAGGTTGGATTTGTGAAGCAGTTTCATAATTGGTGAAGGGTGCCGTCTCATCCGGGTGTGAGTACATGTGTGGATACAGCACGTGTCCAGCACACGCAGCCTTTCATGTGCACACACAGACGTTCACACCCACACACGGCCTCACAAATGGCAAAGAGCAGACCCGCCAACAAAAGGAGGAAGCAAGAATTAATACATCTGTTTTTTTCTTCAAAAAATTTTAATTGATACTTGGCATTTAGTCCAGTAGGGAAACTAAAATAGCTAGTTATTTGTGTAGAAATAGTTCCCAGGGTGCTTCCCTCCCTTCCTCCCCGCAACCCCTTTACTCCTCCCCCACCCCTGCCCCCGACACAACGACCCTACAGAACATCCAGGGACAACCCTGCTCTGACAAACCCAAAGGGAAAAATGCTGAACATCATTTGTTAAAATGTGGCCAGTAGCAAGACGCAGAGATGGCGGGCAATTTAAAATGTGGCCAGTAGCAGGACGCAGAGATGGTGGGCGATTTGGGGGTTTTGAGGGGAGGGCCTTTGTGCCCTCCAGTTTCGTGCCATTGAGTTTGAAGGCGTGCGGAAAGCAGAGACAACTGTCACGCCTCCCAAACAGTGACCCAACCCACCTAACCCACACCAGTCCCCTGCTTCCCAGGACCCCTTCTCTGTACCGTCCTGCCATAAGCCCTGCAAGACCTGCCTTCCCAGGAGAACTCCCATCTCCACATCCTGCTCCCCAGGTCCCAGCGCCTCTCCCACCCATCAGCCCTTGAGTGGATGCCTCGGCACGGGGGTCACACTCAGAGCTCCCCACTGCCTTCCCACTCAATGCTTTTCAGTTGGCTTTGTGGAGTGTTTGCCCTCTGCAGTCAGACTCTGTCTTTTGAGGGGTACAGGGCCTGTAACTTGAGCCCCAGCAGTGTCCTCACACCTCCAGTACACAGAGGAGGGACCCACATGGAGCAGGTGGTGGTGATAGCCTGTGCCTGTGGCTGGATTCTATGGTCTGCCCTAACAAGGCACAGCTCAGGAACCCAAGAGCTGTCTGTGATATTGACCAAGGGCCCTTCTTGGAAACCTCCTTGTGGCCAGGCCCAGAAATAGGATGGCAGGAGAAGCCGCCAGACCTCCTAGGCATGGGCTCCCTTTCAGAATCCTCCAAGCTGGTGAGGACGGCGGGAAGGCAGAGTACAGGGCAGACAGTGATGCCCGCCTGGAGCCAGGCCGGGGATCAGCCTAGGCGCAAGCCACGCATCCACATGGGTTCCTCTGCATTGAGAACTGCCGACAGGACGTCCTCGGAGTCCCAAGCAATTGTCTGGTTTGTGATGGACCCATCTTTCATTTCTTGATTATTCAGTAGCTTCGTGTCCTAGAAACCAAGAGGACCATTTCTATAAAAGAGGTTGGTTGAATAAAGACAGCGTGAGAATAGAGGAGCTCCTATTCCCGAAGTCAGCTGCCTGTTCTGCTTTCAGGCCCAGCAAACACCCCAGCCAGAGGAACTGGGGCCCTTTGCCCCTTCATGGTGTTCGCAGCCCCTCATCACCCGCTCCCCTGGAAGGCCTGCTGAAATGCAGATGTCCATAAGGTCTCCCACACACCCAGTTTCAGCAGCTCTAGCTTGGGTCTAGGATAGTCACTCAACAAACACGTATTGAGCAGCCACCATCTTCCAGGAGCCCTGCTGAAGTGGCAGCGGATAAGGCAGGTGGCTCCCTGCTTTCATAGAGCTTCTGTCTAGAGAAAGGTGCCCAAGCTGTAGGTGCCTCAGAATCGCCTGAGGTGCTTGTTAACACAGAAGGCTGGTCACAGCCCCGGAGTTCCCAACCAGCAGGTGTCTGGGGTGGGACCTGAGAATTTGCTTGTTTCAGAAGTTTCCAGACAAGGCTGAGGCTGCTGGTCTAGGAGCCACATTTTGAAAACCACTGGCCCAGCCAATCCCCACAGGAACAGGACCTAGGGCAGTGATATTTCAGGAGAAAAGACTGGTGATTCAGAAAAACACAAGGGTGGCCAGGCACGGTGGCTCACACCTGTAATCCCAGTACTTTGGGAGGCCGAGGCGGGTGGATCACCTGAGGTCAGGAGTTTGAGACCAGCCTGGCCAACATGGTGAAACCCCGTCTCTACTAAAAGTACAAAAATTAGCCGGGCGCGGTGGCAGGCGCCTGTAATCCCAGCTACTCAGGAGGCTAAGGCAAGAGAATCACTTGAACCCAGAAGGCGGAGGTTGCAGTGAGCTGAGATCACACCACTGCACTCCAGCCTGGGTGACAGAGTGAGACCCTGACTCAGAAAAAAAAAAAAACCAACAACAAAAACCCAAAAAACCCCCAAGCATGCATGAGAGGTCAGCAGCCCATGGTCCGCAGACCCCGAGCACATCAGAGCCTCAAGGCTCCACCTGAAAAGCTGCTACAATGGAATGACCTCTGCAATTCTTTCCAGGTCTCACTTCTGGAGGACGGGTGAATTGGGAGCAAAGGCAGGGAGGCTGGCAGAGGTTTCTGGAAGTCAGTGGGGCAGGGCCAGCGCTAGAGAAGAGGAGGCTTTGAGGCTTGTCTTGGCTTAGGCCTTCTCCTCCTCCTGGGCACCACCCTGAACTGACCCTACCCCCCCAGACACTGCTGCGGCCTGGCTGCCCTGGGGAGGGCAGGCCAGGGCCAGCAAGACCTGGGAGCCTCTGCGGCCCACGACACCTACAGTTTTAGAATCTGGAGAGCAGATGCCTCTGGCTTGCTAAGCAACTCATGAAACAAACAGCTTGCTTCAGGGCTTTCTTTTTTGAAGCTGACTTTGTTGTTTGGGTGGGGAGATGTGTGTATAGATAAGCTTCTCAAAGTGATGACATCACAAGAATAATAAAAATGCCACATTGCACCCTGTGTCTTTCACCTCCCAGGCACGTTTTCAAAACTAATCATAGGTCAATTCCCCTTCTTGCCAGCTCCAGGGACCTGCAGAGATGGGAGGCGCTGCTGAAAACCCTCTAAGGGGGGCAGCGCCGCCTTACCTCTCAGAGCTGCATTTCCCTCTCTTAGAAAAGGGACGAGCTAGGTGGATTTTAAAGTTCCTGCCAGTTCCCAATTATTTACCCAGAACTGATTTTAACTGAGTGTTTGACCAAAGCTTTGGTCCATGAGCCTTCCATTGCCGGGGTGTTTATTTTACATAAAATTTATCTGGATACTCACACGTAGAAGTTTTTCTTTTGGTATGGAAAGGGGTCAGAAGATTCTCCAGGTTTTGAGGGGCCCTGAAGCTTACACAATTTGCAAGAGTGTCTCCTTCAGGAAAATAATACAGAATTACTGATCATAATTCGGTGCTGGGTCCTGGTAGAGGCCCAGGCTGTAATGTGTCCAGAGGCACAAGGCTCAGCTCCACACTCTACCCTCTTTCGTTGTGATTAAAGGTCCACAGGCGTCCTGGGCAAATATCAGTTTCTTGAGTCTCAGAGACCCTTGAGACTGTCACAGGCTTGAGTTGGCACTTTGCAAACCTGAGTGTCTCCCGCGCCCATCCTGCCCTGGCCCATGTTTTGGCCGTGACACTGTGTTGCCAGGCAACCATCTATCCTATAGGAATTCACACTCATTCTTCCAGCAGACACATTTAATTTCAGGCCCAGAGTGCTTGGTGACGCGGGGTGACACCAGCCTGCGCCCTCACAGAAATAGCCTGAAGGACTGAGTCAAAAGTAGCTGGGGGAACTGATCCCCACATTTGATCTTCTTCCCCTAAAATAGCTTGGTCCTGTTTATGGGGCTGCTCTGAGAGGGGACGTGGGCGTGGGGCTGTGCTCACAGCTTCCTCCCTCCTGCTGGGTGCTTGCTTTTCTGTGGCCATCAGGAGAGACATCCGTAGTGACTCAGGGCCCTGGACATGATGTAACACCCCTGGCTCCCAGGGTGGTGGGGAATGCGTGACTGCCTTGGAATTCCAGGCGGGACCCTTGGTGCCTGCCTGCCAGTTCTTGACTAAGGTCAGGTGCGGCTGAGAGCTGCGCTCACCAGCCTTGGGGTGGAGGCTGGGAGGGTGTCCTGGCCCCGAGCCAGACCTCCCACTGACAACAGGCCCAGTCCTGAGCCCCGTGGGGACACCCTTCCATCCCATTCTCTAGAGCAGTGGTTCTCAGCCTCGGCTCCATGCTGGAACCACCTAGGGTGCTTTAAAATATCCTGATTCTGATGTAACCGTGAGATTCTAGTGTGCAGCCAAGGTTGAGAGCCAAGGGACTCCTGCCCAGCGTCCCCTCCCTGACCAGCTGCTGAGCTTTTCCCTTTTGGCAAGCGTCTCAGGGGCCCTGGGCACCCTCTGGGCTCTGACATTCCTCTCCTGGCTTGAGCAGAGCTGCCTGTCCTGCAGGAGCCAACAGTCCTCAGGCTCCAAGACCCTCGGCCAGGCATCAGGTCTTAGCCCTGTGCTCTGCCCAGGGCCCTTCCAGGGTGCTGGGGAAGACGTAAGATCTCGAGAGGCCGTGGGATGCTAGAACAGGGCTGCGGTGGGAGAAGGTGCTGGCCGATGAGAATGGAGGTGACCTGCTTGTTGGGTTTTGAAAATATAATGAAGTCAGTGTGTGTATCAGTAAAAATAGAGCTCTAAGCCCCTAAACAAGCAAACACAGGCTATCCACTAAAATAAGATTTTATAATTTGTTCATTGGTCAGTTTATATTTATTTTTGTTTTTAATTGCGGTAAAAAGCACATAATATAAAATTTACCTTCATAACCATTTTTAAGTGTTCAGTTCAGTGGTGTTAACTTTGTTCACCTTGCCATGTGACAAATCTCCAGAACTTTCTCATCTCACCAGAACTTTCTCATCTCACCAAACTGAAACTCTGTTCCCATTAAACAACTCCTCTTCCCTACCCCCCGGTCCCTGGCAACCACCATTTGACTTTCTGGTTTCATGACTTTTTTTTTTTGAGACAGAGTCTTGCTCTGTCGCCCTGGCTGGAGTGCAGTGGCTCGATCTCCGCTCACTGCAACCTCCACCTACCAGGTTCAAGCGATTCTTGTGCCTCAGCCTCCCGAGTAGTTGGGACTACAAGTATGTGCCAGCCCACCCAGCTAATTTTTGTATTTTTCGTAGAGACAGGGTTTTACCATGTTGGCCAAGCTGGTCTCGAACTCCTGACCTCAAGTGATCCACCCGTCTGGGCCTCCCAAAGTGTTGGAATTACGGGCGTGAGCCACTGCGCCCAGCCTGTTTCCATGATTTCGACTTCTCTAGATACATCGTAAAAGTGGGATCATACAGTATTTATCCTTTTGTGACTGACTTATTTTACTCAGCATAATGTCCTCAAGGTTCATCCATGTTGTAGCTCATGAAAGGATTTCCTTCTCTTTTTTAAGGCTGAATAGTATTCCATCGTGTAGATAGGCCGCATTTTTTTTACCCGTTCATTTGCGGAGGGTCATTTGGTTGCTTCCACCCCTTGGCTGTGGTGGACAGTGCAGCTGTCAACACTGGTGTGCAGAAATGTCGTCAAGACCCTGCTTTCAGTTCTTTTGAGCACATACCCACAAATGGGATTGCTGGATCATATGGTAATTCTATGTGGAGGTTTTTGAGGCACCACCGTACTATGTTCCACAGCGGCTGCACCATTTTACCTACCCCCAGCAGTGCACAGGGGTTCCAATTTCTCCGTCCTCATCAACATTTTTTATTTTCTCTATTTTAAAAAAATAGTAGCCAGCCTAATAGGTGTGAGGTGCTAGCTCATTGTCATTTTGATTTGCATTCCTTAATGATTAGTGACATCAAGCATCTCTGTTCTTTTTTTCTGAGACAGGGTATTACTCTGTTGCCCAAGCTGGAGTGCAGTGGCTCGATTTCAGCTCACTGCAGCCTCCGCCTCCTGGGTTCAAGCAATTCTACCGCCTCAGCCTCCTGAGTAGCTGAGACTACAGGCGCCCGCCACCACACCCAGCTAATTGTATTTTTAATAAAGACGGGGTTTTGCCACGTTGGCCAGGCTGGTCTCAAACTCCTGTCCTCAAGCGACCTGCCTGGCTCAGCCTCCCACAGTGCTGGGATTATAGGAGTGAGCCACCACATCCTGCCTTTTTTCTTTTCTTTTCTTTCTTTCTTTCTTTTTTTTTTTTTAAGACAAGGTCTTGCTCTGTCACCCAGGCTGGAGTACAGTGGTGTGATGATGGCTCACTGCAGCCTTGACCTCTTGGGTTCAAGCGAACCTCCCACCCCAGCCTCCCAACTAGCTGGGACTACAAGCACATACCACCATGCCCGGCTAATTTTTGTATTTTTAATAGAGACAGCGTTTTGCCATGTTGCCCAGGCTGGTCTTGAGCTCCTGGGCTCAAGCAATCTGCCATTCTCAGCCTCCCAAGGTGCTGGGATTATAGGCGTGAGCCACAGTGCCTAGCCTTAAATTTACTTTTTAGTTTTTAGAGATGAGGTCTCACTATGTTGCACAGGCTAGACTCGAACTCCTGGACTCAACTGATACTCCTGCTTCAGCCTCCCAAGTAGCTGAGACTATAGGTCTGAGCCACCGTGCCAGGCTCATTAGTCTCTTTTTGATGGAAAAGTATCCTGGAAAAATGAGGTTCTCAAGAAGCACAAGAGGCCCTGGGATGGGAGAGCAGGGAAGGTGGAGGTGGCAGGGAGGAGATGGGGGAGCAGTTTGAGCCTTTCTGTGAAATCTCGTTAAGGCCGTTGGTAGAAATAATTAGGTCTCTGTTCTCCTGAATCTGCTGGGTGAATTGGGCTGTGGGGTGGGGCGGAGGCAGCTGGGGTCTGGTGGAGCAAGGGGTGCCTTGTGGCTCCCTCCACAGCCTTCGGAGCCCCCAGATCCAGGACCCAGCCTGGAGTTTTCGCCCTCATACCCGCAGGCTCAACCCCTCTGATGAGGCCAGCTGGCATCGTGCCCTTTGCCTCAACCCGAGGCTCTAGGCAGACCTGGACTCCATGCCCTTCCTGGGCAGAGCACAGGACCTTCAGGGGAGTGGGGAGTAGAAGGAGGGAATGTGCTCAGGGCCGAGCTTGCTCAGGGCCGAGGCCCCAGGAGGAGACAGGCTCTGGGCTGCCTCTCCTCCAGGGCCTGCCACGTGTGTGTCTTCCTTGAATCTGAGCCTTCCTCCACTGAGGCCTCAGGCCTGCGCCACTACACTGGCCTCCAGAGCAGCTACTCTTGAGGGCTGGATGGCTTGAGAGGGAGGCAGGAAAGGAAGGAAGAGAAGGAAGGTGGGCAATTAGGGGAAGCTATCCCGTGTCCACACCCAGCACACTCCCGGCTTCAAATGCCCCAAAGGTCACATGTAGAAAGCATGAGACACCATTCCATCCTAGGGGCCCAGCTAATACACCTGCAGGGTGAGTGAGATCAAGGTGCTTCACCTCACTGGACCTTGGTGTTTCACCTGCAAAATGGGGCTGACAATTCCTATCTTGAGGGCTGGTGTGAGGACTGCATGAGTTAATGCTTGAAAAGGACCCCGAGCTGTGCCTGGACCTAGAAAGTGCTTGCCTGGGGCATGGTCCCCACAGGGAGTCCTAGAGGGGCCTCGAAGGGGTGACAGACAAGGGGGTGGAGGGACAACTTACAAAGGTGCGGGGCAGGTTAGGAGAGACAAGGCACCACCTGCCCAGCTTGAAGGCTTAGGAGGAAGACAGTTCCCGTTGCAGGGTGGGTGACAGAGCAGGGAGAGAGCTGCTTTTTGAGGACTGACCTGCGGGACTCGGTGGGGGAAGAACACAGCCTTGACCAAGCCTCAGCCTCGGAGGGGAGCGGGCAGGAGTTTCTCACCGCCTCATTTTGCCTCTGACCTCCTGGCTGGGAGCCTCCCTGGCCCAGCTGAGCAGGGAGGTGGGGAGTCCCAAGGGGCTGGGGGCCGGGCAGCATTCAGGCCACCAGAGTCTATGAAAATGGATTTTTGGTTCTGACAAGAAAGGGTCTTCAAGACACAGTGAGAACAAGAAGCAAATTGCAGGAGCACACGCACCATGAGACCCGCGTATATAATGGGAGAAGCCTCCCTGCTGCCTCTGTTTCTGCTGTCAGCATGGACCCTGGAGGGCACACAGCAAGCCTGGGACGGCTGTGACTCCGGAAGGTCAGGAGGGAGAAAGACGCCCACTCCACGCTGTATGTTTTGGTATCATCTAAATCATGCGCAGTTGACACAAATTCATGATTACTTATTTAATTAAAAAGTAGAAAACCCAAGAAAAACACAGGAACAGACTGCTCAAGTGTCCTCCAACTACCCAGAGGCTTTCTGCCAGGCAGCCTTGACACATGGAAAGGCCTGAAAACTTAGATTCTCATCAAAACTTCAGCACCTAACCCCTTCGGAGCCACATTGGGCTACAGGGCCCTCAGATAACAATATTTCCCCTTCTTCCCACATGCCTTTGTGAAGAATGAGAATAAAGAATTTCTGCAGAAACCCCTTGCAATGGCTAAAGTGCTTTGTACACACCAGGGTGCCCCTGAACCTGCCTCAAGGGTAGGAAGGGGCTGCCATTTCTCCATGGCCCTGACACTGCCTGGAACATAGCCTGGCCCGGAGCTGGTGCTCAGCAGATGCCCGAATGAATGCACGACTGAGTCAGTCACGAACCTGAAGGAATGACAGGAACCCAAATAACCCATGATATCGAGCCCAGCGGTGGCGTCTGAGTCGTCACCTGGCCTGATGTGTCTGATCTATCAGCAGCATTCGCAGGGATGTCCTCCCCCTTGACTCACTTTCTTCATTTCCAGGCATAACCCTCCTGCCTTTCCCTCCTCACACAGGCTCCTTCCCCTCCTCCCCCTCTTCCTCCCCTTCTACCTGTCCCCTTCCTTTTTCCCTTCCCCCTCCTCCATTTTCCCTTCCACCTCCTCCCTTCTTCCTCGTCCTCCTCCTTCCCTTCTCTCCATCCTCCTCCCTTTTCCCCTCCCCCTTCCTCCCCCCTCCTCCCCCACCTCCTCTCCCTCCTCCCCTGCCTCCTCCTAGACTCCTTCCTCTCCTCCCTGCCCTCTTGGGTTAGATGCCCGGAACTTGGTCCTTGAACTCCACCCTGCCCCTTTGGCTCCCTGTCTCCTTGATGGTCTCATCCAATCTTACCTGTTGGCTGACAACATCCACATTCACTCTCCCGCCCAGACCTCTCTCCTGAACTCAACAAAGCCGACCTCCTGAGCTTCTCCTCCCCAAACTGTTCTTCCTGAAGGATTCCCCAGTTGGGCTCATGGCAGCTTCGTATTACTCAGGCCAAAAACTTTGCAGTCACCCTTGGCCTCTCTCTTTCTCCTACCGAGTGTCCAATCCATCAGGAAATACTATTGGCTCTGCCTTCAAAATATGGCCAGAATCCACCACCTCTCCCCACCGGCGTTACCACGGCAATCTCATCTGGAAATTTCAATTCCTCACTCTCCTTCCTGTGTCCACCCTCGTTCCCCTGCAGCCTCACATCAACATGGCAACCAGAGAATCCTTTCAAAATGCAGGCCATATCACTGAGTCTCTGCTCAAAATGCTGACCCCTTCAAGGGCTGCCATTCACCCAGGGTAAAACCAAAGACCTGGCAGTGATCTTTACAGCGGTTCTCAAAGTAGGGCCCCCAGACCACCCATACCTGCACCTGGGAGCTTGTTAGAAATGCAGTCTCTCAGGCCCTGGCCTGGACCTACTGAACCAGAGACTCTGGGTGGGGCTGGGGGAGTAGCAAGCTGGGATTCCCAAATCCTCCAGGTGGTCCTGACAGTCCTGGCTCAAGTTTGAGGACTACTGGTCTGTAAGGACCTACCTGATGGGCCCCGCGCCCCTACACCCCAATCAATCACTTCATTCCAGCCACAGAGCCCTCCTTGCCGACCAGCGGACACCAAAACACGCCCTGCCCTCAGCCTGTGTCCTGGCTGTGCTCTCTGTACCTGTATCACCCACTCTCTCACCTCCTTCAAGTCTCAGCTCAGTGTCCCCTTCTCTATTTAAAATTTCAACTCTTGGCCTAGGTGCGGTGGCTCACGCCTGTAATCTCAGCACTTCGGGAGGTTGAGGTGGGCGGATCACCTGAGGTCAGGAGTTTGAGACCAGCCTGGCCAACGTGACCAAATTCCATCTGTACTAAAAATACAAAAATATTAGCCAGGTGCGGTGGCTCACGCTTGTAATCCCAGCACTTTGGGAGGCTGAGGCAGTTGGATCACTTGAGGCCAGGAGTTTGAGACCAGCCTGGCAAACATGATGAAACCCTGTCTCTACTAAAAATACAATAGTGTAGCTGGGCATGGTGGCAGGTGCCTGTAGTCCCAGCTACTCAGGAGGCTGAGGCAGGAGAATCACTTGAACCTGGGAGGTTGCAGTGAGCCAAGATAGCGCCACTGCATTCCAGCCTGGGTGACAGAGTGAGACTCTGTGTCAAAAAAAAATAAAATAAAATTTCAACTCCCTTTGTCACTATTTATTATCTTCTTCTATTTCATGTAATTTTCTTATGATGTTATTGCTTAGAGGCTAACTTCTCCCACTAGAATGTCAACTCCATTTGGACAGGAATCTTTGCCCCTTTTGTTCACTGAGGCATCCTGAGTGCCGATAAATCTGCCTGACTCTGGCTGGGGAAGCACAGAATAAGTCTTTGTTGAATGAATGAATGAAAAATCCACATAACCCCAAACAGCAATAACTACTATTTCTTTTTTTTTTAATTATACTTTAAGTTTTAGGGTACATGTGCACAACGTGCAGGTTAGTTACATATGTATACATGTGCCATGTTTGTGTGCTGCACCCATTAACTCGTCATTTAACATTAGGTATATCTCCTAATGCTGTCCCTCCCCCTCCCCCCACCCCACAACAGTCCCCGGTGTGTGATGTTCCCCTTCCCGTGTCCAAGTGTTTTCATTGTTCAATTCCCACCAACCACTAGTTCTTGAGCATGTTTTATTCTGACTTCTTTTCAAACATTAGCTCTAATTCTCTCAGAATTTCTACAAACTCAAGGCACCATCTCCATTTTTTCTCTTAAAAATAATTGCTTTTGCTTTTTATCTTTTTAATTAATGTATTTTTTACTGTTAGAGTACTTGATTTTATTTGGTGTAAGTTTGGTTATTTGACTTTTTTTGATACATGATAATTGTACGTTATTTGGGGCTGCATGTGATATCTTTTGATATATGCATACAATGTGTAATGATCAAATCAGGGCAATGAGCATATCTAGTGCCTTGAACATTTGTCATTTCTTTGTGTTGGGAACGTTTCAAATCTTCTCTTTTAGCTATTTTAAAATATACAATAAATTATTGTTAACCAAAGTCACCATACTCTGCTATCAAACACTAGAGCTTATTCCTTCTATCTAACTACATGTTTGTACCCATGAACCAACCTTTCTTTCTGTTTTTTTTTTGTTTGTTTGTTTTTTGTTTTCTTTTGAGACGGAGTCTCGCTCTGTTGTCCAGGCTGGAGTGCAGTGGTGTGATCTTGGCTCACTGCAACCTCTGCCTCCTGGGTTCAAGCGATTCTCCTGTCTCAGCCTCCGAAGTAGCTGGGATTACAGGTGTCCACCACCACGTCTGGCTAATTTTTTGTATTTTTAGTAGATACAAGGTTTCACCATGTTGGCCAGGCTGGTTTTGAATTCCTGGCCTCAAGTGATCTGCCCGCCTCGGCCTCCCAAACTGCTGGGATTACAGGCGTGAGCCACCGTGCCCGGCTGTTGTTTGTCTGTTGTTTGTTTTGAGACAGAGTCTTGCTCTGTTGCCCAGGCTGGAGTGCAGTGGCATGATCTCAGCTCACTGCAACCTCCGCCTCCCAGGTTCAAGGAATTCTCCTGCCTCAGCCTCCTGAATAGCTGGGATTACAGGTGCCTGCCACCATGCCAGGCTAATTTTTGCATTTTTATAGAGATAGGGTTTCATCATGTTGGCCAGGCTGGTCTCAAGCTCCTGACCTCGTGATCTGCTTCCCTCAGCCTCCCAAAGTGCTGGGATTACAGGCGTGAGCCACCGCGCCCGGCCCATTAACCTTTCCACACCCACCCCTCCACCCTTACCATCTCCATTTTATGGACAGAGAACTGAATTCAGAGAGGATAAGCAGTTTGTCAAAACTGGGCAAAAAGAGTTTGCCCAGATAAAGGAGCTGGTGTTTGGTGTTTCTACCAGTCCTCTCAAAAGGTCACTGAATCCCACTAGCAGGAGGTGACACACAGCCTCACGCTACTGCAGTGTGGACACAGCCACCGTTGGAGAAACATGCAGTACAAGGTAACCCGGGGCCTAGTGGCCTGGGACCAATCCATCCTGGAAAAAGGCACAAAGAAAGCTCCAGAATTTCTCATTCCCCCAGTGCTGGGCAGGGAATGCTTGGCTCCTGGGAGTCTGCTGTGGTGAGGAGGGGGCTGGGGAGCAGGGTGGGCTGATGTGGCGGCTGGGCCACCATCCAGCTTCCTCTAGATTCTCATGCACATTTAGAGAATGTGCCCCTTCACCCAGTCTCTCAGCAACCGCCTTCTGCAGCAGGCGGGAAACGATCCATTAATGATACGTTAGGAAACCCTTACTGAAAATAATTACACCCTCCTCGGAGCGAGACGTGTCAAAACACGCTGGGAGGATTCGTCAGCGCAGGCAGAGCCCAGGGGCCGCCCCCTCCTTCCACCCACTCCTCTCTCAGCCTGGCATTTCTTCCATGCACAGACCTTTTCTCTCCCCTTCATGAGGTGGGAAAAGTGGGGGGCACCCACAAAATCCACACTCCATGTTTTTTTCTAAACCACACTACTCAGCTAGCACAAGGCTCAGGGGATGAACAACACGTTTTCAGAACAAAACTCTATATGCGCTGGGGAGAAGGACTGAAGCCAGGGCTGCCCTAGGCAATCAGGGATGGCTGTCATGGGGGCTACAGGACCGAGACATGATTCCTGCAGTGGAGTTTGCAGAACCTTCCTGGGCTTGGGGCTCAGGCTGACCCGGGCTTCAACCCTATGTGACCTTGAGTCAGTCTTTTTGTTTCTCTGTGCCTCAGTTTCCTCATATGTAAAACGGCCATAACAAATTTGTAGGGTTGTGACCTTTAATCAACGGGCCTCACTCTGTAGCACGGAACCTGGCACATCCTAGGTGATTAACATAGGTGCCTAACACTCTCACAGGACAAATGTCACTTCATAGTGAAAACTGAAATACATAGCACCACTTACTAAGTAGTGACGAAGTTTGGAGGAGGAGAGAGATCCCAGCAGGCTGGGTAATTAGGAAGAGATGCGTTTTAGAGAATGGGGAGGAATTGCAACGTCAGTGGGACAGTGAAGGTCTTCCAGGCGAGGAGACAGTGACGAGGGGTCTGGAGCGACAAACACTTAGCGACATCTAAGAGTATCTCCTTGGTTTACTTGCTGTCTCCTTCACCAGAGCGCAGGCTCCACGCGGACTGAGTCTGTCTGTCTGGTTCTCTATAGCAGATGCTTAGATAATTGTTGAATGGATACAGGAATAAAATGAGATGTGCCAGGGAGGACGGGTGATGCAGGATCCCAGGCCCCAAGCTGGGGAGCTGACTTTGGAGGCAGTAGGAGAATGGGAAGCATTTTGGTTACAATGTGCATGTGTACAAGAAACGCTTCTCTATACTGCGGGAGGTCTGGAAGGATTCACTCTCAACTATTAAGAGGAGTAAGCTCTGGAGAGTGGGAGGGGAGTGGAGGTTTTTCAACATTTACTGTATATACGTCCCTACTGTTCGGATTTTTAAAATAACAAGTGTGTTTTGTAACTTTTTTTTAAGTTTAATTTTAAGAAAATTGGGAAGCGCAGGAGCAGGGGAGGGGGGTGAATTGGTCTGTGAGGAGTGTCAGCCCGTGGCTGCTTGACGGTCTTGCATTGCTCCTCCCACTTCCGCAGTAATGGGGAGACCTGGGGGGCGCTGGGGGACATCACGATCTGAGTGAGGGGTTGCTGGTGTCTCTCCTCCCAACTACCACTGCCAATTGAACAGTCCAGGTCCAGGAGGACTCGTGTGGCTCCCAAAAATGGCTGGTGGCCCTGAGGGGAGAGAATGGCTGCTGTCCCTCTCCCTGCCCCACCTGGGTCCCCTGCAGCAGGACTCTCTGCCCATTGAGGGAGAACCACCCATCCATCAACTGGTTTGGGACCCTGGTTGAGACTGCAGAGGACCCAGGAGCCTCTGAGATTACCACCCCTCAAGGCTACACAGACACACACACACATACACACACACACACACACACACACAGACACACACACACAGATACATCCCTTTCCTTTTAAGTGAGGCTGGTTTCCAGCCTTCTGAGACCATGACAAAATGGTGGGCCAAGGGCATTGTCAGAAGCAGGGCCAAGGCCAGAAGGCAGCGGGGCAGTTTCAGGGTGAGTGGGCTTTGCCTGGCAGAGAGGGAAGGGGGCAGAGCCGAGGCCTAGGCCTGGCACAGTGGTGGGTTTCAGCAGGAGGCTCAGGCCTCGTGGGGAAGGAGGGCTGGAGGGAGCCATCTCAGAGGCTTCAGCCTTAGGGCCCTGGGGTGGAAACAGGGGCGCCGGTGGTCTCTGCACTTCAGAAAGACCAACCTAGAAGGGCCACAGAGGGAGACAGGCAGTGGTTCCCACTGAGCACTGGGCGGGTGGGGTGGTTCTGAGGGAAGCTGTCCTGTCAAAGAGGCCAGAGGCAGCTGAAAAAGATGAAGGGCTCAAGGATGAGCCAATCTATGCATAACCCAGAGCACACTCCGGTCCCCACCCTCACCCCCAGACGCCAACAGTCACCTTCAGTTGAGAGCTTTTGCTGGATCTCTCAAGATCATCCCTTTTATTTTCTAACTTTTCTTTATATGTTTGCTGAAAAAATATTAAAACAACACAAAAGATCTAAAGGAGAAGTGAATGTTGGCCGGGCGCAATGGCTCGCGTCTGTAATCCCAGCACTTTGGGAGGCCAAGGCAGGAGGATTCCTTGAGCCCCAGACTTTGAGACCAGGCTGGCAACATGGCAATACCTCGTCTCTATAAAAGATTTAAAAAATTAGCCAGGCTTTGATTCCAGCTACTCAGGAGGCTGAGGTGGGGGGATGGCTTGAGCCAGGGAGACTGAGGCTACAGTGAACTGTGATCTAGCCACTGCATTCCAGCCTGGGTGATGGAACAAGACCCTTTCTCAAAAAAAAAAAAAAAAGGGGGGGAGGTGCTGCATTTCCAGCACTTAGAATAGCATTTGTTCATACTAGTTTCTCAATAAATATTCACAGAATACTTGAAAGAAAAATAAATGAATGTCTACCCCATCCCTAGCCACCTCCTTCTAGTTCCACTCTCTGCATTTGACAGTCTCTCCCTCTCTCTGTGTGTGTTTATTCTCTCTTATTATCAACATTGATTTGTTTTGTTTCCGCAAACTTGAGGTCATCTTCTACATGTTCCTCCATGACTTGCTTCTTCTCTTAAAGATACACTATCATAAAAGTTATTTCTAAGTCATGCCATGCCTGGGATTCATAGTAGAGGCGCCAGAATTTATTGGAGCAACCTGTTCTTGGTGGGCATTCAGCTGCCTCTAATATTTTGCTAATTCATTGTTCTTGGTGGGCATTCAGCTGCCTCTAATATTTTGCTAATTCATGGTTCCTGGTGGGCATTCAGCTGCCTCTAATATTTTGCTAATTCATTGTTCTTGGTGGGCATTCAGCTGCCTCTAATATTTTGCTAATTCATTGTTCTTGGTGGGCATTCAGCTGCCTCTAATATTTTGCTAATTCATTGTTCTTGGTGGGCATTCAGCTGCCTCTAATATTTTGCTAATTCATGGTTCCTGGTGGGCATTCAGCTGCCTCTAATATTTTGCTAATTCAGACAAAGGTGCATGGACATCTGTCCAAACTATTTTCATGAGCCTGTGCAGGGGCTTTTATGAGGCTGGGCGCAGTAGCTCACGCCTGTAATCCCAGCACTTTGAGAGGCCGAGGCAGGCGGGTCACGAGGTCAGAAGATCAAGACCGGCCTGGCCAACATGGTGAAACCCCATCTCTACTAAAAATACAAAAATTAGCCGGGCGTGGTGGTGGGCGCCTGTGGTCCCAGCTACTCGGGAGGCTGAGGCAGGAGAATTGCTTGAACCCCGGAGGCGGAGGTTGCAGTGAGCCAAGATTGCGCCACTGCACTCCAGCCTGGGCGACAGAGCGAGACTTTGTCTCAAAAATAAAAAAGAAAGTGCTTTTATGCAATGTTTTCTTAGACATAGAATTGCTGGGTTGAAAGCAATATGTACTTATATGTTGAACAGCTGTTGCTGAATTAACCCCAAAAAGGCTGCATCCATTTTCATTCAAACCGACAGTAAATGAGCTATTCAGCCACATCCTTCCCAGCACTGCATATTATCAATATTTTATTTTTTTCCAGTCTGGTAGAGAAAAAAAATCTCATTATTGTCTATTTGCACTGAAGCAAATAAGCCTCTTTTTATAAGTTTATGAACCATTTTATTTTCTTCTGGGAATTTCTTCTCCCCATCTTTTGCTTATTTTTCTATTGTGTTACCTTTTTCTTATGTGCGATTCAGGATACTAACACTTTATATTTTACATATATTGCAAATTATTTATTTTCTCATGGTGTGTCAGCTTTGAACTTTGTAAATGATGCCTATTCACCCCTTTCCTTTTCCAAGTAGCCAAAGGATTTCCTTTTGTTTTCTGGCTGTTCCTCACCTCCCTGAATCCCAGGGTAAACATGATGGAGACTCAGACCCTCAGACCTTGTTGGTATAAGAGCCAAGCTTGGAGGGGCTTAACCAGGAGGGGCATTATGTCAGGCAGGGACCCCGGGCCAGGTGGACCCCAGCCTCTTAGCCTCCCCCAGGGCTGCAGCCACATTCCCTGGCCCACTAGTTTGATCCAGGCCCCAAACTTCCCCAGGAAAGGAGGTGAGCGGGAGCTGCGGGTGATTTGCTCCTACCAGATGCTATCCTGCTGGCCTCCAGGGGAGAGGTGAGGGCAGACCCAGCCAGCAGGGCCTTCTCTGCAGCACCGCCTCCAAGGCACCCAGATAGGGGAGATATGCTGATAGACTTTTCCTGAAGAAGGGGTCTCTGGCTCCAGTGGGGAGACTGCCTGACTGACTGCATTACAAGTCCAGGGGAGACGCCAGCCTTATCACTCAGGCCTCTGGAGGACGCCTCTGGAAAATGCGCCAGTGGAGGGGCGGCCTCTGGAGCACAGCCTCACCACCGCCCGACCAGCCCTGCTCAGCAGCCATGAGCATAGCTGCCCTTTGTTAAGCATGTGGGTTGTTCTCTATTGTAAGAGCATTATATGCTACATACAAAAACTGCAGCCATCGCAGAAGCAAGCCCTATGTGTGCGGGCTGCCTGGACCCTGTTCCAGACCTGGGGTCTGTACTGGAGCTGATCAGACCCCTTCTTTTTTTTTTTTTTTTTTTTGAGACAGAGTCTTGCTTTGTGGCCCAGGCTGGAGTGCAGTGGCGCGATCTTGGCTCACTGCAAGCTCCGCCTCCCGCGTTCACGCCATTCTCCTGCCTCAGCCTCCCGAGTAGCTGGGACTACAGGCGCCCGCCACCACGCCCAGCTAATTTTTTTTTTGTATTTTTAGTAGAGACGGGTTTCACTGTGTTAGCCAGGATGGTGTCCACCTCCTGACCTGGTGATCCGCTCGCCTAGGCCTCCCAAAGTGCTGGGATTGCAGGCGTGAGCCACCGCGCCCAGCCAATCAGACCCCTTCTACCACTTCTCATTTTCTCCCGCGTTCCCAAAAATGCATCCATATCATCCCGACTTTCAAGGCGCAGCAATACTTTACTTTTTTTTTTTGAAACAGAGTCTTGCCCTGTCGCCCAGGCTGGAGTGCAGTGGTGTGATCTCGACTCACTGCAACCTCTGCCTCCCGGATTTGCACGATTCTTCTCCCTCAGCCTCCTGAGTAGCTGGGATTACAGGCGCACTACCACGCCCAGTTAATTTTGTATTTTTCGTAGAGATGGGGTTTCACGATGTTGGCTAGGCTGGTCTCAAACTCCTGACCTCAGGTGGTCCACCCACCTCAGCCTCCCAAAGTGCTGGGATTACAGGTGTGAACCACCGGCCTGGCCTGTATACAATACTTCCTAGAGATGTAAAAGTCTCACTCTTACCTGTGACTGTGCTCCCTTTCTTGGCCCTATTATTGTGGGGTTTTTGTTTTTTCTTCTCAAAAACTTTTCTTTTTCTTTTTTTTTTTTTTTGTGATGGAGTCTCACTCTGTTGCCCAGGCTGGAGTGAAGTGGTACAATCTTGGCTCACTGCAACCTCCACCTCCCTGGTTCAAGCAATTCCCCTGCCTCAGCCTCCCGAGTAGCTGGGATTACAGGCGCATGCCACCATGCCTGGCTAATTTTTTTTGTATTTTTAGTAGAGACGGGGTTTCACCATGTTGGCCAGACTGGTCTCAAACTCCTGACCTCGTGATCTGCCCGCCTCACCCTCCCAAAATGTTGGGATTACAGGCCTGAGCCGCCATGCCTGGCCTCGAAAACTTTTCTTATCATGAAATAGGCATCAACTAAAGTGCATTCAAGACAAATGTGCAGTGGAATAAATGATTTAAAAGGAAATGCCTGCAGCCACGCAGATCATGGGAATATTTCCAGCATCCCAGAAGCCATCCTCGTCCTGGGGGGCCCCCTCCTAGTAGTCCCAAGCTTCTCCTCCTCCTTCCCCCTAATAAGTAGCCACCGTTCTGATTTGATGACAATCACTTCTTGCTGGACTTCACATGTTTTTCCACTATGGTTTGACTTTGCCGGTGTGTCTCTCTATTTTTCACCCTGGGTCAATTTCCTGGAGTTTTCAAGGCTGGACTATTGGGTGCGTGATCCAGGCCACCCGTTCCCTCTGTGCCCCACTCCTCCTCCCAGGCGCCCAGCCCACAGCCCACAGCCCACACTTCACCCTATAGAGAGTCAGGCTGGGGAGGCCGCAGGCTGGCCGTTCACAGAGGGGAATTCCTTCTCCACCCCTCGCTGCTGCACAGCCTCGGGGAAGGTTATTCAGTGCTTTAGGCTCCAGTGTCTCCTCTATGAAGTGAGCTCTCGGGAAGGCTGAATGTTGTAATGCTTGGAGAGGGTCTGACTTTCCTTCTCGAACCTTCCCACCTCCCTGCTTGGCTATTTCTATTCCTGGCACCTGGCATGCTTTTTCCTTCCCTTTGCACAGATTCTTGGATTTCTCCATCACAGCCCAATCCAAATGCATTTATGACCCTCTGCCCGATGACTTACTCTTCCAGATTTATTTCTCATGCTGCATCCCTACATTCTAAAAGGCTAACAAAAGCCTCTGCTATTCATTGGGCCTGCAGGCTCTTTCGAAGTATTATCCACCATCAACTAGAAGTGGATTATAGCTCTGTTTTATAGATGAGCAAATTGAGGCTTGCAGAGGGTAAGTGATTTTGCCCAAGGTCACAGAGTTGGTGAAGGACAAAACTGGGAATCCAACTCTGTCTCTCCAGTTGGGGCCATGTTAGCCCATGTGACACCTTTCTTCACCCAGTTCACAGTGGCTGTGGCCATTTCCAAGGCAGCTGCCTCACGCTTCTGACCGAGGAACTACACAGAAGTGGCAAAGAGCACCAGAGCCAGAGAGCCCAGGCCTCAGCCCCAGCACAACCACTTTCTGCCCGCTACCTTCAGCTTCCTCCTCTGTAAACGTGGGATGAAAGATAGCACTTACCGCCTCTGCAAACCTGCTGGCGAAGAGACCGCTTCCCCCATCGCGTTGTTATCAGCATTAAATGAGTTTATACACGCTCATTCCTGTGCCTGCTATGCTCCACAGATGTTACTTGTTACGCACATTCCTCACTCGGGGCTCCCAGAGGCTCAGCTTTCGTGCGGGGAAACTCCAGCCTCAGCCTCAGGTCTAGCCACATGGTTGAGGCCCCTCCACAAGCCTCCCAGAAGCCACGCTGTGTGTCTCCCACTCACCCACAAACCATCTCTTTGTGGAGCCTTGAAGCTGGGGGTTGGGGGAACCTTGCCCTTACACTGATGATGAAGGATCCCGAGGGCTCTGGGAGCCTCCAGTGGGTCCCAGCTCTGTGGCAGGAGGTTGGGCCACCGGGCAACGTCCATGAGTGCACATCACCCTGGGTCCCAACCCTTCCCTAGGCCTGGGCCTGTCCCGAAGTGGGTGCATCCATCTGACCCGGGAGCACTGGGGGTGCTGGAGGTGAGAGAAGGCACATGCAGGAGCTGACCTTAGTTGGGTGCCCTGAGTATGCTGGACCACATGAGAGGTGCTTCACAAATATTCTGTATTTTTCACTACCCTGTGAGATAGGTGACGTCAATTCCCATCTTATACTTGTGAAAAAGAAGCTCAGAGAGATTAAGCAATACACTCAAG
The DNA here is from genome assembly GCF_000001405.40 of Homo sapiens. Taxonomy (NCBI): domain Eukaryota; kingdom Metazoa; phylum Chordata; class Mammalia; order Primates; family Hominidae; genus Homo; species Homo sapiens. The sequence goes on from NC_000018.10 coordinate 49,014,820, forward strand.
GTCACATAGTTTTGGAATTCATACCAGGTCTGTCTGGCCCCAGAATCCAGGTTTTCCTTCCACAACAAACTTACTGCCCTAAGGTGGACAGTCCTCTGGTGTTAGCTGCGGGCAGTCCTGAGGGAATGATAAAGGTGAGACCCTCAACTCTCCCAAATAAGGGCCCCATCTCTGCTTCACAGAAATAGACATTTCAGAGACTTAAGAGAGGGGGATTGTGTTGAGTCTCTAGATAGATTTGGGAAGTATTGCCATCTTAACAAGACCAATTCGTGAATATGGGATTCATGAACATGGGATTCATGAACATGGGATGTCTTTCTATTTGTTGTAATTTTTAAAAATTTCCTTCAACAAGGTTTTATAGTTTTTAGAGTATAAAAAGATCTACTTTTTTTTTTTTTTTTTTTGAGAGAGGGTCTCACTTCCATCACCTAGCCTGGAGTGCAGTGGTGAGATTATGGCTCCCAGCAGCCTTGACCTCCCAGGTTTAGGTGATCCTCCCACCTCAGCCTCCCAAGTAGCTGAGAGCATAGCCTGGCTATTTTTTATTTTTTGTAGAGATGGGGTCTTGCCACGTTGCCCAGGCTGGTCTTGAACCCCTGGGCTCAGGTGATCTGCCTGCCTCACGCTCTCAAATGCTACATTTCTTTTGTTAAAGTTATTCCTAAGTATTTTATTCTTTTTTATGCTATTATGAATAGAATTGTTCTTTAAATTTCATTTTAGGTTCCTCATTTCTAGTGTATAAAGTCAGTTTCTGTGTATTGATTTTATATCCTGAAAATTTTGCTGAACTTATTAGTTCTAATTGTCTCTTAATGGATTCTTCAGGATTTTCTATACTTAAGATCTTGTCATCTGCAAACAGAGATCGTTTTACATCTTCCTTTTTATTTTATTTATTTATTTATTTATTTTTTGAGACAGAGTTTCGCTCTTGTTGCCCAGGCTGGAGTGCAATGGCACAATCTCGGCTCACCACAACCTCTGCCTCCTGGGTTCAAGCAATTCTCCTGCCTCAGCCTCCTGAGTAGCTGGGACTATAGGCGCCAGCCACCATGCCCGGCTAATTTTTGTAGTTTTAGTAGAGACGGGGTTTCTCCATGTTGGTCAGGCTGGTCTCGAACTCCCAACCTCAGGTGATCTGCCCACCTTGGCCTCCCAAAGTGGTGGGATTACAGGCGTGAGCCACCGCGCCCAGACTTACTTATTCCTTTTTAATCTGGAGGCCTTTTACTTCTTTTCTTGCCTGATCACCCTGGCTGGAACCTCCAGCACCGCGCTGAGCAGAAGTTGTGATGGGGACACCCTGCCTTGTTCCTGCTCTTAAGGGAGAAGCATCCAGTCTTGCACCACTAAGTACCGTGTTAGTGATGTGTTTTCATAGAAATCTTTTATGGGATTGAGGAAGTTCCCGTCTGTTCATAGTTTCTTGAGTGGTTTTATCACAAAAGGTTTTAAGCTATCATCATCTCATAAGAATATTTAAGAGATGGCAGGAGGGCACACGGCCCCTCCCCTGCTCAGGCTTGTCTGATCCCTGCACGAGGCACTCAGTGCTACCCCCACACCCCTTGCCTCCTCCCCAGAGGTGACCTGTCTTGTCTTCCGATTCCCATTCAAGTCTCAGAAGGGGAGAGCTTTGTCTCCGTGAATGTATACCCTCCCACACCAAAAATAAAAATAAAAACCCATCACAGCCCTGAGGCTGTTGGGACTGGGTCAGGGCCCAGTCCCCTGGCCTGTGAGTGGACACAGCCTGGAAGGGGGCAGGGTGGGGGAAGACTGAGGAGGGCTGAGAGGGGAGTCAACAATGGAGGGAGGGAAAGCTGTCAGCTCATAGCCCTCAGATACACGGGGTCTGAGGAGGGAAAAGGGGCTGGCAGGGCCAAGCTGGGGTGGCTGTGGGTCTCCTGTCACCAGCTCAGAACGTGCTGATGGGCTGGGCCTACGCCTGCCCAGACAGGGAGCCGTGGGGGAACAGAGAAGGGACTGTCCCCCTGCTGTTGTCACTCCCAGCACTTCGGCCAGCTCTCTCACCCTGCCCACCTCTAGGCACCCCTTCCAGGCACAGCACCCCTTCTTACCTCTGCCCATTCCTTCTCCCTGTCTCCTAGTTCCTCCTCAGGAGGCACCTGCACCCGGAGAGCCCTCTCTCCCACCAGGCCACCCCTGGCCCCTCAGCACTCTTGGCAGCATTGTCACAGCTGGCTGTGGCACACAGTGGATGCTCCTCCCCTGGGTTTACAGGCAGAGGTGAGAGGTGTGTGTGTGTGTGTGTGTGTGTGTGTGTCTGTGTGTGTGTTCAGGGAGGAGAGGGATAAAAGATAAGCGAGAGGGGCTGGTGGAGCAGGAGAGACCTCAGGGTCAACGGCTGGGGGACTCGGGGGAGCCCTCTCCAGCGCTGGAAGCCCATTCTCCCACATCCAGGGTGTGTGTGTGTGGAGGGGGGCATTCTTTTAAGGTGACTCATGCACCCTGCCTGCTCAGCTCTGCACGCCTGGGCTCCCGGGCTCTAATGAAGGTAATGAGGCCAACGAGGTATTTATGGCGCGTCCTCCTGGGGGAGCCTCGTGGCCTCCCAGCCATGACCTCAGTGCTCATGGGGACGGCCCCAGGCGTCCCAGGTCGGTGTCAAACTTGCAGGAGGAGGAAACTGAGGCGCAGGAGGAGGAAACTGAGGCCCAGGAGGGAGAGGGTCCACCCACAGATGCCGCCCTGTGGGCAGAGGATCTCAAGAAGCAGGAGGCCCCCTGCTCCCTCCACCAAACCTGTGGAAATCAGGGCTGTTAGCACAAAAAGGCCCAGTTAGGCCGGCTCCTTTCTTTTTCTTTTCTTTTTTTTTTTTTTGAGACAGAGTCTCGCTCTGTCACCAGGCTGGAGTGCAGTTGCATGATCTCACTCACTGCAACCTCTGCCTCCCAGGTTCAAGCGATTCTCCTGCCTCAGGCTCCCAAGTAGCTGGGACTAGAGGTGTGTGCCACCACGCCCAGCCAATTTTTGTATTTTTAGTAGAGACGGGGTTTCAGCACGTTGGCCAGGATAGTCTCGATCTCTTGACCTCGTGATCCGCCTGCCTCGGTCTCCCAGAGTCCTGGGATTACAGGCGTGAGCCACCGCCCCTGGCCTGGCCGGCTCCTTTCTAAGGTGGATCCGGGTGCAGGGTCCACCCTGCCTCCATGGTCCCCGCCTGCACCACCCCAACTCCTACTCATGGGGGTCACGATGCTGCCCTCCCAGGGGATTCCCCTGCTGCAGACCTGCCCCACCTGGCCAGGCACTATTGGGGAAACCAAGGCAGGGGCTTTGCCCCCACTCTGGGGAGTCTGAGGAGTGGCATGAACCCAGGAAGACACAGGAGAAGGAAGGGACAGGCGGGCCTGCAGGAGCAGCCGAGCTGAGCTCCTGATGCCTAAGGGGCCTGGGTCTGGGCCTGAGTCTGCGCCTTTCCAGGAGGGGCTGGGCTTCGTGCAACCGTGAACTCCTAGGGCCCCTTCAGCAGGCCTTGGCTGGCCCAGAGGCCCTGAGGCAGTTCTGCCAGTCCTTACGAAGCAATGGCCCTGCTCAGGGTGAGGGAAGAGAGGCCCAGGCAGCCTCGCTTCATTTCCAAGGCCGCCATCTTCATTTCCAGGGCCGCCATGTCCCCAGCTCTGGGGTGGCTTTGCCCTTGGAGGCTGGTAACCCCAGGAAACCTCTGCATCTCCCTAGCTGTGGTCAGCAGGCCCCTTCTCCGGCAGACCCTGCCCCTCGCACCCTACAAGGATAAGCAGGGTTCCCTGGTGGCAAAGCCTTGGGCCAGGCCTCTATCCCTGGCCTGGGGGTGCCCTGGCCTCGCTTATTCTCATCCCCGACCTGAGCTCAGCCTGCATGGCTGAGGGACAGAGGCCACTGTACCCTGGGCCTGGGGTTAACGGTGTCATCTGCTAAGCCTCCACTACCGAGAGCGCCACCAAGTCCTCTCCACGCATGTTCACATCTAACCTCCACAGCAGCAGCCTGAGGAGGATTCTATTAAACCGCGCCGAAACAGAGTGAGGTCTAGAGAGGGCGTGTCCTCGTCCTGGGAAAGGACAGAGCAGGGACTTGAAGTGTCCCGGGAACTGATCCTCAGCCCGGGGATTGCTGTGCCCCAGGATCTGCCGGCTCCTCCGACACCTCAGACCCCCGCAGCCAGGCGTGAGCAGGGGGCCGCCAGCTGGGGCGTTCGGGGCAGGCCTTCTGCAGAGGGCTGTCTGGTTCATCTCCTCACCGCCCAGGACATGGCTGGGGAACCGCTCAGGCCACGGCAGGGGTGGGAGGGACTCCTGCCCGCCAAGGGACTGGAGTTCTGGGTGCAGGTTGGGGAACCAGTCTCTAGGGTAGGGTCCTCAGGCGGGGCCGCCCCAGAGCGCCCTTGGCATTGGGCACACACCTGCAAGGGGCCCCTCCAGGCCTGGGCTCTGGGGCACCAGTGTCCCAGGCCTGGCGGTGCCATCCTGAAGGGAAGCAGAGGCGGGAGAACAGCGGGTAAATGAGCTGGGAGCCCGGGGTTATGGGGGGCACAGCTCTGCCATCCAGCCCTGGCCCACCCGACAGGCTGAATGACCTTCCACAGTCTTTGTCCTCTCTGGCTGCAGGCCACAGCTGTGAAGTGCAACTTTCCCTCAAGGACACCCAGCCAGGGAACCCCCCTCCCACCTGGAGTCCCCCTGGTCCTATGACATAAGCCCTATCTTGGCTGCAAGTGTGTGCAAGCATGTGAGTACGAGTGAGTGAGTCAGTGTGTGTAAGCAAGTGTGTGCGTGTGAATGTGAGTGAATGTGTGTGATGTGTGGTGATGAGAGTGAATGTGACTGAGCATGTGTGATGTGTCTGGTGTGTGGTGAGTGTGAGTGAATGTGACTGAATTAGCATGTGTGATATGTGGTGAGTGTGAGTGAACGAGCATGTGTGATGTGTGTGGTGTGTGTGGTATGTGAGTGTGAGTGAATGAGAGTGTGTGATGTGGCGTGCGTGTGTGAATGAGCATGTGTGTGGTGTGTACAAGTGTGAATGTGAGTGAATGTGTGTGTGTACTGTGTGTGTGTGATGTGTGGTGTGTGTGTATGAGTGAATGAGCGTGTGTGTGGTGTGTACGAGTGTGAATGTGAATGAATGTGTGTGATGTGTGTGTGTGAATGAGTGTGTGTGTGTGAATGAGTGTGTGTGATGTGTGGTGTGTGTGTATGTGTGTGTGTGCACGTACATGCGCGGATCCCTGTGAGTCTGGGACTGAGTGAGGAAAAGTGCTCCAAGGTCCCCCAGGCCACACATCCACTGTTTCCCAGCAGCCTGGCTCCTGCTGTAACTGCTGAGCGTGAAGAGCTGGTCCCCAGGCAGCACCGGGGTGACAACCATGAATGTGCTCCACACAGGAGCGGGGTGTCAGGCAGGAGGGGATGGTCTCTCTTGCCATCAGGCTGCCCTGGCTGTAACCCTCGCTCCAGCTTCCTGCCCCGGCATCCCCCAGCAGCTCTGGGGCAGGAGGAATCGTGGCCAGCCCTAGGGACAGGGGACTTGGGTGGATATGCAGACTCCCCCACCCCCGGCCTTCTTCTCCACCCAGGGAGGCTGCCCTTTGCCCCTCACCCTGTGCCCCATGCCTCTTCCACCCTCACCCCTTCTATAGATCGTCACAGACCCCAAACCAGGCTCCCTGGTGGTGGCTTGCTGTGGTTTGGGGTGGAAGTCTGGCAACCCAGACCCTACCCCCATTCCCCCATCCTGGCACCTCTGCTCTCTGAATCCCCTGAAGGCTCAGGTGGCCTGAAGTTGTCTTTCTTGCCTCTGGGGAGCTGACATTGGAAGCCCCAGTCATGGCCTCTCCCGAGTCCAGACCTATGTCTCCGGTGGTTTCTGCATGTCCACAGGGATGTGTCATCCCCACTACAGACTCGGCATGCCTGAAAACAGCCTCCTCACCTCCCCTCGGCCCCAAAACGCACCACCCCCTCCACTGACATCCTCCCAGGCGCCCAGCCTGAGGCCATCACCTGGAATCAAATCCCACCAGCACGGACAGAGGCGGCCGCGTGGCGGGCAAGGGGAAAGAGGCGCTGGCTCTGGAGCTGGGGAAGCTGGGTCCAAGCCCCTGCAGTCCCTGTGTGAGCTGGGGCCCAGAGCTACCTCCTGAGGCCTCAGTTTCCCCTCTGTTTCGGAGCTGGTGGGAGAGTGACTGAGACTGGGTGAAGTGTGTGGAGAGTGGCAGGGGGCTCGTCCAGTGTGGGTCCCGGATCCCGCATGGGAACCCTTGCAGTCGTCAGGGCCTGGCTGCAATTGCCTGTGAGGGCCCTGCCTACCCTGGCCTCCCCTCCGCTCCCACACAGCTGTCCAGTTCCACCATGACCTTTGCCAAGCCATGCCCCGGCTCAGACCCCTCCAGGGCCGGCATGGTCACCACACTGGAGTCCAGTGCCACTGCCCCCACTGCCACAGCTGGGCCCTGGCTACCCCTCTAGCCCTTCACCAGGACATCCCATCCCCACCTCTCCAGGCAAAGCGCACAGCTAGTGTGGTCCCCCACCTCCATCTGCAGCACGCAGCCCCCAGGGGCCCTAACTCACCCCCTCTTCCCTCACAGGGCTTCCCTGCCGTCCAGTGTTGGGTGAGAAAGGTGGAGGGGACATGTAGCCCCGGATGGAGGTGCAGCACCAACGAGAGAGCTCCGGCCTGTGGGAGGGACGCTCAGGCTTAGGTCAAAGCCAGGAGCTCCGGGAAACCTGGGTTCAGCCGCCACGCCCCACGGAGGGGACACACCCTTCCCTGCCTGATGGCAGGGCCCATGGTAGACAAAACCCATGACCTCACCTCTCCTGGCTCCAGGGCTCAGCCCTGCCCACTTCTGGAGAATTCCATGACTCAGGTAACAGAGGAGGGGCCTAGCCAGTCTCAGAGCCAAGGTCACACCGCCCTACACCTTGCTGTCCCCACAGCATCTGCAGGAGGAGCATGCCAGGACCAGAGACCCAGGGAGCAGCCTCACCAGAGGGAAAAGAGCCTGTAGAGTGGTGAGCTCAGGTTTGTAGCTCCCGCAGGCAGGGCATGAGGGGCTGGGAGGCGGGGCCTGGGCCTGGCGTCAGGGAGGTTACCTAGCAGACGGTCCCACAGTCCACACTCAGGGCTGCCAGGTACAGCTGCATGGGTTGTGCACTGCTTAACTGCAGAGGGCGCCCCACACACAGACTTGACATGCTGGCTGGACCACAACGTGATGGCCCTGATTGTTACACACAGACACATACACACGCACGTGCACACACATGCAGACACACACATACATGCACACGCATGCATACTTGGGTCCACACAGCCTTTTTTTTTTTTTTTTTTTAAAAGAGGTGGGTCTTGCTCTGTCACCTAGCCTGGAGTACAATGGTATGATCATAGCCCACTGTAGCCTCGACATCCTGGGCTCAAGCAATCCTCCCGCCTCAGCCTCCTGGAAATATAGGTGTGTGCCACCACACCCAGCTAGATTTTAAAATGCTTTTTAGTGGCAAGATCTCACTATGTTGCTTAGGTTGGTCTTGAACTCCTGGGCTCAAGTGATCCTCCCGCCATGGTCTCCCAAAGTACTGGGATTACACACAGCCTCTTGGGGAGTTATTTCACACCTGTGTCCTAATGGGCTCACACGGCCTCTGCCCTGTTTAAGGATGGCAACAGTGAAGTAAAGGAGTGACTGTTGGGCAGGGGAATGGGCTTGGAATGGAAGAGCTGACCTGAAACCACTTTGCTGGGCCTGCCACATGTTCTCAAATATCAAAATCATCATCACAGCCCTAACTAGGACCCACTGGGCCAGGGCTGGGGCCACCCTCTCCACTGGCCATGGCCTCAGCTGAGTGGAGCCACTTCCCATTCTCTGAACCTGCCTTGATTTGGGGCTGACCAAGCCCTTGCTCATGGTGTCCCCAAGCTGGATCTCCCCCATATGGACTTTGAGGCACAGATGAAATGTGACGTTGCACGTGGAGGCTGCCCTGGCCCCTGGAAGGCCTGCACCACCCACCCCCGAGGCTGCAGGCTCTCCCTTCCCTGGGCTCCCGCCTCCCCTCCCACAGGCGTGCCCATGCCTTGCCTCTTAGGAGCTCCCCTCGGGATAACACTTCCAGCAACACACACCTGTGAGGCATGGACCATGGATGCATCAGGCTCTGCTCTGAGGGCGCCACCTTGCAGCACGGGCTTAATCTTCGTAACAGCTTTGCGTGAACATCAATTATTACCTCCATTTTATAGATAAGGAAATGGAGGCCCTGAGAGGTCCCACAGCCAGTACGTGCTGGAGTGTGATTGGAACCCAGGTGGTCTGTCTCCGGGGTCCATGTTCTTCAGCCCCTCTATGATGCTGCCTTCCCTCTTTTCAGGCTCTGGAGTGAATGGTGATGGAGCCTTGGCTTGGTGTGCTGGACACTTGCTTGGTGCCCTGAGCCACCACGTCCAAGTCCAGCTACTGTGAGGTCCCATGCTGGGAGGAATCCCAGGCCCTAGGCCAGGTTCCAGCTGACAGCCCCGGCTGAAGTCCCAGACCACAGCCAGCGTCGCCCCCCAAGACCTGAGGGAAGACATTCACGTCCAGGTCATTTTGGCTCCAGCTTTGGAGACCTGCCAGTGAGCCCTAGACATCATGGACGGGGCAAGCTGCCCCTTCTGCGCCCTGTCCGATCTCCTAACCACAGAATCTGGGTGCATAAGAAAACGGTTGTTTGAAGCAGCTGAGTTCTGGCGTTACTTGTCATGCAGTAACTGATAAACAAAACAGCTGCCACCTGCTTCCTGCCCACCCTGTACAAAGACTCCTGTCACCACGGAGCCTGGCACCTCTGGGTGGCTGAATTCATTGTGCTCATTTCTGCGTGACCTTTCTTCACCTCTCAGCCCCATTCCAGCCTTCTCGGTGATACCCTGGCCCTTGGCTTCTATGACCCCTTCTCCCTTCTGTTCCTTCCTCCTCCTCCATGCCTGGGCCTCAGTTCCCCCCAAGGAGCTCCCTTCTGTCCAGCACCCCTAAATGTGGGTGTACCCCAGGATCTCCACCTTAGCTTATGCTTATCTCCCATGCACAGGACCCCAAATCCATGTCCCCGGGGCAGACCACATCCTGGGTGGCCTGTGGGACGTCTCCTCGGCAGCCCAAAGCACCCTGGCCCTGGCCTGCCTCTCCTCCCGAACCTCCTGCGGCCCTTGTCCTGGTCACCTGGTCTACTGAGCCGCCTCTGGGGTGCCGCAGAGAGATGGTCCAGGGAGGGGCTGTACAAATCAGGCCAGGCTGGAGGGCTGATGGGGAACCCTGGGGCCTTCATCCCCAGGAGGAGGCAGAATCAGAGTTCACAGGGAGAGAGCTGCCTGGGAGCAGTGGACCCCACGTTTCTGCTTCAGGGATGGACAGCTCTGCTGGGTGAGAAGAAAGCTCAGGCTGGCGGGGATGGCAAAGGAGCTGCTCTCGGACCCCCAATCCTGTGTATGGGTGGGTGTATGTTGGGCAGGGAGTGTGGAGTGGGGAGGGCCCCTGACAGAAGAGGAAAGCAAAGAAACGTGGTTAAACAGGGAAGCACTGAGGGTCAGACCAAAGTAATGAGAGGCGTCTGGTGTTGTGGCTAAATTATGTCCCCCCAGTTCCTCCACTGAAGTCCTAACCCCTGGTACCTCAGAATGGGATTGTGTTGGAGATGGGTTTGTTTTGTTTTTGTTTTTTTGAGACAGGGCCTCACTCTGTCCCCCAGGCCGGAGTGCAGTGACATGATACGGCCCTCCCCAGCCTCTACCTCCTGGGCTCAAGAGATCCTCCTGCCGCGGACTTCCTGGTAGCTGGGATGAGGGGTAGGTACCACCATGCCTGGCTAATTTTTGTATTTTTTTGTAGATATGGGGTTTCACCATGTCGCCCAGGCTCGTCTCAAGCTCCTGGCCTCAGCCTCCCAAAGCAATGGGGTTACAGGCATGAGTCACTGTGCCTGGCCCAGAGATGGGGTTTTTAAAGAGAGGTAGTGAAGTTAAAGTGAGGCCATATCGGTGGGCCCTGATCCAACATGACAGATGTCCTTAAAAGAAGAGGAGATTAGGGCACAGATAAGACACAGACCAGGGGCAACCGTGCGAGGCCGCGGCAGGAAGGTGGCCGTCTGCAAGCCCCACCACTAAGGGCAGCTGCTCCAAGAGCCAGGCAAGGCCTCTCCAAGAGGCCTCAGGGGCAGCCAGCCCTGCCCATGCCCTGATTATGGACATCCAGCTTCCAGAATGGTCAGAAAATACACATCTGTTGTTTCAGCCGCCCTGTTTGTGGCACTTTGTCGTGGTGGCCTCAGCGCGTGAATACACCCGGATTCCGTGTGGAGCTGGGAGAAGGGGGTGTGTGAAGGGTGGTTTCAGACGAAACTGTGCCTTCCACCCCCACCCCCCCAGACAGGGGGTCCTCAGGGCTGCCCACACCCCCTCGCCAGCTGGCTCTGTAGCCCCTCCCCCAGTTCCTGAAGGTTCAGTCCTTTGCAACATGCAGTGAACCTAAAAGGAAATCTGGAGGTCCTTTAAGAAACACCTCCCCACCCCACCTCCCAAGATGCTGTATCAGCAACAGCCTCCGAAGGTGCCCAGACACAGATACCTGCATGAACACAGCATGACTGTCATCCATTAGCATCCCAGTGTTACAAATTTGTTCTAAAATTGTCCAAAGGACATGGAAAATAGCCCCGCTTTGAAGATGTGTGCATTTTGAGATGGCCGTCTCACCACATCTGGTTTCCTGGTCTCTACGCCCAGGAGGAGGCTGAGTTGGGGCTTCCTGCTCTCTATGGGGTGGGGAGTGGCTGGTTTGAGGATGTTTCTCTGCCCTGGACACCCCTGCTCTGCCAGCTCTGTCCTGGTGGGGCTTTAACTGGTGCAGCCAGTGGCTGGGCAGGACCGACCCTGAGCAGGACTCACCTCCCTGAGTGCCCCCTCTCCACACACCCTGGCACCAGCCTCTCCCAATGACAATAGATCCTTCAGCCCCTACATCCCTCAGCCAACAGCCCCCTGCCAAGTGGAAGCCTCCTCCTAGCCTCAGGGCGGGCCAACCTCCCCTCTGGCCTCCACGGCCTCTGAGGTCTGTAGGGAAGAATGTCATCCCCATTATGCAGACTGGTGACCTGGCACAGGAAGGGCCAGCTCCTCATCGCTGATGCTGGTGTTTTGTTTGTCCTGTGCGCTTGGCAGGTAACGGGAATGGCAGGACTGTGGTTGAGCTTTGGGAGCCCGGGAAGGAAGGATACTGGAGCTGGGCTGATCCAGGACAGCTTCCTGGAGGAGGCGGGATTTAAACTGGTCAATGAGGTGAGTCCTCCTCAGAGGTGGCTAAGACCCAGGCTCTGGCCCCAGGCAGTTTCTTCTGCTCCCTCTACACTCACCCAAAAGACAGACAGCCCCACCACAAGGCCCCCCATGCCAGGCTCTGGGCAGAGCTCTTGGGGCTTAGGTGCTGCTCCGCCCCACTGCCTGGTCTTTGCATCTCTTCAACACACACCCAGGGAAATTCCCTCCATGAGGTTGTCATCCAGGTGAATTCAGGTCGGGACCAATATTGCTGGCAGCCTGCAGTGACAGTCGCCACCACTGAGCCCCTGCCATTTCTCCATCCCCTGCTTCCTGGGCACTCTGCATCTGTCATCTTGTGCTCCACAGTCCTGCTTCTACAGGCTTGGCATTCCAGGTACAGATGGGGAAACTGAGGCTCAGAGAGTCCAGTGACAGCCCAGGCACACAGGTGCCCCTGGGTAGCCAGGCAGCTGCTGCAGGGCCAGGTTCTGTCCAGGGTAGCCAGGTGGGGAGGTGGGGAGCACCCTGGTCTCTGCCCCAGCAGTAGTGGCCAGGAGGGAGCCAAGTGTGTGGGTATCAGCTTCCGTGGTTTGGAACTCAGTGTGGCCCCAACCCTGTGCCATAGCTCCTTGGTCTCAGGAGCATCTGGTCACCTCTCCTGTCCGGATGTTCCTGGGGACCTTACAGATGCCAACATGGCGATGGGGCTCCTGTGTGAAGCGCATGGCATGACGCTGCCCCGAGGGGCTTCCTAACATCGTGGAGTCAGGGTCCCGACCGGGACACTGTGGGCCCAGGGAGGGGCATCTGACCAGCTGGGTTGGCTGCAAGGACAGCTGCTGAGTCTGGCCTTGAAGGGGGACAGTGACTGACCAGGGAGATGGGACAGAAAGGGTGGTCCGGACAGAGCAGAGGCAGGGGGACGAGTGAGGGTCTTGGGGCGGGGGGCTAAGGCTACACCCCTCCCCTGAGACATCTCTCTGCTCAGCCCTGGCCCCCAGTGGGGTGGGTAAATAAAGTCTAGCTCAGGGCTTCCTTGGGACCATCAGCCCTGAGTCGGCACTGGGGTCCAGAGCTGGGAGCCTGCAGACCTCTCCCAGGCTGGGGACTCCACTCTTATCCCTGGAAGGTTTTTGAGTCCCCCAGGCCAGGCGGGTGGGCCCCTTCAGGAGCTGGGCTGGGGCTGGATTGGGGAGGGTGAGCTATGGCAAGGACAGATGTTTCCAGTTTGAGGTCTCGGGCTGCCATCAATTGTTCCACTAAACCCTGTTTCCTATTAAGCAGACTCCGGGAGGTGGAGAAGTTGCCTTCCATCATGCAGTCTCTGTGTGTGTGTGTGTGTGTGTGTGTGTGTGTGTGTGTGTGTGTAGTGGGTGCTGAGGACTGGCTGGGGAGGCCATGAAGGGCTATGGACATGTCTGTTCTCCATGCCTCCTGGCCAACCATGGGCAGAGCTGGACTTTGTCCTGGGAACTGTCCCTTGGCTCCGGAGCAGCTTCATCTGACTGAAGGGCTGAGAGCCGGGACTTGGGAGGGCTCTGGTTGGGGATTCTCACTACACACCTGGCCATGACCTTCTCCTCTGCCCGTGGGCAAACTATGGTTGGTCACCTGCCCATCCCTGCGTTCCCTGTCCTTCTTCCTGAAAGAGTCTGTGTTAGTCTGTTTCATGTTGCTATAAAGGAATGCCTGAGGCTGGGTAATTTATAGAGGTTCGATTGGCTTATGGTTCTGCAGGCTGTACAGGAAGCATGGCACCAGCATCGGCTCAGCTTCTGGTGAGGCCAAAAGAAGCTTACTGTCATGGCTGAAGGCGAAGTGGGAGCCAGTGTATCACGTGGCGAGAGAGGGAGCAAGAGAGCCAAGGGGGAGGCCCCAGACTCTTAAATGACCAGATCTAACTGAGTAAGAACTCACTCATCCCCAAGGGAATGGCACTAAGCCACCCATGAGGGATCCGCCCCCATGATCCAATATCTGCCACCAGGCCCCACCTCCAACATTGGGGATCACATTTCAACATGAGATTTGGAGGGGACCAACATCCCAACCATATCAGAGCCTGATTAATATCCTGGGACTCACTCTCCTCTCCGCAGCTAAGTGGGCTGGCCCCCGACCCTGATTCGGTGCCATGATGGGGACTCCTGTCCTTGCCAATAATGGTTTAGGAATGGGTGTGGGAAACAGGCCTGGGCATGGAAATGTGAAGGGGCCTCTGGGAGAGGAGCCCCACTCCTGAGCTGTACTCCAGATGAGATCACGCTCTGATGTAACACCAGGAGCTGTGGCAGCCCTCTTGTGAGTATGAGGGAAGCCAGCCAGAGGGTGTCAAGTACAGAGGGACACAGCATAGGACCTTAGGATGGCACTGAGCTGCTGTCTTCGCCCTCACTGGGGCTTCCTAACCTGTGAGATGACACCAGCTCTGGTTTCCTTAGGGCTTACCATTTCTAGACACAGTGCTAAATGCTCACATTATTCAACCATTATTTCTTGTAATCAGGTAGATTACAAGGTGTGGGATGCAGATGTGCAGAAATCACACATAAATCCCTGCTCCCTGAGAAGGTACATTCTCCATTTAAAAAAATATAGTCTTGCTCTGTCATCCAGGCTGGAATACAAGGGCACAGTCATGGCTCACTGCAGCCTTGACCTCCTGGGCTCGAGGAATCCTCCCACCTCAGCCTCCTGAGTAGCTGGCACCACAAGCACACACCACCATATGTGGCTATTTTTTTTTTTTTTTTTTGTAGAGACAGGGTCTCACTATGTTGCCCAGCCTGGTCTCAAACTCCTGACTTCAAGTGACCCTTCTGTCTTGGCCTTCCAATGTGCTGGAATTACAGGTCCAGCCACATTCTCCATTCTTTGAATGCTATTTCACTTAAGCCTCAAACCATAGCCTAAGCTGAAGTGCACACATCATGGTCTGTCTTCGAGACACAATCTCCCCACATAGAGAGGGCTCTCCAGACAGTAGAGGCTGGAAAGCAAAAGGCTTCATTCTCCAGGCACTTCTGAGGCTGGGGTTCTGCATTCAGCCCAGCTTTCTCCAAGAAGGGCCACCCAGCTGGGACTTGGAAAGTGGAGTGAGCATTGGGTACGGCAAGTACGTGGGCATGCAGGCAAAGTAGTGGCCCTTGGCTTCTCCGGGGTCATTGTGGGCAGAGTCTCACGACTGGTCTCTAGCTGCATGGCAGGATGCCGAGTGTTGGGCAGGGCAGCAGCCACGTTGCCTCTCAGTCCTGGGGAGCAGTTGGGAGTTTACCCTGGCTGGGTGTCATCCAAGCTTAGGTCCCTGGCTCACCCTGGAATTGGGCAGCTATCTAATATTCAGAAATAAACGCTTTTTTCCCCAAATTAGCTCAAGTAGATTACATGTTTACTGCAAATAACATCACCTAAAATGCACTTACGGGAGATGGCTGGTGGTAGATGGTGGGAATTCACCCAGCATGGGTAGAAAGCTGGTGTCTCTTGTTATGCAGTGGAAAAAGGTTAGGTCAAACTCTTGCCTCCTGTATGTAGGAAGGAAGGCCACAGCCAGACATGAGGCCGGTGCAGTCACAACATGGAACTGTCTTCGGGCTCCTGTTCTTTGGGGAGGGTGTGTGGTGCTCTCTGCAGGGGAAGGCGGCTGTGCGTGGATGTTGGATAGGGAAAGGGAGACATCATTAAGTAACATCCTCCTTCACCTGCATTTCCCCACGGCCCTTCCGGTGCACCAGGACCCAGGAAATAGAGCCGAAGCAAAGTCACAGTCTTCCTGGGCTTGCGAGTCAGAGGGTGCAGGTTGGGGTAGCCAGTGTGGCTGGAAGAAGAGGGACAATATACTAGAGAGGAAGGAGCCCCAAATTTGCCAGTAATTCCTCTTAAGTCACTGGCTAAGCTGAGCCTGTGCAGAGCAAGACTCCAACCTAGAATTTTGAAAACATCTTCAAAAATGAAGATAAAAGAAAGGCATTTATAGATAGACAAAAGCTGAATTTGTCATCAGCATGGTGACCACCCTGTCCTGGGTACCCGTTATATCTACCAATGAGGAATAATCACATCATCATTTTTGGCAGCCACTACACACAACTGGAACTCCTAAATACTGTCCTGAGTGAAGCCACCGAGTGGGACTCGTTTTCCTAAACCCAAACCACCAGATGCAAGGGCTGAGCTCCACGATGGTTCCTGCCACATCTCATCCCTGGGACTCAGCCCATTCCTCTCTCTGGATCCTCTCTATCATGTGCTGTATTGAGTAGCCCCGTCACCTCATCATTCACAGATGTGGAGAACATTCTTTCTATATCTTCCTCCACACGCTGATAAAACTGTTGTACAGGGCTGGGCTGAGAAGCAGAGACCAGAACCATCCCTCTAGAAACCATCCTCAGATCAGTTCTCAAAGTCTCTGGGATTGGCACAACTTTGCATTCTTAAAAACTACTGAGGACTCCTAAAAACTTTTGTTTATGTGGGTTATATCTGTCCATATTTATTAAAAAATTAAACAGAAATTTAAAAATAGTAACTCACTAAAGAGTAACAATACTAAACCCATGACATGCTAACATAAATAACTTTTATGAAGAATACTATGTTTCAAAAGAAAAAAAGATTTGTGAAAAGAGTGGCATCGTTTTGCATTTTTGCAAATCTCTAGTGTCTGCCTTAATAGAAGACAGCTGGATTCTCATATCAGTTTCCACATTCAATCTGTTGCAATATCACACACATGCAGCTTCTGGAAAACTCCACCGAACATTCATGAAGGAATGAAAGAGAAAAGGCAAATAACATGATGATGATGATGATGATGATGATGATGATGATGATGATGATGATGAAAGCACCTTAGGGATCCCCAGGTCTCCTGATCCCACTTTGAGAACTGTTGCTTAGGTCACCACCTCTCCATTGGCGGGTGCCCTAACCCTCTAGTAACCCTGCCCAAAGAAGCAAATGGCCTGTTTTCGATGACTCTAACCTTGTTCCACCACACCTTGGTATAGGAAGATGTAGAAACTGAGCCCCCAAGAGACTGTGTCAGCCTGAGCTTTCACAGTTGGCACATGGAACTGAAACTCAGGCTCTGGAGTCATGGAAGATGATCACGGATGGGTGCCCACCCCCAAGCCTCCGTGATGGTTTGGCTGAATTACGTCCCTGGCTCACACGCTAATCTGTCTCATCTCCCCAAGTGCAGTGAAGGACCCTGGAGGCCAGGGAGGAGGTCTCTTCTCTGACAAGCTCTTCCTGGGCCCCCTTCAGGGACAGTGGACCCACTCTATCAGCTGCAATAGCAACATTTTCAAGGAAGCAATCCATGTCCCCATCCACATAGTGGGAGCTGGGTGCAAGGGGCTTCTCGATGTTCCAAAAAAATAAGGATTTTGAGGACAGTGGTGGGGTGTGGGAGAATGATGAGATCTGAGGTGCGGTGTGACTTCTCAGCCTCTTTCTCTGTCTTTCCTCTATCACGGGTGGGGCCGGGGCCCAGATGAGTACAGGCATGTGAGAAGATGGAAACGTGAACTGTAATGTCATGAGGATGTCACCCCCTTACACAGTGTCTCATGTAAACGTCCCGTTTCACAAGGAAGACGGTGACGTCAGGAAGTGTGGGGGACTTGCCAAGGCCACGCGGCCAGTGAATGCCAGAGTAGGGTGAAGAGTGGAGTTGCTTCCCCAAAGCCCAGGGTGGCCACGAGGGCTTTACATTTAAGTGTCTCTCCATGGCCTTGGCTCAGAGCTGGGGGCCCAAAGCCCAGACAGCAGCTGCCACACGTGTAGAGAAATTCCGTCTTGGGTTGGAGGCCCCTCCTCTGCCTCAGGAAGTGGTAAGAACACAGACCAGGAATCCCCATGCTTAGGGGGAGGGGGCCCTTCTCATGGCAGGCAGTGTTCCTGGCTGGGTGCGGAGGGTCGCCCTGCTCATGCTCAGGTGTGAGGCCCGACAGCACTGAGCGGGGGAAAGGGGCTGGGGGTAGAGACTGGGCTCATCAGGGCTTACTGACACCTACTGTGGGGTGTCAGTAAGTGTCTGTGGGGAGGGGCGATTTTGGCATTCATTTCAATGAACAGCCATTTCACTGGGCTCCATGCATCAGTCGGTAGAAATTCATTTAACAGTAATCGAATATCCAAGAGGAAAGCTTGAGAACTTAAGAAAAACAACCAACTCAACCTCCCAGAAGCCAGATCTTCTCTGTTTCATTCATTGTTTTAGGACTAGTTACAATACTGTTCCTCTAGCAAGACCCATCTAGAATTTAGTGGGTGAGGAAACATTTAAGAGAAATGACTAACTTATTCTGTGGTAAATTTCTATCAGTCTTGTTTAAAATGCAAATTAGCTTTAGATTAGCTTTAACAGTTTTAATTGTAAAATCTAATAAACATACAGAAAATACATAAGATGAAAATGAACAGTTCACTGATTTATTGCCAATGAAACACTTACATGACCACTGGCCATGAGGAAATAGAACGCTGCCAGCTTCCCGAGTCCCTCCTATGCCTCTCCCAATCACGGTCGCTTCTGTTTTCCCAAAAGTAACCCGTATCCTGGCTTTCACATTAGGCATGTACTTGTCCTTCTTCAAAGTTTTACTACTTAAGTGTACATCCCCAAACTATAGGTTTATTTTGGCCTTGTTTTCTGTATGTAAATGAGCTCATACAGTATGTATTCTTTTGTATCAGTCTTCTTTTAGATGCTATAATATTTGAGTTTCATCTGTGTAACTGAATGCAGCTGGTTATTTATTTTTCACTGCTGTATAGTATTACATTGCATAGATATATTGCTATTTATTTACACGTTCTACTGTTGATATTCCTGGTGTTTCCAGTTTTTAGGTATTATGAATAATTGCACTATCAACAGTCTTGAACCTGTTGCTAGGTCTTAGGGGATGAGTATCTTCAACTTTGGTAGATATTACTAAACAGTTTTTCAAAGTGCTATCAATTTATAGTCCTACATGGACTACATGTAGGGTATCAGATTTCCTGTTCTTCCACATCCTCACAAACACTTGATGTTGTTGACCTTTTTAACTTAGCCATTCTGGTGAGTGAGTAGGGGGTATCTCATTGTGGGTTCAATTTGAATTTTTCCTTGATTTCAGCACTTTTCTATGTTATTGGTGAACTGAAAACATTTTTGAGAAATGCCTGTCTTTTGCCAATTTTATTTTTCCTCATTGAATCCTTTATATAGTCTTTATTTGACTCCTTTGTGGTTCTATACATTACAAAGATCTGCTTTCACTCTGTAGCTTACCTTCTCACTCTCTTATTGATGTCTCTTGTTAAACAGAAGTTCCTAATTTGACCGTAATCTGATTTATCTGACCTTTTCTTTATGGTTGGTATTTTTTGTTTTCTATCTAAAGGACATGAAGATAGTCTCCTATGCTTTCTTCTAGAATATTATGGTTTAACATTTCACATTTAGCTCTATAGTCCCCTGGGAACTGATTTTGCAGACAGAGTGAAGTAGGGGTCAAGATTCATTTTCCCTTCACTGTGCCAACGCCATTTATTGGGGAAAAAAATCATTTCCCCATTACCCAGCAGTGTCCCTTTTGTCAAATCAATTGTCCTTATATATGTGGACCTTTAAGTTCTATTTCATCAATATGTTTTGTCTACCCTTATAACAATACTAAACTTAGAGTAAATTTGTAAGTCTTTGTTTTCGTTTTGAGATAGGATTTCGCTCTGTCACCTAGGTTGGAGTCCAGTGGTGCAGTCTCAGCTCACTGAAACCTCTGCCTCTGGGCTCAAGCAATCCTTCTGCCTCAGCCTCTCCAGCTGCTGGGACTACAGGTGTGCACCACCACACTTGGCTAATTTTTAAAATTTTCTGTAGAGACAGAGTTTCACCATGTTGCCCAGGCTGGTCTCAAGCAATCCTCCCACCTCAGCCTCTCAAGTGCTGGGATTATAGGTGTGAGCCACTGCACCTGGCCTATAGGTTTTAATTAGAGTACATCTGTAAGTTGTAGACATCTAGCAATGTAAGTATGGGCTTTATTCTTTTTCAAGGTTTTCTGTGCAATTCTAGGCGTTTTGCATTTCCATGTAGATTTTAGGCAAAACCAATTTGTCAAGTTTTCCCATTCCCCCAAAATACTGGGATTTGGATTGAGATTGCATTGAATCCGTAGATCAATTCTGAGATATCGAGCCTTCCAACTTATGAATCTAATGACCCTGGAGTGGTCCCTTATTTAGGGAACCCTTATTTAGATCTTTAGTTTCAATCACACTTTATTTTAGATTGATCTCTGAGTATTTGTTTTATTATTTATTTTTTTATTATACTTTAAGTTCTAGGGTACATGTGCACAACGTGCAGATTTGTTACATATGTATACATGTGACATGTTGGTGTGCTGCACCCGTTAACTCATCATTTACATTAGGTATATCTCCTAATGCTATCCCTCCCCCCTCCCCCCACCCCACGACAGGCCCCAGTGTGTGATGTTCCTGACCCTGTGACCAAGTGTTCTCATTGTTCAATTCCCACCTATGAGTGAGAACATGTGGTGTTTGGTTTTCTGTCCTTGGGATAGTTTGCTCAGAATGATGGTTTCTAGCTTCATCCATGTCCCTACAAAGGACATGAACTCATCCTTTTTTATGGCTGCATAGTATTCCATGGTGTATATGTGCCACATTTTCTTAATCCAGTCTATCATTGATGGACATTTGGGTTGGTTCCAAGTCTTTGCTATTGTGAATAGTGCCACAATAAACATACATGTTCATGTGTCTTTATAGTAGCATGATTTATAATCCTTTGGGTATATACCCAGTAATGGGATGGCTGGGTCAAATGGTATTTCTAGTTCTAGATCCTTGAGGAATCACCACACTGTCTTCCACAATGGTTGAACTAGTTTACAGTCCCACCAACAGTGTAAAAGTGTTCCTATTTCTCCACACCCTCTCCAGCACCTGTTGTTTCCTGACTTTTTAATGATCGCCATTCTAACTGGTATGAGATGGTATCTCATTGTGGTTTTGATTTGCATTTCTCTGATGGCCAGTGATGATGAGCATTTTTTCATGTGTCTTTGGCTGCATAAATGTCTTCTTTTGAGAAGTATCTGTTCATATCCTTTGCAATTTCATTGTCTAATTGTTTATTGCTAGCATCAGAAATACACGTTATTTTTGTCTGTGACCTTGTGTCCAGAAGCCTTGTTAATTTTACTAGTTTATTGGCTAATTCTTTAAATTATCTATATCCTCAATCATGTCATTTACAAATAATGATAGTTCATTTTCTTCTGACCCTACCCAATTAATTTAAAAGGAAATCTTGCCATACTAGGCCAGGAACTCAGGTGATAGTTTCCTCAACGTATAGCAAAATTGAATATTGTACAGTGTACATTTGTATACCCACCATCTGGATTCTACCATTCTAGATTTTACCAAGTTTACTATATCTGCTTTATCACATATATATCTATCCATCAAGCCATCCTTTTTTCCCTTTTCATGATGCATTTCAAAGTAATTTAAGGTACCAGTACACTCCCCACTAAATACTTAGGCATGCATAGCATCACCTAGCGACATTTTGAATAGAAGTGATAATAGACATCCTTTTTTTTGCTTCTGATCTCAGAATGAAAGCTTTTGATATTTTAAGTATGATGCGTTTGCTGTAGTTTTAAAATAATATTTATAAGATTAAGATAGCTTCCGTTTTTCCTAGTTCGCTAAACATTTCTAGCACTTGACTGCTGAATTTTATCACATTTTCCCCTGCATTTATTGAGATCATTTACTTTTCCTTCTGTATTCTTTGAATAACTCTAATTGATTTGTGAATGACAAATCCAATTTGATCATGATGTATTTTTACACATTGTTTTTGTAGATTGCTAGTTTCTGTTTGCATCTATACCATGAGGACTGGCCTATAATTTTCCTTTCTTGTATTGTTCTTGGCAAATTCTTTATATCTAAGGTTAAGCTGTTTTCATAAAACAAATTAGAAGGTTTTTCTATTTTCTGGGAGACTGTCTAAAACTGGCATTATTTCACTCTTAAATGTTTGGTTAAATTCACTACTGAAGCCATCTTGGTCTGTAAATTTCCTGTGGCAGATTGTAATTATGGACTCAATGTATGCGCTAGATATAGGATGATTCCAATGTTCAGGATCGTTTCATGTCAGTTTTGGAGAGTTTTTTTTTTTTTTTAAAGAATTTGTTCATTTTATGCAAAATCTAAAAACAACTTTAATGAGGCATACTTAATATATAAAACTGCACATATGTAATAAAGTGTACAATTTGATTAGACATATGTATACACCTATCACTGCAATAAAGATCATTTCAACTAGATTTAAAATTTATTGGTATTCATAATATTCTCTTAAATATGTATACATATTTTTGAGACACGGTCTCTCACTCCATTGCCCAGGCTGGAGTGTGGTGCCATGACCACAGCTCACTGCAGCCTCTACCTCCTGGGCTCAGGTAATCCTCCTACCTTAGCCTCTCCAGTAGCTGGGACTACAGGCACACACCACCATGCTCAGCTAATTTGTGTGTGTGTGTGTGTAGAGACAGGAGGGTTTCACCATGTTATCCAGGCTGGCTCTTAAATATTTTAAATGTCTGCATAATCTGAAGTAACTTACCTGTTTTCCTTTCTGATATTGGCTATTCCTCTCTCCTGCCCTTTCTCCTTCCTTCTTTGATCAGTCTTTTAAGGGGTTATGAATTCTTTTATTTATTTATTTTGGGACGGAGTCTCGCTCTGTTGCCCAGGCTGGAGTGCAGTGGCACAATCTCTGCCCACTGAACCCTCCACCTCCCAGGTTCAAGCAATTCTCTTGCCTCAGCCTCCTGCGTAGCTGGGACTACAGATGCCCACCACCACGCCCAGCTAATTTTTGTATTTTTAGTAGAGACGGGGTTTCATCATGTTGGCCAGGCTGGTCTTGAACTCCTGACCTCAGGTGACTCCCAAAGTGCTGGGATTACACATGTGAGCCAACATGCCCAGCCAATGAGTCCTCTTAATCCTTTTAAATAACCAACTTTTGACTTTGATTCCCTTTATTGTATATTTGTGTTCTATATCAGTAATTTGGCTTATTTTTGGGTTTCATGTGCTGTTTTTAAAATTTTTGAGGTAATTGCTTAATTGATTTTTAACCTTTCTTCTTTTCTAACATAAACATTTAAATATATATGTGTGTGTATATATATATATGAACAATAGACACTAGGGACTCCAAAACGAGGGAGGAAGGGAAGGAGAGAGGGAAGCAAGTGCTGAAAAACTTTCTATTGGGTACTATGTTCACTATCTGGGTGACAGGATCATTAGGAGCCCAAACCTCAGCATCATCAATATATTCTTGTAACAAACCTGAACAGGTACTCTTTAAATTTAAAATAAAATTAAAAGGTCTTCTAAGCATAGTTTTATTTGCATCCCACAAGTTTTTTCTCTGTTTTGATATGTAGTATTTTCATGATCAGTTCAAAATATTTCAAATTTCCATTAAGATTCTGACAGATGGGTTACCTGGAAATCTATTTCCAAAAATATGAGGATTATAAAATTATCTTTTTGTAAATAATTAGTCTTGATTCTATTATGGTCAGAGAACATATTTCATTTGAAGTATTTTCAGGTTTGTTGAGACTTTTTTTCTGAGACAGGGTCTTGCTCTGTCACCCAAGCTGGAGTGCAGTAGTGCAATTATAGCTCACTGCAGCCTCGACCTCCTGGGCACAAGTGATTCTCCTGCCTCAGCTTCCCAAGTAGCTGGGGCTATAGGCACATGCCACCATGCCCAGTTAATTTTTTTATTTTTTGTAAAGGTGGGGCCTCATTATGTTGCCCAAGCTGGTCTCAAACTCCTGGGCTCAAGTGATCTTCCTGACTTGGCCTCTCAAAGTGCTAGTATTACAGATGTGAGCCACTGTGCCTAGCCTGTTGAAACCTTTATAGCCCAGTATTTTGGAGTGTGTGCCATTTGTGTTTGAAAAGTATGTTATTGAGTTTGGTGTCCTACATACATCCGTTTGGTTTGCTCATTTCATTGCTTAAATCTTTTATAACTTGATTTTTGTATGCTAGTTTTTCTACCAATTAACAAAATAGGCATGTTAAAATATCACTCTGGTTGCATATTTGTCTAAATTTCCTATCAAATTTTCTTTTACATATTTTGAGTTTATATTTTAAGTGCATATAAATTTAGATTATCTTTCTAGTAATTGAATTGACCCTTTTATTTCTTAAAAAAATTATTGCCTTAAAGTTTACTTAAATATATCTACACCAGTTTCCTCATGGTTACTGTTTGCTGGGTATGTATTTCTCCATCTTTTTCTTCCAAAATTTCTAAATTCATGTTCTAAAAATGTCTCTTGTAAATAGCATATGGTTTAAAACAAGGCTGACAATATTTGTCAACATTTGAGCATTAGTCCATTTACATTTAGTGTAATAATGGATTTATCACAAATATCTTGCTTTCTATTTGTTCCACCTGTTCTGCTTTTTCTTCTTTCTTAGACTCTTTTGCAATTCTTAAATCTTCCACTGAATTGATTATTCGAATTCTCTCTTATTATGTGGAAAGCTATACACTTTTATTGATATCTCAAATATTATCATGCATACATGAGTTATCAAAGACTAATATTAAATGAATTTTTACTCTCTTCTTGGATGATGCCAAGTGTCTTAGAACACTTAAAATTCCCACATAAATCCTTTCATTTTCATACATTTTATTTCTCTATATATTTAAAACTCCATAAGACATAATTATTGTTTTATGTAGTCAATATTTATGTGTCATTTTCATTGCTCTTCAATCTTTCCTAGGGCTCTGTCCTTACGTTTGGGATTATTTTCCTTCTGCCTGTAAAACACCTTTTAAATTTTCCTTTAGGGTAGGCGTGCTGATTAATTCTTCTAGCTGTTTCTCTAAAAATGTCTTCATATCCTCTTCATTTTTGCAGGATATTTTCCCTGATTAGAAATTTTTAGGTTGGCAGTCATTTTCTTTCAGAACCATAAAAGGCAGTATTTCACTGTCTTCCATTGTTTCTGCTGAGAAGGAGCTGTCAGTCTAATATTATTGCTCCTTTAATGGTTATATTCCCTCTCCCACCCCAGCAGGTCTAAAATATTATTTTTCTTTGGTCTTCAACAGTTTTACTATGATGTTTCTAGGTGTGGGTTGTTTTTATTTATCCCACTTGGAGTTTGTGGGAGGGATTCTTGAATTTTTGGTGTGATATCTTTCATGAGTTTTGGAAAAGTTCTCAGCCATTTGTTTAAATATTCCTTTCTTCTACTCTTTTGAGATGCCAACTACCCTGCATGTCTGAGCAGGTCAGACATGCTCACTGTACCCTTTAAGTCTCTTACCCTCTATTCTCCATGTTCTGTTTTTTTTACTATATAATTCCTGCTCCCACCCCTCACCCTCAATTTTTCATCTTACTCATTCTCTTTTCAGTTATTTCTAATCTGCTCTTAAACCTGTTCACTGTTCTTCTCATTACAGTACTTTAGTTATAGAATTTCCAATGCGCCTTTTACAGTTTCTAACTCTCTGTTGAAATTCTTGACCATGCGTCTCATTTTTTTGAACACAGTAACCATAGCTGTTTTAAATTCTGCGACAACTTTATCTGGAGTCTGTTTGGATATTTCTATTGTCTGTGTTTTCCTCTAATGGTTTTAATTCAAGTAATTAATGTTGTCTGGTCTTCTCCCATACCTGGGTATTTCTGATTGCAACACTGCAGAAATAATTTGAGGCCTTGGGTTATGTTTACTTCCTCCACAGAATTTGCCATTTGCTTCAATTGGGCACCTGAAGGCATCAGTAATCTGGTTTCACCTCGGACCACATTCAGGTACTGAGGTGGTTTAGAAGTTGAACTGCACTACCCATGAGGGATAGTCCAATGACAGTAATGGAGGACCAACCCTCAAGCTAAGGACAACTTGGAAATCTGGTAAAAATATTTTTAAAATTTGCTTGAAGGACCCCAGAGTCAACAAGATAGTTAAGTATTACTTGTCCAGTTCTATGGGGCTGCTTTTCCTCTGGGGGATTTTGCTAATGCCAGAGGCTGTGTCTGAGTAGCTGACATTTAGACAGCCTTGTGAAGTTAGATTAGGGGTTGAGTATGACCTGGCCAAGGGTCTTGGGGCTACTGGTGAGTCTCCCTTGCTTTGAGTGGGAACTCTGAATAGCTATACGCTAATGAGATTAAATTTTATGCTTTAATTCATACAAAATAAATATGCATTATTTGCTGTGGATTGTGTGTTATAATCTACTTCTCAGTTCTTCATATGCATAGCTAGCTTAGCTCTTCATCACTGAATAGAAACTGACCTCTTTGACTCCAGGAGGTGATGTAGGACACTGGAATTGTTCTGAATTTGGAGTCAGAAGGCCTAATAATCAGTCCCTAAAATCAAGTGGCAACTACTGATATTGCAGGATAGTGCCTAGGAAAGAATTAAGAGACCCAAAGGGTTGACCTTGCAGAGACTCCAGCCTATGAAGTATCAGCAAGTGCCAAAAATTTATGGCTCTGCAAAAAAGCACAGGGTGACTCAATTATGCAGAGAGCTCTACCACCCAATGCAAAACCCTGGCTCCCGGAATCTAAAGGACGAAATGTTGCTTAAAGTATGATATATTAACAATTCCAGTGCTTAAAAGTTTCCCTCACTAAATATTTCTCTTGGATGTACCTTAGCAAGCTCTTAGGAAGTTGCTGAGTGTTCTGATGCTGGTCCTGTGTCCTTTCCACTTTCTATCGTCTACTTCCCAGCTCCTGTGCTTTCCTTCCAGAGAGAACTGTGTGTGCAGTGTACTTTCTATGCTTCACCTTCAGGGACCTTCTCTTCTTTCCTTTCTCTGTCTTTGTCCTTGAGCTGTGTTGTCTGCACTGCTGAATGGTGGCAGTCCTGCTGCAAGGTTGTTGTTCATAGATTGTATGACACCAGCCTCAACGGGTGACTGTGGGAACTAGAGTTAGAAATCTGAAGCTCTTCTGCAAAGTGCCTTGAACTCTTGATAGGGAAGATGCTATTGAAAGGGACAAATTCTTTTAAAAGTAAATATTGTGGCAGAAGTCTTTGTTGATAAAATGACACAATGCAGTAACAGCTTCAGATCTGGGGTAAAATCAGATGCCAATTTCCATCTGAACACACGATGATCCTGTGTTGCATCATTACACATTTTTACTTCGTGTAAAAATTTCTAAGCAAACTAATACTCAAAATTAATGCAAGTATAATGAAAGTTTATCATTCAGATTTATTGCCATATAATAAATCTTTCACAAAAATCAGGAAGAAGCCTCTGGTGACTTTGCAGAGCTGAGGCAGTGATGCACGTGGTGGGGCCTCCCTCCTGAGCGGGAACCAGGACTGGGAGCATCACTTGCAGGCCTCCATGGAGGCTGCTGCCCCAGCTGAGCTGTTAGCTAGTGAGTGCTTCTACTGTGTGATGAATGAGAAAAGGGAAAGAGGGGAGGGCAATCAGGGTTCTGGGGGCACCTCAGTGAGCCCAGAGGCCTGGAGGAGAGGCTGTATGATTCCCCAGTCAGGCCTTCCTTGGGAGTGTGCCCTCTGTCAAGATGACTGGGTTTTTGAAGGGCCTCATTTCCTCACACAACAAGCACTGACAGTCCTGCAGCCCAGGGACTGTCCTGTGGCACTGCCCAGCCCTCAGACTCAGAGGACAGTTCTGTGGTCCTGCCAGAAGCTCAGCTGTTCCACATGACCCTTAAACATTTAAACAATTTTTTGGTTTAAAGGAAAAGGAAGCCAATCAAAATGCTTTGGAAACAAATTAAAGTTGCAAATTATTTCCCCACATAGTAAATACATATCCTTGCTACCTGAAATGATAATCATCACTCCCCCTGCTGGCTGAGAGCGCTTCTCCTCCTTCAGACTGGCTCTGCCACAAAGCTAAGTATTAGTAGAAGTTGTTGCCAAGCCTCACCTCTAGCCTGTACATGGGCTCTGAGGTGAACACAGGAGTCAGAGTCCCCACTCCAGCAGTGACTGGAGGAGGCCTGACAGAACAAGCCCCTTGGGGACAGGAGGCAAGCTGCACTCACCTCTGGGACCCCACCCGGGATGGGCGCTCCACGAGTCCCTTGGCCTTAGGGAACCTCTGTTTCATTCCATCCAGACGAGGATAGGGAAGCTTCCTGCCCTACCTCGACAGCCTCTAAGAGCACAGCTTGGCCAGGCCTTCCCGTGTGGAGCCCACACAGTGGTGCACTGAGAGGCTGCCAGTGTTTTGACCTTTTACAGAGCTTGGGGTGACTGAGAATGGTTCCTCCGAGGCCCTCGGAAGATTTGATGGACTCAAATAACACGGGCCTGCAGCCCTGGGACACAGGACAGGAGAAGCCAGCCCTGACACAGATGAGCTGGCAGTGGATTCGAACAGTGTGCTCAGTCTCGTCTGGGCTTTTGTGCTTTCTATGTTGAAGACCAAATACTTTTTCTTTGAGAATGAAACTAGGCTCCTTATCTAGACTGTGAAGGGGCCCGTGAGGACACAGAGTGTGACTGGAAAGGAAGGTCCCAACTGGCCCTCAATGTGGCCCCAGTGGCTGTTTCCCTGCAAGAAGCTCCTTCCTCCAGCTCAGGCACCAACACACGGATCACACCGGCCCAGAAACAAAGAGCAAAACATGCTTTTCATCCCACGTGGAATACAGTATGAACAAATTACTCTCCTTTTTCTATTAGTGTGGGTGAAGGAAAAAGACTGTTTTCAAATGAAGCTTTTCTTTTTCCCAATGATTAATACAGAGTAGATTAACTTAATTTGTGCTAGACTCCAATTTAATTCCAGCAACAGTTCACAGGCCATATTCACAGAAAAGTTAATCTGGGCTTCATGAGAAGTAGCCATTTTCTTTTTCTTTTCTTTCTTTTTTTTTTTTTGCGAGACAGGGTCTCACTTTGTGGCTCAGGCTGGAGTGTACTGGCACGTTCTTAGCTCACTGCAGCCTTGAACTCCTGGGCTCAGGCAATCCTCCTACCTTAGCCTCCTGAGTAGCTAGGACTACAGGAATGTGCCATCATGCCTGGCTAATTTTTAAGTTTTTTGTAGAGATGGGATCTCACTATGTTGCCCAAGCTGGTTTCAGATTCCTGTGCTCAAGGGATTCTGCTAACTTGGCTCCCCAAAGTGCTGGGATTACAAATGTGAGCCACTGTATCTGGCCCATATTCTTTTTTAAGAAAAGATGCAGAGGTGTTAAATATTAATATCAAATTGTCCAGGCATGGTGTTTATGAAATTGTGTGCCCTCTGACAGGCAACCAAACACACACGACTTCATTTCTTTATTAATTCCTGCCTCATCATCTTTTCTCATTGATGCTCCTTAATGTCAAAGGAATCTCTCTCTCTCACACACACATAAGACCAAAACAAATATCTTGAACATGCAAAAAAATAGTCTACGCTTTTGAATAGTGTGCACTGTTGAATAGTGTGCACTGTTGGATAGTGTGCACTGTTGAAGTGTGATGTGCCTAAGGCAACAGGATCTTGGGAAAGCTCTAGATTTTTGGCTTCGAAATAAAACTGCATGTTGAATAGCAGGTTTTTACATTTATTATTGTTGTGTATTTCCTCCCCTTTTTGCAATACTATCTACGCTGAGTTATCTATTGCCAACTAGCACCAATTCTCCAAATCAAAGTGTGTGAGGAAAACACACTCGTGCAATCCTCTTTAACAGAAGATACACCAAGTAACCTGTCTGTCTACTTCTGTTACCCAGAAATAAAAGAACTTGAAGGGCTGCTTGGCTGGAGGGGTCCGGGTGGGAGAGCATCCTGCCCTCAGTCGGAATCCATGGTGAACAGCTGGATGTCCTGTGGATTCCAGTACAGGCCGACTGCTGAGTTGTAGACAAGAGACCAGACATAGGGGATAAAAAACTCCTCGGGCTGCTCCTCTTCCACATATTTGAATTTCAATTCTGGAAATTTCTGCAATGAAAATAAGATGATTTTATAATCCCACAGTTCCATGCACAAGCAAAAGTGGTGAGAGTTTGCAGGTGGTGCTGTGGTGTGCGGGGAGCCCACCCACCCCTGCCAACTGGTCACAGGGCATGAAAGCTCTGGGGCTTTAAAATATTTCAGCTATCAAATGGCTCCTGAGAAAATGTGAATTACCGATGGAGAGAGCAAGTAACACAATGGGTCCTGGTTGGCTAATGTCAGTTTGGCTGATAGTTCCCTGCTAGGGACCCCAACAGTGGTTAAGGTATGATGAGAAATATCCTAGCTGAGACATGGACCCTGCCTGGGAGGCAGACAAGGCTCAGGCTGATATTCCCCAGAGTGCAATGCTAGGGACTGGCTTTTGAGAGGCACTGTCCTCAGGGTTCCACCATTCTGGAGGTGAGGACCTTCCCCTTCACAATCCTGAGCCCTGACCTGAAGGGGTAGGCATGTGCCACCGGTGGAGGGGGGCTACTCTGGAGGAGCGGGGGTCTGGGGTGGCCAGCTTTCTTGGCCATAGCTTGGCCTCAGTCTCTTCCTCCCTGGAGGCAGGAGCAATGGCTTTGGCTTTGCGGAGAGGGAGCCCGAGGCTGCTCCTCATGGAGTCTGGGAAAAGGCCTAGGCCTGGCTCTACAAACACATCGCAGGTGCCCTGGTCTGCAAACTCCAGTCCTCTGTTATGTAAGGAGTCGTGCAGCTCAGTGGCCTAAGGCAGCACTTGCGTTTTAGCACATCACTGGGATTTGGGCTTTTGATTTTCTACTTTTATTCCTGGCCTATTTATTCCAGCCAGGGCAGAGGAAGTGATTCCACTTTCAGCAGCTTGAGGAGTGGCTAGAGTCTACCCAAGGCCCCTGGGCCTCTCCTTTGCCAAGGCGTCGCTGGCAGGAGTGGCTGCAGCTTGGTGACCCTTGTCCCAGGTTGGGTGGGGAGAGAGGGGACAGGGTCCTGGGAGGAGGAGGACGGTGGAAGGCTGAGGAAGAGGGGGCTGAAAGAGAGGAAACCACACACTTCCCCACATGCATCCACAGCCACACTTATTATACTATACTGGAAGACATGGCCCATAGGGCAGAGAGGTTTTTATCTGTTTTGTCAGGTGCTGCATCCCCAAGGATATTAGCCAGGCACTTAATAAACTGATGAGTGAATGAATCAATGAAGCAATCAACCAAGTATTGAGGGCCAACTATGTCCCAGACACACTGTAGATGCTTTGTATGTATTATCTAATTTAGTCCTTCTTATGGGAGTCCATTCATTTGTTCATTCACTCATTCTTCATTCTACTGACTATCTGCTGGCAGGTGCCAGGCAGGCACTGTGTGGGCCAGGGCCTAGAGATACGGGGGTGCGGCAGCCAAACCCAGCTCCTGTTCTCATGGAAGGTAAATCTTCATGGAGGAGAGAGACAGAAACAGCAGCAGCAGCAACAAAAAACCAATAATAACAGGGCAGCAAGGCAGGGAAGGACAAGGAGCCAGAAGGGAGGAGGTGGCAGCCAGACGAAGGGGAGGTGAGCTCCCCTGGAGGGCCCCGCACAGGAAAGGCCTGGGTGTGAGGCTGGAGGCTAAGGAGGGGGTGGGGGAAGAGCACACACCGGGGAGCAGAGGCCAGACTGGGGAGCTGCACATAAGGTCCCGGAAGCCTCTGAAGGGCCTGAAGGCTAAGGCATGAGAATGGCACTGTGCAGTGGCTGCTCCCATCACAGCGGGGAGAACTGGAGGGCACAGTGCAGCAGGCAGAGGCAGGAGCCTAGTCCAGGGAAGGGGGAAACAGGCCTGAACTAGGATGATGCTAGCTGGGTGGATTTAAAAGATATTTAGGAAAGGGGAGGAGCAGGTAGAGGAGCTGCATGCGCGCACACACACACACACACCCACACCCACATCCCCAAATACACACCACTCACATAGACACACACACAGACACACCGAGGCACGCACACACAGATAAAACACACAGACACGCACACATAGACACACACACCACAGACTCACACACATAACACAAACACAACACAAACATCCATACCCACAACATATACACAGACACAGACAACACACCCAGACATGCGCGCGCACACACACACACACACCAGACACACACAATACACACACACCCAGACATGCACATACAGACAACACAGACATGCACACACACACACACCACAGACAAAACACACAAGACACATACACACACAATACATACAAAACAGATACCCACACACTCACATGCAGACACACCCACACACACACAGACACACACACAGACATACACAGACATGCACATACAGACACACACACACCAGACACACAGACACAACACACACAGACACACACAGTAACAAGAATTTTAAAATAACATTTACAGTGATTAAGACTAAAAGCATCTGGACCAGGTATAGTAGCTCACGCCTGTAATCCCAGCACTGTGAGAGGCCAAGGCAGGAGGATCACTTGAACCCAGGAGTTAAAGACCAGCCTGAGCAACCTAGCAAGACCCTATCTTTACAAAAAATTTAAAAATTAGCCAGATGTGATGGCGCATGTCTGTAGCTACTCAAGAGGCTGAGATGGGAGGATTGCTTGAGCCCAGGAGTTCGAGGCTTCAGTGAGCTAGAATCATGCCAGTCCACTCTAGCCTGGGCCTAAGAGTGATATCCTGTCTCTAAAAATAATTAAACCAAAAAATTAAATTTGAAAAATAAATTTAAGAAAACCAACTAAAAACATCTAAGTGCTGGATCTTCAGAGTTCCAGAATGATCAGAGAGGAGCAGAGTGAAGCAGCAAAGACTTTGTGGCAAGAGTTACATCTTGAACAAGTGTGTAAGAATTCCTAAAACGGAGGGTGTTCTGGCCATTGATGTAACTTCAACACACAGCCCCCATCTGCTATGGCTTCAGTGATCAGCAGCTCCCCACTTTGTGGCTACCAGACTGTTATATAAATAGACGCCAAGCTCTAGCACTACCTAGGCCTAGATCTCCCCACACCCTGCACCCCCACACTGCAGTCCCCTTTTCAAAAACTACTAGTTCTAGTTCAATGAAACCTGTGCCTTTTCAGACCATCAGTGTTTCCTTCCAGCTCTTTGCCATCATCAGCGCAGGCTGGAAGT
Organism: Homo sapiens; assembly: GCF_000001405.40. Lineage (NCBI taxonomy): Eukaryota > Metazoa > Chordata > Mammalia > Primates > Hominidae > Homo > Homo sapiens. The sequence continues at coordinate 49,047,346 of NC_000018.10, forward strand.
CTCAGTGTCTGCTGATGATGTTGCTCATGACTGCAATGGAGGGGACAACTTCTTTAGCTGGGCTCTTTGGCCCAGTCTGGCTGACAAAGTTTGATCAGCTCAGGATGTGGCACCACTTCCAGCACTTGCTGACACGAGTCAGAGTTCAATGAGGCCCCAGCTTTATTTTTCTTTCTTTATTCTTTCCCTCCTCTCAGCTGACACCTAAGGCCCCCAGCTTTCTACTCCCTCCTCGTCCACTCCTGAAGTCCCCTTGCACCCCACCTGCCCTGCACAGTGCTCTCTGGGTGTTCCCTAACTGCTGGTGGGGCGGTATCCTAGGGCCTGGAGAGTTTGGGAGCCTCCTCATACACTGTGTTGATTCCAGCCCGACATGGGGTTCTCAGGTATGTGGGTGCTTAGAGGGAAGTCTTTGTCATGGAATCAGGTGTCTAAGAGGTACCAACACGATGATGTTCTTTTCTGTGAAAAATCTGCATTTGTAGCAAGAGGGGGGCAACAAGTAGCTCCCACCGACCCGCGCTCCCCATACATCATGCCGTCTGAAGCTCCCACGGCATCCTGGTCAGTCACCAAATGTCCCGCTGAGGCCAGTGCCAACCCCATGAAGAGAAGGTAACTCGGAGCTCAGAGAGGCTAAGTGCTCGGTTGCAAGGTCATGCAGCCTGCTGGAGTGGAGTCAGGTTTAAAGCCTGGGTCTGACTGTGTGCAAAGTTAGTTTGAAAAGTGACATCAGAGTTCTGGCCACCCTAATGCTTTATCCTTAAATTTGATTCTCTTAGGCTCCACGAAACCCTTCTGGGTGTGAGGTACAGAGCTCAGCACGCTGCTGGTCCTTAAAAAAAGAACCACATGAGGGCAATAATCACGAGAGGACTGTGGTGCTATGTGAAGAAGAAATGAAACTCATCCATGATAATGGAGATGAAAATCCTAGTTCTTAGGACGGCCTCAAACTTTAGAAAACCTCACACGGACTCAGGGAGAAGAGAGGGGCTAGGTGGGTGTGCAGAGTCCCCCAGTGGCTTGTTTTCATTGGAATAATAACATCTTACATTTCGATGTGGTAATGTCGCTGTTAAAACGCACTTCTCATTGTTAGAAATAAAAATGACTCAAAGATGTGAAAGCTTTTCTCCATTCAGTGACTTACATGGGGGTTTTCCCATGAAGGCCTTAGGAGAGGCTGTGAGGCAGCTTATGCAAGGCTGCTTTCCGCATCTCTAAGGAGGGTGGAATGGGAAATAAAACCAATAAACTGTAAACTGCTCTCAGAAGAATTCCTTCCAGCTGAATTACAGAAACTTAGGCAAGGCTGCTACTAAGTTTATGGGCTAGCAGTAAGTTTTCCTGCCCTCATGGCTTTGGGGAAACTCTGATGACTATTCCGCTAGAAGGAGTAATGAGTCAAAGACTGCCCTTAAATCCTGCAAAAGAGGATCTGGAAAAAATACCTGGCACCCCCATGACTATCCTTCCCACCACCTGGTACAACCAGAAGTGAAAATGCCTCAAGTTGATGTTGAAACAATAACTCATCTCACCCTCCACAAAGGCACAGGACATCTCTCAGCAACAGAGATCTTTCCTCTAATCGGAAAGTACACTCTTTGGCTGGTAGTAACTATGGCTTTCAAATGTTGCAAACAAAATCTCAGGAACATCCAGTATATAGCATATGATAGTACACAAAAATGGTATAAAATAGTATAAACTTTATCTGTCAAGAGAAGACGTGTAGATTTTATTATGAAGTTATTCTTCAAGCTGATCATTATTTCCATAGAAGTTCTCCATAAAAATAATAAATTCTGAGATTATACCTAGCATTTATAGCTAATACAATTGATTACCTATTATATGGCAGGCATATTCAAAGAATTTACATATAGTTACTCATTTCATCTTTGAAACAACTACAAAAAGCAACTCCAAAGGCAGGCAGATAATTTGAGTTTCAGTCCCATCTTTTCCCATTCATTCACTCAGTAAATACTTACTGAGGGCCTAGTGTATAGTAAGCACAGGACTAAAAATACAGCCACTAGGACACATGGGGTCCCAGCCTTCAAGAGCTAAAAGGCCAGTCCTTATTAGCTGAGTGACCTTGGACTAGTCTCACATCCTTGCTCAGATCAGGCTCTTAAGGTTTACTATACTCTGAGGCTTGGAATGTAACCATCCTTCCTACTTCACAGAGTTGTACTGACAATCGGATGAGATAAGCCACGTGAAGGGCTTGGTATAGTACCCACCACAGAGTAAGTACTTAATGAATGTTGGCTATTATTACTGACATTAAAATGACATGCAAGTATAAGGGATGCTCTTATAATGTTCTGTAATCAAACCTAAAGACTAGACATACTATGATGTTTACTATGGCCTGGTCATAGCGAAGTCTAGTCTTTAGATGTGATTACAGAGCCCATTTCTCTTACAAGCCCATTTCTCTTATGCACCCAAATGGATACTTCTCACTTGGCAACTGACTCTTAATAATAGAAATAAGCCTCCCTGCATGAAAACCAGACACAAGTGCTGACAAATGGCTTAAAGGCACTGAGCTCATCTTCATCAACATTTTTAAAGAACAAAGCTGTTTCAGTAAGAGAAGGCAGGTGCTGAAGAACTGCCTTCTTTCTCTGTCTCAGAGTCAGGCTCAACTGGAGGGGAGAAGATTGGCCCTGGAGTGGGTTTATGGTTATGATAAGGTGGACAGAGAGGTAACTTCCTTTTTTTTTTTTTTTTTTTTTTTAAGATGGAGTTTCACTCTTGTTGCCCAGGCTGGAGTGCAATGGCGCGATCTCGGCTCACTGCAACCTCCGCCTCCCGGGTTCAAGCAATTGTCCTGCCTCGGCCTCCCTAGTAGCTGGGATTACAGGCATGTGCCACCATGCCCGGCTAGTTTTTTTTTGTATTTTTAGTAGAGACGGGGTTTCTCCATGTTGGTCAGGATGGTCTTGAACTCCCGACCTCAGGTGATCTGCCTGCCTCGGCCTCCCAAAGTGCTAGGATTACAGGCATGAGCCACCGCACCCAGTCCAGAGGGGTAACTTCTACAGTGTATGTGACATTAGGCTTTTGCAATCTAATGGGGTAACTAAGAAGGGTTTACCATCTATGAAGGGGTAACTTCTGCAATGTATGTGACCTAGGTGTTTACCATCTTCCTGTAAGATCGTGCAGCACGTTCAACAACATCCAGCATGGCAGCTAACTCCCTGAGCCACACGGGGCTGCGGGGGCTGTGGTTGACCAGGAATGAAGCCTTCTGCTTGAAGTTCACAGACAGCCCAGTAGGAAGCTCAGTGGAAATGACTCTGACTAGAGCTGCCATGTACCAGGCACTTCCTGCTTCACTAATGACCACCCTATAAAAAACAAAAGTGGCCTCTCTCGGCTCACTGGCTTATTGCCTTCACAACACTCAGTGCAATTGGTGCTTCTCTTATTTGTTGACTTGTGCACCATTTGTTTCCCCAACTAGAACAAACATCGGTTCTAAGAAGGCAGGGACCTTATGAGCATCTGGCATGTCACTGACATCTTAAGGCACGTTTGCTGAATGAGGAATTAAATAAATGAACGAATGACGTAAAATCTGCACAAAAATCCTGTGACACAGGTATTATTCACTCCATTATAGAGATTTAAAAAACCAAGACCCCAAAAGAATAAGTCACATGAAAAAGAGGCCACAGCAGTGAGTGGTAGAGCCAGAAGCTGAAAGAAGCTCAGGCCTTTCCTCTGGAGCCTCCCCAGGGTCAAAAGGGACCTGAGTGTGCCCTTAGAATGTCTGTGGCCAACGTGGACACTAGGTTTTCATGTCTTTCAAGTAATAATAATGAGCTTCAGATGTTTCTTCAATATCCTCCTAACCAACAACTCACTTAACCTTTTGTGGCCGTGTTTCCTCACTGTGAGTGATGGGGTTGATCACCAGGTGAGCCCAGGCTGGGGACAGGAGGCCTTGGCTCTGTCTTGGCTCAGCAGGTGGCAAGCTGGGCAGTTTGGGGCAAGTCATAGCATTTCTCAGGACTCAGTTTTCTAGCCTTGTGAAAAATGAAGGACCTTTGAGCTCCTTCCAATTCTGACTAGGTGTGGTTTTATGTTTAGACCAGTAAGGTCTAAAGGTGTATTCCCTGCCATGCCTCTAGGCTCTGCAGGGTTCACTTGAAGAAAGGGTTGAATGGGTTGGGCCTGGGTTCAGCTGCAACCCTGAAGTTAAGCATTTGTTGATTTCTACTTAGACAGACTTTGCATTGGAGATGGTATCTGAATGTCCTGGAGGTTGACAATAGACATTTTTAAAGGCTAAGGCTCCCAACTGCTGAAAACAAAGACAAGCTTGAAGCTGCTGTTGAGCTGCTCTGTGGCCTGGGAGCTCCCAGCTAAGTGGGCTGAGGTTCCAGGCGCTGCCCCCGTCCGTGCTGGCTAGTGAAGGCCTGGTCCCCTCCACAGACTGGGTTCCCAAACTGCTGTCTCCCAAGTGTGCACTACTGGTCATGGGGGGACTGAAAGAGCGGGTAGAGAGAGCAGCGTGAACACACAGCCGTTATTGGAAAACCTGAACATGCAGACAGCACTGCGCATTCCCCGAACCATAGCGCCAGCTCCTCTCCCACAGTGAGCAAGGGAGCAGAGAGATTGTTCCTTAGGGTTGTTTGCCTGTAACTTTTCACCAGCACCTAAAAGATTCAGAAAGGGTAATCGCACTCTGTTTGTTATTTATGCATGTTCTCCAGGACTGGCTACACAGAGTAAACACCTGGAAGCACATGGTAAGGAGCTTCCTTTTTCCTGAAGGGAGCTGTTTGTAAGGGCAGTGCCTGGGAACACTTTAAAAGGGTGAACACTAGGCATAAATCATAAAAGAATTTTGAGAATGTTATTCAGTCAACCTGGGTAGGCCCGAGCTGAATTTAATTTGACCCCCTCTCCGAATCTACCTGTCCATCTACCTCCCTATAGAGAAAGCCAGCATGGTTTGAGACTTAAATAGCAATTCTTAAAAATATGTGCTTCTCCCTCTAAGATGTCTTAGAAGTCTAAAGTACTAAGGAAAAGAAAGACAAAAGGTTTAATTTAGCACTAAGGACACTGGGGACACATTTTGTCAGGACTGAGTCCAAGAAATGTCAGTCTGAATGTCAAATCAACAACCTAGAAAAGGTCACTCTTTCCTTTATGTCCCTTTGTAGAGAACAATGATGCCATCCTGTGAGGCTAAGGGAAGTCCAACTTCTTCACTTGAGAGTGTCTTCATCTCTGCCATGGCCAACAAACCCTCTTGGTGGCCCAGGGCCCCGGCTGCTCAGGTATCGCCAGGCCCTCTTAACTCCGACATCCGTCTGGCTCTTCTCTGCCCACATCTTCCCTCCCTTGGGCTTCTAAGAACCCCTTTGGGCTCTAGCTAGTGACTCTCAGGTCAACGTGCTTTGAGGACTTAGACTAAAGCTCTGGGAAGGCAGAGGAGGTGCCTGGGAAGGATCGGGGGCTTGGATCTCATAGTCATGGCAGGAATTCAGCTAGAACTGGCTGGCACAGGGCAGGGCACTGGTTATCTCAAGCTCAGGCTACTTTGGTGAGGAGCCCCTGGCTTTCACGCTTCTCTTTCCGAGATACTTGTCCTGTGACACAGCTCAACAAAGAGAGAAAACTCATCCCTCAAGCTTGTAGCTTGGTCTCAATCCAAAGCTACTTACAGCAATCCTGTTGTTTTGATTTTTGGAGCCAGAGGTAATGCTAGACTCTCAAGTTTGGCTGGAATGTTTTTATCAGCTCCAGTGAGTCAACCTACCACAGTGGGACATCCGGACGCCCAGCTCAGAGACAAAGCAAGGGTCTGGTTTGGTGGTTGAGACTTGGGTGCAACAAGCAGACCAAAAGCCTGAAAGCCATCTCTGCTGTCAGTCATGTGATCTGGTGAAAACCCACAGGAAGTTCAGTGAACAGATGGAGGGCACAACTGCAATAATTTTATTACCACGAAAGTTGAATGGCGTTTTCCCCCTTCCACCTAAAGATGATATAAGATAGCATCAGAAACTCTAGCAAGCACCTGGCACAGGTCCAGAGTCTAATACAATTTAAAATCCAATAGCTACATAGCAGATTGAAAAAAAAAATTCAAGACCATATTAAGCCTCTGAATAGACAAGGAAATGGGAGATTGCTGGTCGCAAGGCAGACCAGTAACTGTTGGCAGATGGCGCAGGTCGGGAGTGATGGGTTAGTGACTACAGACAGCACGTGCAGGGCTTGTGGTGGGCAGTCCTGCTCAGATGAAAACTACACAGGTTTGGAGATCCTGTCGTAAAATAGCAGAGGACGCATTTACATTCTTTTTTTAATTCTGGGGGTGAAGGATAAATTTGGGGATTACGTAGCCTCACTATCATTCCTCCTCCATATCCTATTGCTGTGTAACTTTAGTTCATCAATGATAAGTCCTTAAACCAAATGTTGGTGGGCTTCAGCTAAACAGGAGGCATTTGCTTGGCTGTAGAGGAAAGAGAGGAATAACTTCTGCTCCTTGAACAGGGTGCGTCAGTTAGCGGGAGGAAACAAGAACAAGCGGGGAGCATGACCCAGGATGGGAGGTGGGTGGTGCTCCCGGACGATGCTCTCCCAGGTAGTTCTGGCGAATACTGGGGCCAGGAGGTTTTACGTGGGCTTGGACAGCAAACTCTGGGAGAAATAATGAATCATCAGTTCAGCTAAATTGTTGATCAAGACTGAAGTGCAGGCTCTTCCAAGTGTAATGGAGGGAGTGACAAATCTATGAAATATTATAATTTAACAAAAAGAAGATAAGCACTGGTCTATGAATAACATCAGCAATGAATGTGGAAAAGTTTCATTTTATGTTAATTTTACAATTAATGAAGAACTTTATTTGTTTCTTTATTGAGACGGAGTCTTGCTGTGTCACCCAAGCTGGAGTGCAGTGGTGCGATCTCGGCTCACTGCAACCTCTGCCTCCCGGGTTTAAGTGATTCTCCTGCCTCAGCCTCTCAAGTAGCTGGGATTAGAGGGGCATGCCACTACGCCCGGCTAATTTGTTGTATTTTTAGTAGAGATAGGGTTTCACCATGTTGGCCAGGCTGGTCTTGAACTCCTGACCTCAGGTGATCTGCCCGCCTTGGCCTCCCAAAGTGCAGGAATTACAGGCGTGAGCCACTGTGCTGGGCCAGAACTAAATTTAAAATATAGGAAATTATAAAGGACCACTTATTAGAAGTTACAAGTTAAGAAACACAAAGTTAAAATTAAGAAGCCCATCATGAGAGTGGCTCAAAAGACAGTTGCAACACATGGCATATCTAGGAACACCATGGCTGGCGACACAGAGGGACTTGGGCAGGGGGTCTCTGGGCACTAAGTTACCACCCAAGAGGGGCACTTACAAGGTTGGCAGACACGGATCCTGAGCTCAGGAAATGGTTTCACCACTGTGGAGTGTCCACAAGTGACACTAACAGTTTTTGTAAGTAAGGGCGAAAAGACTCTTCGGGAAAACATGGAGGATATAAAGTGGAGCCCCATGCTCGGGACAAGCTCTCCACAAACCATCGTATCATTGGCTAGAACTGGAAGCCCCCTTGAGTCTGAATCTTGAGCAAATGTCCCTGGTAGGACCTCTGTCACAGACCCAGGCTAAGGGGATTCACAGAAAGGAGAGAAACTTAATCTTCGGTTTTCAATTTCTCTCTCTTTTCTGGGGGCTGGTGGGAAGGTACAGACTCTCCTGCTGCCTTGGTGTGTGGGCAGGGTTGTGACTTGTGGAGACAGGGCTGGGGTGGGGGTTGCTGGAACTGCATGTGGAGGGACCCTCTGGAGCAGACAGAGGCTGACAGCACCCTTCTGGGGCCGATCTGCAGTGAGGTGTGGCTAGAGGTAAGTTTGGAGAGGTGGGTGGAGGCACGGAGGCAGCCTTGAGGGAAGCCTGTTCACCTGGGAAGCCTAGAGTCGAGGGGACAGATGGAGGACAGAGACTCGTGATCTAAAAGCCATCAGCTGCGGGGCACCAGGTGAAGTTGCCTACGCGTCAACTCCTCAGGAAGGCTGACTGCATTACTGAGTCAAACTGCCTGATGCAAATCAATTCCTACTTAGGAGGCTGGGAGAAGGAGAATATTTTGATTCCAAGGTAGGAGATGGGGGCAAAAGTGGAGAATTCTGCTGTCTGTCTTCAAAGATGATGATACTAATGAGAGACAGAATCTGAATACGAGGTGCCAAGAGTCCTTCCTAACCCACAGCAGTGATGCTGTCTTTGAGGTTCTCAACAGATTGGGTGGGATCCTGCCCATTAGTAGCCCCAGGCCAAGCTGCAGAGCTTCCCAAAATGCCGAGGGCCAAATGGGCAGAATGCTAAACGAAAGCACAGCAGCATGCTGTGGGTGAGTAACCTGAATTCCCTTTCTTGGACAAAGGTCTCCCCGCCTTCGTGAGAATGGGAAGGCAAAGACTACGATGAGCTGAAGCCTGGAAAGGCTGGGTGAAGAAATGTTTCCCTCCAGCGTTCCAGGAAATATCCTGGGAGGGCTCACACCAAAAGATGAACAAGCAACCAGCGGCTGACTCTAATGGAACAACGGCTTCCCGCTGCTGGCCAGTGAGGATGGAGGTGGTGACACTGCCACGGCAGCTGAGGCGACTCAGCCCAGCAGCCACGTGAGCCTGGCTAGGGGAAGTGAGTAATGAGGGGGCTGGGGGAGGTGCAGGCTGAAGGAAACTTTGGGGTTTCTCAAGTCGTTCCTGTCTCTTCAGCTGTCACCCTCTGCTCCCACTTTCCTGAAATGGAGGCAGGACTCTTCAGACAACTCAGAGACTCAAGAGCCACCAAATGGGCTCAGGCCCTGCTTTCTGCTAGCATTGCCACAGAGCCCCTAAAAGCCACTGAAGACAGGCCATTTTCATTGACACTGTCAGAGTAGAAAAGAAAGAGAATACTTGAAACTCTGTTTTCCAAAACCAAAGTAGAGAAAGCTAATAAGCAAGGGACAGGTGATGTGATCAGAAATCAAACAGGATTTGGCTCTCAGGCTACATGCCACTGAGGAGAGGAGAATCTTCACAGAGGGCTAATGAGTGTAAAAATATTCGTATTTGTAAGCTGAAACAAAGATTGAATCTCCATTAATAAAAGCCTATTCTTTTTCATTCATGATTCCTGCTTTATTTATTTTATTATTATTTTTAAAGACAGAGTCTCACTCTGTTGGCCAGGCTGGAGTGCATTGGTGTGATCTCGGCTCACTGTAGCCTCAACCTCCCAGGCTCAAGCGATCCTCCCACTTTAGACTCCCTAGTAGCAGGGACTACAGGCGCATGCCACCACAACTGGGTAATTTTTTTTTTTTTTTTGTATTTTTAGTAGAGACGGGGTTTCACCATGTTAGCCAGGATGGTCTCGATCTCCTGACCTCATGATCCGCCCACCTTGGCCTCCCAAAGTGCTGCGATTACAGGCGTGAGCCACCGCGCCCGGCCACACCTGGGTCATTTTTGTATTTTTTGTAAAGACATGTTTTTGCCACATTGTCCAGGCTGGTCTTGAATTCTGGGGCTCAAGAGATCTGTTGCCCATCTCAGCCTCCCAAAGTGCTGGGACTACAGGTATGAGCCATGGCCTGGGCCAATTCCTGCTTTTACCCTTTCCTGTACAAAAAGGCATAGGTCGTAAGTTTCATATCTCAGTGTGTTAGCAATGTAAAACCTGGCTCACCATATCCAAAATAGGGTCTTGATCTGGCCTTGGGCAGGCTAGAAATTTAACTGCACTGGTATAAATCCATGTGATCTGAACTTTTTTTTTGGTAATTTTCTTATGAAGGGAGCAGTTTCACAGTTTACAACTTTATGAACTAGCAATAACACCATGGGCAGGATAGAGGGAAAGTACATTCAGAGGTGGCAAAGCAGTGATGCTGACCAATCAGACAAAGAGACCGCAGAGAGGAAGGACTTCACCTCTGCAGACTGCTGCTCCTTGAGCCCAGGTCTCTCGTGGACACTGCTCAGGGGCTGGCTCAGGCAGGGCCACAGACGAGCATGCACAGTGTTTCCCAGGCAGGCCTGTGGCACGATGGGGCCAGAAAGAGCCAGGGCAAGGGAGCTGGGAGTCATGCTCATTCCCACTTGCCCCATATGTTAACTGGGGCGGGGGGTTTGGTAGTGGCCCAGGAGTCGCCCTGCCCCATTGTTCCTAGTCTGACAGCTGAAGCTGCACCAGGCACACCACCATGACATCTGCTGTCTTCCTCTCCTCAGCCTAGACAGGCTGGAAGGCAGAAGAGCAGTAGGCAGCTGGCATTTCATGCTCCCCATGGCAACTGTCGCACTGATCAATTACTTGAAATTTCAATAAATACCATGAAAACGAAGTGTAAACTTTTAAGACTACCATGTACCTCTCCCATTTAGGCTATGAATGGTATCATGGAGGGAAAATTCAAGACGTCTGGATTTTAGAGGTGGCTCTGACACTAATAAACTTGGACAAACCATGTCCCTCTTTGACACTTAGTTACTTCATCTATAAACCATTACGGCTGATGAGGTCTGCTCTGACTGGTGGAGACTGGAGCTGAAGACTGACTGTGATGTTGAGGTGGTGCAGGCAGGGCTGAGAGGCCCAGTGAGGGCCAGGCACAACTGCTGGCTAGACTCTGTTAGCACCTTGCTCTGACTTCTCCAAGCAGTCCCAGAGAAGGGCCTCAAAGGAGTCCATCTTCTGCCTTGGAACAAGGTTCAAAGCCAAAGGACAACTGGAAAATACAAGACCTTTCCCTTCTCTATCATGATTTTTTTCAAATCAATGCCCCAGAAGGCAAGTAAAACATCTGTAGATGAAGCATTTGGAGATCTCTAGTCATTTTCAAAACAAGGAATTAAGAGCAAGCACTCATATTTTATAACACAGGCTCCAATTTTGCTAAATTTACATTTTTTTCTTTTTCTTCTTTTTTTTTTTTTTCCTCAGAGGCAGGGTCTTGCTCTGTTGCTCAGGCTAGAGTGTAGTGATATGATCATAGTTCATTGCAGCCTCAAACTTCTGGGCTCAAGTGATCCTCCCACCTCAGCTTCCTGAGTAGCTAGGACCACAGGTCTGCACCACCATGCCTGGCAAATTTTTAAATTTTTTATAGAGATGGGGTCTCACTATGTTGCCCAGGCTGGTTTTGTGGTCAAGTGATCCTCCTGACTTGACCTCCACAAAGTGCTTGGGTTACAGGTGTGAGCCACACTGCCTGACACAAATTTACATATTTCAATAAAGAAAGACACACTGCTTATCTCTTAAGGGACCAATGATAGATAATTCAATTTGTTATACACTGTAAGCATGAAAATTAAACAACATTGAGAGTTACCTTGGAAACACCCATAAAACATTTTAAAGGATCTTTCAAAAGGAAATTCCAAATTTAAATAATCAACATACTATAATAAGACACTTATATTTGGGGTTATTTAGAGCAAGAGGATGTAGAACATACCTTTTTTTTTAAATCAAAATTTGTTATACATAAGAAAAAGTGAAAACTCTAAATTTCCCCTAGAGAGAACTAATGTATGCTCAGCACAAAAGGGGTGACAACATCTGAGTTTTGGAACTTGTACAATGAAAAAGCAGATTTAAGGAAGACAGAATGATGTGCTTATTTAAAGAGAAACTTATACTGTAAATACATCTTCTATGGTTTCTACCTCTAAGTGCATACGAAACACTTTCTGATGAAGAAAGATGTTTCAAGATAAAACTTCTGATTAAATCCCTCTTGCAAGGATTATTAGTGTCCTTATAGAAAAGACCACAGCCAGCCAGCTAGTCCCGTCCACCATGTAAGGACACAGCTAGAGGGTGCTGTCTACGAACCACAAAGTGGGCCCTCAGCAGACACCAAATCTGCTGGTGCTTTGATCTTAGACTTCTCAGCCTCCAGGACAGTGAAAAGTAAGTTCTGTTGTTTATAAGCCTCCCATTCCACAGTATTTGGTTATAGCAGCCCCAGCGAACTAAGACAAAAGGTGACCTGCTCACCCATGCATCCTTCTTTCCTTTTTATTAATATTTACATTATAACTGTAATCACTAGTGCTTTAACAAATACAATGGTGATACAAAATAATGGTCATCTTTGCCACCTGGTTGATGGGTCTGCATCACTGAGCTGTGACTGTACCAGGACCCTAACACAATGGTTGATCCTTAGCTGTTTTCCTGGCTGTTCCGGAAGTCAGGCCTGTAGCAAGGGGCTCAGCTGGCAGTTAGGGGCCCAGGTGGCTGCTACACAGTGTGGTGGTATGAGGGAGGGGGCTGTGCTGGGAGTCCTGCAAGCTGAAGGCTTACTCAGTACCACCGGAGACCCAACATCTTATTATGGAAAATTACCCATGCACACCAAAGTGGGGAAAATAATACAGTGAACACTGTGTGCCCATCAACCAGCTACAAGCCATTAACTCATGGGCACTCATTTAAGCTACCCCAACTTCCCTCCTCTGAATTAGTTTGATGTTAATTCTGGACATTATATATTTTCACTCTTAAATATTAACCTAATTAAACAGGTAAGAACATTTTACCCTGCTTTAAGAAAACCCAATATGAGAATAAAATAAATTATAGGGTGACGTTTTGTACCATAAAAGCATTTAATAAAAATATGAAATATGGTCCCTGCCCTTAAGGATCTTAACATTTACTTGGAGAGCTAAGATAAATGCAAATGAAAAAAAATCACTAAAAAGCAATCCTCTAACATAACCTAATGTTAGAAAGTACAATGCAATAATTGCCAGTTCTGATTTGTATGGACTCTGGAGTCTCCACAAACTGGGTGCCCAGGACCTCTGAGCTTCATTTGCTTCCTCTCCTTTAAGCAAACCATCAGCCTCTGCCAGGTGAGCTCCCTGGGGTCCCCTGCACACTTCAGGCAAATGCCCGCCTCCATGCCTTTTCTGACAGGTCTCTTTATAGCTAGGATGTCCTTCCCACCACACTTCCATTTCCTACAGTGCTGGTGCGGATGCTTCCCTCCCTCCAGAGTCTTAAGTGGTCCTCTCCAGTGCCCAGTATCTGCCTGCTTACAGCATTACCTGTATATTTCCTACAAAGTGCCTGGCTGGACATGGGTTTGGATAGTTTCCATTCACTACTGGACATAAATGATTTGAAGGTAGGCTCTCTGTGTGCCATGCAGCCCCAGGTCAGGCATTGCTGAGTGAGGAACAGTACCCTCTGCCACAGGGTGGCTTAGAGAAGGGAGGGGGGAGAGAGGGGGAGAGGGGGAGAGGGGGAGAGGAGGAGAGGGGAAGGGAGGGGGGAGGGGGGAGAGACGGAGGGGGAGAGAGGGAGGTGGGGGGAGAGAGGGAGAGGGAGAAGGAGGGAGAGAGAGAGAGAGAGGGGGAGAGAGGGAGAGGGAGAAGGAGGGAGAGAGAGAGAGACCGTGAAAAGTACAGTCAGGGGATGCTGGCAAGATAGTTCACCTGGGGTGGTCCTGATGGAGAGGAGAGAAGTGTAAGGCACTGCCTAGTCAGGGAAATTGTTCAGAAGCCTGGCTGAGAAAAAGATTTGAACCATCCCTTTCTGAGCAGTTCCTGGGTAGTGAGGGGGGCATGAACAAAAAAGTCCATAATAAAAACCTGATCATGTTACTCTGTGCTTAAAAAAATCTCAATGGCTTCTCAATGGAAACCACTGCCACAGAAGATACCAAAAAGTAGAGGCAGCGCCTCCGAACCATGGTGTTCATAATCTAGACATGGAGATAAAACATGTACAAAAATAACTATCAGACAAGATAGGAGGTGATAATATCATCTGAAGTGTGCAAATAAGTGTAATCTGTGGGGATCCAGGGAAGGGAGAAATTAAACTGGAAGCATCAAGAAAGGCTTCAAGGAGGAGAAGGCACCTAGGTGGTCTGTAAACAAAGGGTAGGATTTGGGCATGTGGAGGTGGGGGGAAGGGCATCCCAGGCAGAGGAATAATAGAAGCACAGACAGGGAGACAGAAAAGCACAAGGGTGCCCACGGACCAGCCGGTGTGTTTGAGAATAAGAGGGGGAATGTGAAAATAGCTTGGAAGGCAGGTTTATGGAGATCTGCTGAGACTGAGCCTAGACTTTTCTGCATACAAAGTGGGGCCACTCCACGCACCTGAGCAAAGCTGTGCCCAGGACCTCAGCGTGCTCTTGGGAGACTACTTGGGAAACAATGTGGTCCCTCTGGATGGGAGGGAAGCAGCCCTTGGAGGGGAGCAGCTGGGGGACTAGTGCAGGGTCTAGGCGATGGGGGCTGAGGGCCAGGACCCAAAGATGACAGTGGGAACAGAGGAGAGCTGGCAGTGCCACCAGGGTGAGTGGGCAGAGAGACTTGGCAGCTCTTCACAGCTGCCTCTCCCCAGAAAGGGAAGGAAATCAGGGCTGGGAAGGAAGAGATCTAGAAATGAATCCAAGAGCTTCCTCTGTAAATAGTCAAACTTCATATGTTTAGAGTCCAGTGACCTGTGTTGCTTTTGTTTTTCCCTAGAAACAAAAGAGCACACAAATAAAATTCTGTTTCCATCCTCCATCTGGCTCCATCCTAATAAGTCTTTATTTTTCTGATACGGTCTCTCTTTGAGCCAGTTTGCCTCTGGGAAAGGGTCTCTGTGCAGCTGACCTCATGGTGCCTGGATGTTCAGTTTAGCAGTAGCTGCAGAGACAAGCCTCCAGGCCTGATAGCCTCATAGCCCAGATTAAGCAAGCTGTCTGGAAGGCTTGTCAGAATTATAATTCTCCTGCCTTTATCTTCAAAGGTTAGAAAACGGGGAGAGAGAGACTGGGAGAAAGTCCCAATACACATTTCTGAAGGAAGGAGGTTTTACTTATTCTATACATTTTAATCTGATTGTCAGCCCTATAAATCTTACAAAACTAAAACAATGGCTTAGGAACAAGGGCAGACTCACTGTCACCAACGATTAACTTTCTGATCACAGTCTAGGAAGCACACTCTTATCTAGCCCAGCTCAGGACCTGCTGACTATGACCTAGTCAGTCCCCAGGCCTTGACTGTGGGATCTCCGAGGCCTGCAAATACAGCCACTGATGGACTCTTCTGGTCCTCCTGCCATAAATGTGAAGCCAGCAAGCTTCCTCCCACAGGTTTCAGGGAAAACCACGAGCCCTTAAGATTCCCGAGACAAGAGTTAAAGTGGACTAGACTCCAGGTGCTTTGCACCAACGGCACAGTGCCCAGCCCTGACTGCCATGCACAGAACACACACGGGTGGCCATGCTGTTTGCCATTTGTTCTCCTCCACCTGACTCCTGAATTATTTGGAAAGGAAATAGGAGTCTTTGGAACACACTAGGGCTAACGGTTCCAGCTTAGAAAAACTGACTTCAGTGAGGGGTCACCCTCTTTACAAAGTTTAGAAAAAGTCGCTCCCCTTCAGAAGTGTGCATTCAAATTTCACCCCAGGGATTCTTCCTCATCCTGTTTCCTTTCCACCTTTGAAAATGAGGGTGGAAATGGATGTCGTGATGGGAAGGAGATTATAATCCACCTGGAAAGCCAATGAGGCAATACCCCTTAATCTGTGGGCAGAAGGCAACCAACTCCCTGTGCAGGAGCTTTCTGTGTCTGGAATATTTTGCCATGATCGGTTTTTAGCCACCTCTCACTTCCAGTGTAGCAAAATCTACAGGAAATGGAACCCTACTAATTGGAACTTTCACTAAAGCACACCTATTTTTAGGACAAAGGAACAAATAAGAGAAAAAGCACATATTCAGCAAGTTAAAAAACAACTGCTACAGAACCCTCCACTGAGATTATTACATTCTCTGCCCAATTTCCCACACCTGACACAGGTCTGTCCAGGGAGAAACCACATGAGAAGGATGAGTGAAACCGCAAGATTAGGAATTAATCAAAAGAGAAAAGCCAGATTTCTTTTCTTTTTTTTTTTTTTTTTAAATCCATGCCTAAAGAATTTCCCTCTTACTAAAAACCTTGGGAAATAAGTTATATTTTGTAAATAGATATATGAACAGAACTAAAGAAATATATACATGAAAAACACTGTTACAGGACTAAGAAACTAAATGTGGTTTAGGACAGTCACTGTTGGGGGGACCATGTTCTCTAATGGGACAGCCACAACCATACAACAAGGTGATAATTCAAAATATGAAGTGCTCTAATAGCTGGGCTGCTAAGTGGTTGGAAAGGCTTTGCTGAGAAGGTAGTAATTTCTTTCTTTCTCTCTCTTTTTTTTTTTTTTTTTTTTTTTTTAGACAGAGTTTAGCTCTTGTCGCCCAGGATGGAGTGCAGTGGTGCCATCTTGGCTCACTGCAGCCTCCGCTTCCTGGGTTGAAGCGATTCTCCCATCTCAGCCTCCCAAGTAGCTGGGATTACAGGCACCTGCCACTATGCCTGGTTAACTTTTTTGTATTTTTTGTAGAGACACGGTTCTGCCATGTTGACCAGGCTGGTCTTGAACGCCTGGCCTCAAGTGATCCACCTGACTTGGCCTTCCAAAGTGCTGGAATTACAGGTGTGAGCCACGGTGCCTGGCTGAAGGTAATAATTTCTAAACCCTAAGAGAAAGGGGTGAGTTTGGGTAGGGAAGAAGCACTTTAGACATTGGGAAAAAATCTGAATACAGTCATGTATGCAAAAACAATGAAAATAACTTTACTTTTAGAAGGGAGACAGTAGAACCAGTCACTCCCAAAAGGACTAGCCTTCTTATTTTTAATTTATTATATACTGAGAGTTTACAATTTATAAACCTATATAGAATCCTACATGAAACTGATAGTCTAATCATGTACATTATACAAAATCTAATCAGAACAACTGCCATGCCTGGAAAAGTAGCATTTTTAGGCAGATTCGAGTTTGGAAATATAAATTTTCTGATTTCAAAATGGGATGCTTCATAAACCTATTCGTTGGTCAACAAAATTAACTTCTCAGATTTCAATTATTTTAAGCTAATCTTTTTATTCTATCCTCCTCAGAAGTCATTTGTCACTTATAATGAAAATGCCTTTGAAGTAAACGTGCAAAAATTCACATCAAACATAATTCTGAAAATAGATCCACTTCTGTGAAGCTCTCCACACCAGGGTCTATGACTTCATACTCCCTAAAGAAACTGTTAACAGTAAGAAATTTCCCATTCACTTTCTGAGGGCCGCTCTATGATCTATTTGATTAAATTCTACTTGAAAACTAAAAATAACACAAAACTAGCTAGACTGATGCAAGGGAAGTTTTAGCCTTTGCACTTATATGTGGAGAGGCTAGCAGGCATTTGAAATCTCCAGCAAGAGTGTATTAAGCTCTATTAATAAATCACTGGGATAGCATGTTCAAAATACGTATATATTTTTCCTTTTCACACTTCTAAATCTGCAACTAAAATAAATTTAGGTTTAATTTTTACCATGTTCAAAATTGTAGTTTCTCTCTTTACTTTCAAATACTGTTTTGGAATTCAACCTCTTTGTTGTTCATAATGTATCTAGTATGAATTTATAGTCACTTCATGACTAAACATTGTCTCTTAAAAACACAGATGTTCTATCCCCAAGGGTTGCTAAGCTATTAACAAATTGTTTTCTCAAAGTTTTTACTTACTTACATGATTTAAATTAGCTACACTCATTTCTGAAAGCATTGAACTGTTTAAGTTATGCTTAAAAGTTACTTGTTTAGCCACTTCATTAGTAGATCAGAGAGAGTAACTAAAAAATACAAATTGGCTGCAAGTGCTCACAGACAAATCACAAGCTTGGCTTGGGCTTCTTTGCACTGCACGTCACTAAAATACCCACAGAAGGCTTGGGTCTTGATTTTAGAGAAATCAGGGATATAAACTATTTTCCCATTCCTATTTGCTTTAAAACCAGTAACTCTGCTAACTCCAAGTCCATACATTCATGACAACAACTTCCTCTAACTCATATTGCCTAGGCCATGTTTTCCTTTTTCTAGTGAAACAGTTAATTTTTTTCTTTTTGAGACGGAATTTCGCTCTTGTTGCCCAGGCTGAAGTGCAATGGTGCGATCTTGGCTCACCGCAACCTCCGCCTCCTGTGTTCAAGCAATTCTCCTGCCTCACCCTCCCGAGTAGCTGGGATTACAGGGATGCACCACCATGCCTGGCTAATTTTGTATTTTTAGTAGAGACAGGGTTTCTCCATATTGGTCAAGCTGGTCTCAAACTCCTGACCTCAGGTGATCTGCCCACCTTGGCCTCCCAAAATGCTGGGATTACAGGCATGAGCCACTGCACCCGGCCTCAATTTTTTTTTTTAACTACATGCTTGTAGTAAAATCAAATATATTATTCACTGAAAAAAAATTAAAAACAGGGCTTATAAAATTATCACTAAAATTAGTTCCACAATCCAAACATATAACAACTATGAAATACTTTGATGTATCTCTTTCTAGTCCTTTTAGTGAGGGGCATAGATCACATCTTAGGAGAGCAAAAACGGGTGAAATCATTTGATTTTTATATGCAAATGGAAAGAGGGAGAATAATTTTCCATAGGTGATTTTTACCTTCATTGGAATCCCTTTAACATTTCTATCACTTACCATAGTTTGTTCACTTTTTAAGTAAAGGAGCCTTCATGGACCGCTCCTCCCCACTTTATAAAAACAACTTTTATTTTGTGAAATATAATATGCATACCGAAAAGTTCCCAAGTGTAAAAGTGTAACAACTAAATAGGTTGGTGCAAAAGTAATCGCGTTTTTTGCCATATAGCAAAAACCACGATTACTTTTGCACCAACCTATAGCAGAAGGTGAACACTTATGGAATTACTGCTCCAGCCTGATCAGGGAACTCTCTCCCATCTCCCTGGCCATCACCACCCTGATTTTTGTGGTAGGCGCTCCCTGCTCTTTCTTATACTTACTTTTACCACCTATACCTGCATTCCATAGCCCTCTCGGCGAGTTCTATCTGTGAATTTTATGTTAATGGAATTACACAGTGTATAACCTTCTGTATTTGGATTCTTTCACTTACCATTATGCATGTGAGATTGAAACATGTTGGGTTTGGCTGTGATTCATTCACGGTCATTGCTGTATTCTGTTGCCTGAATGTACCACAACTTATTAATTAATTCTACCACTGATGGACACTGGGTTGTTTCCAGGGTTGGACTGTTATGAACAATTGTGCTATGAACATTCTTACACATCTCCTCGTGTGCAAGGGCAGGCATTTAGGTTAGATGCTTACCTAGGAGTGGGAGAGAGTATGCATATACATCTGTTCGACTTTAGCAGATAAGCCAAACTGGTTTCCAAAGTATCTGTACAATTTGGATTCTTTTTTTTTTTAAGGTTTTCATGACCACATCATACCTTCTTTACTGCTTTTCTTATCCCTGATCTTGCCCTATATCAAACCTTCCCTGGATATTGTTACAGCTTACAAGGTGGCTATCATACTTGCATCTTGGCCAACATAGCCTCCTGTACTTTGGCCACTCATACCTCTTCATCCCATCACAATGAAGATACATGCAGTGTGTGTCTATTGTATACAGGGTCCCAGGCTGATTACTGGGGATATAAAAAGGCAGATAGCAGGTCCTTGACATCAGGTGTTACAACCGAGTTTGGAAAAAGGAAATATAGTTAAGATCTTACCAGAAGCAGCATATACTAAACAGCTAATAAATGGTGTAGATAATGAGCACTATGGAAGTTCAGTAGAGGAAGGAGTGGGGTGATGTGAGTGTTATGGAGGTTCAGTAGGGGAAGGAGTGGGGTGATGTGAGCACTATGGAGGTTCAGTAGAGGAAGGAGTGGGGTGATGTGAGCACTATGCAGGTTCAGTAGAGGAAGGAGTGGGGTGACATGTTATGGAGGTTCAGTAGGGGAAGGAATGGGGTGATGTGAGCACTATGGAGGTTCAGTAGAGGAAGGAGTGGGGTGATGTGTTATGGAGATTCAGTAGGGGAAGGAGTGGGGTGATGTGTTATGGAGGTTCAGTAGGGGAAGGAGTAGGGTGATGTGAGTGTTATGGAGGTTCAGTAGAGGAAGGAGTAGGGTGATGTGAGCACTATGGAAGTTTGGTAGGAGAAGGAGTGGGGTGATGTGAGTGTTACGGAAGTTTAGTAGGGAAGGAGTGGGGTGATGTGTGAAAATCTTGGGGAGAATCTCTGGCCTTCGCTGGCCCTCGTGGGAAACAAGCACAGGCTGAGGCTGGGAGCGTGCATGCCATGTTCAGAGAACTGGGAGGGATCAACGTTATCCTGAAACAATTGTCCATGCCACATGCAGGGGCAGAGCAGAAGAATCTGCCTCTCAAATGGCCAGTTAAAGATCAACTTGCAGTTAAATAACACACAACAAAATAAAGTATGCCAGTTAAAAATATTAAATTTAGTCACAAATGTGCATGAAAGTAGAACTCAAAAAGACAGTTCTAAAAATATTTATGGTACTAGAATACTGAGCCCCCGAGATCTAGCCTGAGGACATGGTCCCTCCAAGGCATAAACAGATCTGAGATGTTACTGCTGACAGAACACCCACCCCTCCAAAACTGGCCCTTTTGCAAAGGCGTTTCATTAGTCACAAAGAGGATAGGTCAATGAAAGAGAATTTGAGTTAACATAAATACATCATAAACATCAAGCCAAAACTCATGGCATCATCCTTCTACACAAAGAATAGCACAGGGGCAATGACTAGTAATAGTTGGACTTTCAAGCTTTTTTGAGGCTGCTTTGAGAGGGGACTGTGGACTGATATTAACAGTTACAGTGTCCCTTGAATGCAGAGAAAAGCCATGTGTAGTACAAAGGGACATGACCAGGTGCAGTCAGGAAGTCCAGGATAGGAGCCTGGATCTGCCCCCACCAGCCTGGTGACCTTGGATGAGGCAATTCTCATTTCCCCAAAATAAGGGGGTTGAAAAGAGGGTTTCTCAAGTATCTCTTCTTTCTCCATTCTAACAACTAATGCTGAGAGAAAGGATATTTTTTGGTCCACTTCCTTAGGAACAGAAGATTCATGACTGGTTCCTTCATACCTTTCTTTAAACAAAAGCATTTCCCACAAATCCTAAGGCTTACAATGGAGAAGGGGCACAGTTTGATGCTGCTCCTTAGAAATGAAAGGAGCTCCAGAGAATATTGTTTTTAAGTCATTGTAACAGCTTTTGTTAGGCTGGACTGCTGGAGGTGAGGAGTATATGACAAGCCAGAACAACTCCAAAAATGAACTGGGTACCCTGACACTTGGCTGCTTTTTTAAAAACTTAAAAAGCCACATACAGCTCTCATATGCTGAGGATGAGGAGAAATTCCTTTTTTTCCCTTTTTCTATGCCCTCTCTCAGCAGAATAAAAGAGTGGAAATCTAAAAGAAGGAAACAGCTTCTCCTATTTCCTCTCCAGAAGTGATTACATTCCAAGCCATCTTTTTTATTCTACTGGAAAGTGTCACTTATGGGATTCGGAATCAGGGTCAATTCTAAATAGTTCACATGAACACATCTGCATGGAATTGATGTTTTTTCATAAATACAAACACTGGAACCAGGAGAAAGTTTACAATGTCAAGTTTTCAGTTTTTGCTTATTGTGAGAATAGAATGTATATTGAGGAGACACAGGCAAAACAAAAGAAGTATAATAAATTGATTATGGAAGAAGGGATCTTTGGAGTTAGCCTAGTTTACCCTCATTTGACAACACATTAGTAAAATAATTACCTACATAGATGGGATGATGCGTGAGTTAAATTAGACAACTTAGTCTTGACAGAGATACTAACGTGTTCATGGAAAATAGTGAATAAACTAAATTGTTATACACCAAATCATACATTAAAGTCAGCATTTACAAGAATCTTGCTATGATCCCTCCCAAAGTAAAATAAAAAGAAAACTAACCTGCTAAAGAAAATCATTCAGCAATTTATCTATTCTGAAAGTTCAGACTGGCACCTTGAGCCTTCTTTGGGCTTAGGTCACCCACTCGCTATTCTCAAAGACAGGGCTTTGTGTTTCTCAAGGGTAGAGATGATACCAGCTCTATGTCCTGTATCATCCCAACTTTTCTTCAGGGTCATGACTGCCACAGACTCACAACTCTTTTTGGTATATTTTCATGAGTAGCATGTAAAAGTTCTTATAAGATACTGAAAAGTAAGGCTTGTGTGTTGTTTAGTTTATAAAACAACACATATACTTATAAAAGTAAGACTCATGTGTGTTGTTTTGCTCCCTTGCTAATCAGAACAAGTGGCCCTTGATTTTCATAACTGTTAGTGTACTAACCTGTAGCAGTTCTTTTAAGTTGTGGCTTCTAGTCTATTATGGACTTGGGAACCAGATGGCTAAGCTTATTAAAACTGTGTATTGGGCCAGGCATGGTGGCTCACGCCTGTAATCCCAGCACTTTGGGAGGCCAAGGCAGGTGGATCATGAGGTCAGGAGTTTGAGACCGGCCTGACCAACATGGTGAAACCCCATCTCTACTAAAAATACAAAAATTAGCTGGGTGTGGTGGCGCATGCCCGTAATCCCAGCTACTCGGGAGGCTGAGGCAGGAGAATTGCCTGAACCCGGGGGGTGCAGGTTGTGGTGAGCCAAGATCGCGCCACAGCACTCCCGCCTGGGCAACAGAGCGAGACTCTGTCTCAAAAACAGACAAATAAACAAACAAAACTTGTATCAAGCAAAGAGTATGGCTGTGAGCAAGAGGCTCCCTGATTAATAAAGTACAAGACAAGAGCTCCGAGCCATCCATTTTGATTGTTCAGAATCTACAACTCTAGTTTTTGGCTTTGTTCTGGAAAAGTGAGGTTGATAGATATGTGAGAAACTAACATTGGCTAACAGTTACTGAGAGCTTGCTTTGTGCTAGGGAGTTTACGTGCATTGTTTCTTTTGATTTCTCCAACTATTCCAGGATGTAGGTAAGGTGATGAGTTAGACCTGTCCTTGAGGTGAGAAACTGATGCACAGTGAAGGTGAAATAACTTGCCCCAGACTGCAGGACTGGGGACTCACTCTCAGCCCTCCAGCATCCCACCTGCCTCTCCACTTATGTGCTTCAGAATCTGCATTCTGTCCACGGCCATTCTTCATTTCACACTCAAGGAAACCACTGCAGCTCAAAGTCCTCTGAGTGTGAACAGTCTTCTTTTGCCTCCCAAGCCCCCTTTGCCCATTTGTGTTCTCTAATTTTCTTAAGTTCCTCACATTTGAAAAGGAAGGGAGTAGAGAAGCCGTTTCTTTGAATGCTACTTTAGAAACTGTGCCCCCCTAAACAGTAAGGTTCTTTAAGGGACAACCACTAGCAGAGTGCTGTGCAGGCAGGAGTTGCTCAATCAATACTAGTTGAACAAATAAATGAAAGACAAGAAAATCTCTATTGCAAATAGTAGCTTTGTAGGAAAAGGAATGTTAGCCGCTGGATGTTGGAGATATTTATTCAAAGACTCAGAGGCCTAAAGACTGTGAGAACACCATAAATAAATATAATGATCAAGAGTCCACATGGTTCCTTATACCCCATTGTGCCCTGATTTGAAAAACTCTCAATATTGGGTTTGGTGTTTTCTCTTCAATAGGGACTGTTAGCAATGAGAGGCTGTATGGTGGAATGTGCAGACCATTTATAAAGGACAAAAATAATCACTGATTTTTCATTTTCAGTTCCTGTAGGTTAGGGCTGGGATACAGATCACCAAAGATGAAGGCAAATCTTTTATAGTGCCTACCTGCTTTTATTTTTCATGCCTGTATCAACAGGAAAAATGTTGAATGCATGAATTTGATAAGACTGATATTTATTTAATGGCAGAGGCTGCTAGAAACAAGAACTAGGCACATGATTTGAATGCTTTCATTAGTGAAATCCCTCTGATGCATGTTTAAATGAAAGACTATGCCTTCATTTCCAAAAATACTGTCTTTTGCAGTACACATGTTAAACTGAATGGAGAAAAATAAGATAACCCCTGACAAAAAGTAACCACTTAACTTCAGTCTGTGTAACATTCTGTGATACAATTGAAACCACGGACACAATGCTCTAAAGGCAATTCAAGTTCACAAAAGCTTATCTCCCCGTGATGAACAGAGAAGACGATTCATTCATTTTCCCTTTATGGAACCAGTGTGTCTCTTTGGGGTTCAGATTATGAGCAAAACCACCAGCCAGCATAGGCTAAGAGGTGGCTTTGTGACCACAAGTACATTTTTAGCAAATCGGAGCTACAACAGTCAAGGGTAACAGGCTCACTGATAGTAAATCACTACTTACTTGGGGGCCTAAAATAATCAGGGTTAGAAGTCAAATGTGAAGCCGCTCCAAAGGGGGAAAAAAGAGTAAAAGGAATTCATTTCTTAATATCATCAAGTGTATATATTAACTACCATATATTTAATGGCAGGGAGAGAAAGGACAATAATGGTAAGACTACAAAGGATCCCATGTATAGCGTCTTGTCATAGGGACTATTGAAAATTAAATAAGGTTGTTTCTACTGCTACTGCTATCAATTAGCTAGCAACCACTTCCACAGCCATAATAACTGCCACATGCACGCTGCGCCTTACCCCTGGGCCTGCTAATTCCAAACACAGGAGGTTGCACACTGCACTCAACAGACTGGCCTACAACAGAATGCCCTGCTAGTCAGATTTTGTTTTACAAAATGAAATGATTCAGTACGTCAGAATATTTTAGATAATTTAGCCTAGTTCCATTCCTTAAACATATGAACTAGATTACATACTTTGTAATAATTTAACCTTCACTTATCCAAACATTCTCTGTGCCATACAACTACATGTTTCTCTTTATTTTTGTTCCTTCTAGTTTCACGAAGTTTAAACAATGATCTCTGGTCTAAGTTACAAAGCTATGCTGCCAATAAGGTGATTCGTGTCATGTTTAAAGGATTTCATTTTTGAAGTGGAAAAAATCACTCCTGTGAAACTGACACTGTAGTTTGAAAGACGAAAATGCCAACATAAAAAAAAAATCCCATTCAAAAGGGATGGGATTTGATATCTATGAAAGTAGCCCCCAGACTCACTCCCTGGCCACCTCCCACTCCAACCTTTCCCCTGTGGAGTTCTCAAACCCTTGTATTGACTGTGGTTCCCACAAAGACAAGAAGTAGTGAACAGCAAAATAGAGTAAATGCTTTTCCTGAACTTTGGAAGAAACCAGATTTCGTCAGTGAGGTTTGGCAACGTGAGAAACCCTGTAACCAATTTCATTTCCTGATAAATGAATGGTCCACAGGGGAAAGTCCACCAGTGAGTTTCGGAACGTTTGAGAGCTGAGACTTTATGAAAGGCTCCTTGAAGGAGTCAGCCTGTCTTTGCTTATCATTGCTGAGACAGACAGCGCCGTGCAAATAGGAGAGCTGCCAGACTCCATTTAGAGCCCTTGCTGAAGCACAACTGATAGGGCTTCACAAACATGTGATATCCCTTTAAGAAAGGACATTGCTATCGTGTGCCCCTTCCATTAGACTAGGCTCTTAAACCTGCAGGGCTGGAAACATATGCCTATTAAAATTATTTCAGAAGAGCAGGTTTAATAGTCTTCTCATTTAAATGTAACTCCCCTCGTCCAACCAAAAACAAAATATCCTTGGCATTCAGTTTTGATTTAGAGTTGGGAAAATGTAATGTATAAAAATGAACACATACGTGGATAAATAAGAGTAAAACATAGTGACTCAATCTCAGGGAAGTTATGACAAATAGAAAGTGCCTCAAAGTATTGAAACAAGTTCATCTGAAATGTGAATAGCCTCATTCGTCACAAGATCATTTACATTTTAAACTTGAAATGAGTATCTTTATGTTTAAGTAAACTAAAAGGCAATTCTCATAACTCTATATGTGCTATATTTATGCCTAAAAATTTAAAAATATCTTAACACTTTTCAAGTTAATTCAGAATTGGCCAAAGTACAAATATGTTTACTGAATTAAGGTAAACTTTTGTCAAAGGTTAACTTGACAGATTAAAAAATATGTAATTTTGGTTTGCTTAGAAAACACAAACAATACCACCTCCCCCCACCCCCATAAAATAGTCAAATGAACACTTGAAGGCAAGAGAAGTTTGGAAAAGTCTTAAATAATGGCTTCAGGCCCTCAATTAGAAAAAATTAGAAAACCCAAAAAAACAAAATCTGAAACGAGTGAGCTTTCAAGAGGCTGGCAGCCTTGGCCTGGCAGTAAGGAAGCCTGGAGTTGATTAAATTCACCCTGCAAACCCACGTCACAGCAGCAACAAGGACATGCTGGAGGTCTACAGAGAGGCTGAGGCTAATTTCACCCACCGATAATAACCACGTCTAAAACAAGGAATGGGGGAATGCCAATGAGCCCTAAGCTTCCTCTTTAACCATTTAATCCATTTTTTCTTCTTCCATGGTTTTGGAACCACAAGACACATTCTTTTTTTGACTTCAATTTTGGATTCTTGGTGACACTGAGTTGGGTTGTGTCCAGGCCCAGGATAAGTAGAGAAGTCTGTGCATTCACTATAGGGAGGCAGTGTTACACTCGCTTTATTAAGGTAAAATAATTTGGTATCAAAACGTTAAGATGGAAGGGAAAGGGAGTCTCCCAGCTTATTTTAAAACTATCCGAGTTGTGATTCTGATCAGTCATATGAATTGAAAAAGATGACCACTTTAACAGCTAGGTTCTTTTGGCCTCCACAGCTTATAAATAAAAAGCAAAACTAAATTTACACAGTTGGCTCTCTGTATCCATAGGTTTCGCATCCCTGGATTCAACCAACCATGGATTTAAAATATTCTGAGGAAAAAACAAGGATAGTTGCATCTGCACTGAACATTACAGACTGTTTTTTCTTGCCATTATCCCTAAATGATACAGTATAACAACTACTTATATGGCATTTACATTATATTAGGTATTGTAAGTAATCTAGAGATGATTTAAAGTATACAGGAGGATGTACACAGGTTATATACAAATACACTATTTTATATTATGGACTTGAGCATCTGTGGATTTTGGTATCTATGGCGGGTGTTTTGGGGGTGGGGTCCTGGAACCAATCTCCCATGGATACAGAGAGATAACTGTATTGTGCTTAGGAACCATTTCAAACTTTAATTGTCTACATATAATTGTGCATGGTACTTTTAAATTCAGAAAATAAGCCAAACTGGAAAAATCAAAACGTTTGATTCAAAACTAGGGCTCATTACCTGTGGTATGAGAATTAGTCTGCTTCATAACATGAAAGCTGAGTTATTTAGAGGATACTCATCTGTGCTTTGTAGAACAGAGCTACAAATGACTACCGAGTTTAACGGCCAAAAGCAAAGCTGAGACCTCTACTTAATCTGAAGAACCGTTACTTGTAAATATTCCGCAAAGCACATGAGTTTCTTATACAGTAAGTTCCAAGAGAACTAAAATGTTTTTCTGTTTTCTTTTGAATGTGGTTGCTTTCAGATCGTCTCAAATTCAGAAGCCAGATGTGGGTAGGAGTTGCACAGAAGACAGAGAAGGCTTAAAAGTTCACTAATGTTGAGACTACTATGGAAAAGGCTGGATGCAATGGACTCACAGAGTCCTGAGGAAGGGGCTGCTGATAAGCAATGGGGGAGACAGACAGGCTGGGTGTCTCCTCTGATGCTCATCAACCCCAGAATCAGGAGGCCAGGAAACCTAGCTTTCACCTGTGTCTCCTTGCTGAACAGAGACGAACAGCATAGATTTTACAGCTAGACAATCAGTAAGGACCCATAACCCTAAGGACCTCAAGTACTTATGATGATGAGAAGCCAGGGACATTCCCTCTTTCAGTTGCTTTCTCTTCCTTCTTGGTTTCTGTCCATCAACATGAGTCTCAATACCATCCCATTTGAGGGCCGAGTGTGCAGCCCCTGAGGAGGAGGTTGTGCTGGCTTGGTTGGGGACAGACAAAGCCTGAATGCTGAAGGTTTGTTTCCTGAATACTGCTGTGGGATACTCCCCTACTCCCATCCCATTACTCCTTATCCCTCTCTTCAGATTTTCATCCAAGGATCAGGGTCACTCAGGAATCTTTAATTAAAGTGAGCCAATATGTCCATTATGGAGCCAAGGAAATGTAGGGAAAGAAGGATTCAGTGAAGGATAAACAGGGAATCGATGGCAGAGTCAAGAGGAAAATACACATTTCTGGATCCTTGCTTGGGAAAATGGCCACTGGTACGAGGAAAACTATAGACACATAGTCCCATCTTCATTTTGATGGTGGGGGTAGTAGATAATGCCATGTCAGAATTTTTCCAACACGGAAAATTCAAAACATTTACTACTGTGAGTCTTGGAAACAAGGAATGGCAGTTTAACTTTTGAGGTGGGGAAAAAGAAGGGATCAAAAGACTGTTTACTCTGTTTTGTAGTGAAACGAGTTTTATGAAGTGCTCTTTGCAGTTGAAGACACACTTACTATTTTCTGCTGGGAAATATTCTGGCTAGTTTACAGTAAAGATCTGATGTAACATGAGAAGAGTTTAAACCCCATACACTTAAAAGCTTGATAACACATTTTTTCTTTCATTGGGGCTGTGGCAATGTTTATCCTCCATTTTGATAGGGCAATGTCAGAAATGTGTTAGCAGGGGCACCCTGTTACTGTACAGGCAGTATAACAACATTAAAGTAAATTTCAAAAAAGCAAAGCAAAACGGATCAACCAACCAACTCACCCTTAATTTTATTGCTCAAAGTAAATATTTTCATTTGGGGAATAATCTTTCTCTGTATGTATCTGTGTGTCTCTGTATGTGTATGTGTGTGTAGAGATATATGAATATAAAAATAGTAGCAATCACAGGAAAAATATTATGATGTTTTAAACTTTGAGTCTGAAAGACACATTAAGAAAAATGCCATGCCTTTCTACTTTGAGATGACACTTATTCTCCATGCTGCAGATATTATGCCAAAAGTAAACTACTGAAATATGTTTTAGTGAAACATGCTATCGTAATAGTTCAAGTAATTCACAACACCAATGTAATAACAAGCACCATTTTGTTTAGGTTTTCAGAGTAGGTACCATATAAAATCATTTTTCTGGAGCCATTTTATGTTTTATATAAAGAGTTATCATGTAAAATGTAATAACAGTATAAAGTGCTGCATGTTCACATCCTGATGACACCTGGGAAGAGGTGAATTGTACATTCTGCTTTAAAACAACCCTTGAAGGTACTGCAAAAATATGGTATCTGTTATTACCAGAATTCTCCGTGGGAACACCATAGAGAGGCTGTGGATGCCACAGAACAGACTGCTGCTGTCAGCCCTGATCACTTTTTAACAGATAATATATTTAGATGAAAAATCTTCTCATTGCACATAAAGAAGCCTGGTTTTTCAGGGTGATTCTTTCATAGCTTTTCTTCTGTTACAAGACTAGTTCTGGGCTGTGCGAGAAGGAATGTGGAGAAAGAATGCTCTTAAGTCTTCCTCAGAAGCTTAACTCGTATATAGTTCCTTTTTCCAAAAAACCTGGACTCTTTAAACGCTCTAACCATAAATTAGCTCTTGTCTCAGGTGGTGAAACATATGGTGCCCTGCACAACACGGGAGCTTCACAGGAGGACTTTTTTCCCTTTTGGCAATGTTTTTCTGGTCTCCAATTACAATTTAAAATTGAACTCTGGCATTTGTTAGATGAAAATGACCAAACTGACTGTTCCCCTATTTTTTGCTTCTTGAGATGATCACAAGATAAAATTTACTAATTTTAAGTGTTCAATTTCATAAATTTCGTCGTTTGTATACAATTGTGTGACCACACCACAATTAAGATGCAGAGTAGAAAGCCCCTTCCTGTGCCTTTGCACATGATTTTCTGTGCTGTCCCCCTGGGCCCAAGGAAGCCACAGATCTGCTTTCTCTCTCAGTTTTGCCTTTTCTAGCTTTTATTGATTTCATCAATTTAACTTTGACAATTCTAATTTTTTAAACTTATTGAGATCTGTTCTATGGCTCAAAATAGGATTTATCTTGGTAAGGGTGTTATATACATTCGAAAATAATGTGAATTTCTGCCACTGTCCAGTGAAATGTTCTGGGAATATCAATCAAGGTGAGGTAGTTGATAGTCTTTTTCAGATTTTCTATGTCTTCAGTGAATTTTTCTGGTCTAGACGTTCTACCAGTTGCTGAGGGAGGGTTAAGTCTCCAACACAGTGGAGTTGTCTGTCAGCTTTTTGTTTCATGATATTGAAGCTTTGCTATTGGCACATGCACATTTGTGCCTGTTATGTCTTCCTCTTGAATTGTCCCTGTGATCATTATGAAGTATCCTCATTCACCTTTGGTTTTGTTTTGAAATCTGTATTATGTGACATTAGTAAAGCCATGTTATGCTTACTGTTTGCATGGTACCTCTTTTTCTGATTTGCTTTCAACCTGTATTTTTATAGTTAAAGCATATCCTTTGCAGACAGTATATAGTTGGGTCTTATTTTATCCATTCTGACAATTCTTGCTTTTTAATGAGTGTTTGGTCCATTAACATTCCATGTAATTATTGATATGGTTAGGTTTGCATCTGCCAATATCATATTTTGCTTTCTACTCAAATCCTCTCTTGTTTTGTTCCTCCTTTCCTGCTTTGGGGAAAAAATTATTTGAATGTTTTTAAGAATTCTAATTTTTCTGTTGGCTTTTGAGCTATTCATTTTTTTATTACTTTTACAGTGGTTGCCCTAGAGATGACAATATACACTCTTAACTTTTCTCAGTCAACTTACAGATAATAATATATTACTTAGGGTGACCATAGTCAGTAAAAACTGAATTGCATATTTTAAAATAACTTAGAGAATAACTGGATTGTCTGTAACTCAAAGGATAAATGCTTGAGGGGATGGATACCCCATTCTCCATGATGTGCTTATTTCACGTTGCATGCCTGTATCAAAACATCTCATGTACCCCATAAATATACCTATGCACCCACAAAAATTAAAATATATATATATATATACTACTTCATGTAAACTATACAACTGTCACAACCATACAGGGCCATATCCCTCCTCTCCTCTCCTATATACTATAGTTGTTATATATACATCTACATAGATTATAAATCCTAAAAACCAATGTGATAATTTTGGTTATTCCCTTCCGGCTCTTTCCCTTCTGGGATTCTTCTACTCTCTTCAGCATTTATGCTTTCCCAGCTTCTCTCCTGTGCTTTTCTAGGTCAGAAATATCAAGAGTTTCCCATGTGAGGTGCTTGCCACCATGTCATTTAGGAATTTTAGTTTATTTAAAAATTAAAGAGAAAGAAGGGAGGAAAGGGAGGAAGGGAAGAAGGCAAAGAGAATGGAAAATATAAATATGAATGTTATATATTTACTTAGATATTTACTACTTCTTGTAAATATTTTTCCTTCCTCTCTGAAAGCCTGAGTTTCCATCCGGCATCATTTTTGCTCAGCCTGAAGAACTTCCTTTAGCACTGTTCCATTCTCTTTGAGACTCTCTGACTTCTAATGAGAAGTGCAAGGTTAATTGAGTTGTTCCCGCATAAGGGAATTTGGTACTATGTTATACTTTGTTGTTTTTCTCTTGGTTTTTGTCATTGGCTTTCAACAGCTTTGATGCTACAATGCCTTGACATGAGATTCTTTGTGTTTATTCTGTTTGGTGTCAGCATCTCATATCTGCAACTGTCTGTCTTTTTTCCATTTGGCCCTTTTTAATTGTTTCTATTTCTCGGCTGAGACATCTCCTTTCTCTGCTGGAATGTTCATGCATTAAAAACATGTTTCATGCAAAGAAAAAAAATGAGGAAAGCCATAGTAGTTACTTCAAAATCTTTGTTGGTTCTAACATCTGGTTCGTCTTGGGGTAGAAAACTTGATTGCTGTGTGCAGAAAATGTGTTCCATTTTCTTGATTCTGTGGATGTCGGGACATTTTGGGTTGTATCCTGAATAATATTAATGTTACATTGTAGAGATTCTTTTTTTTTTTTTTTATTTTTATTTTTTTTATTGATCATTCTTGGGAGTTTCTCGCAGAGGGGGATTTGGCAGGGTCATAGGACAATAGTGGAGGGAAGGTGGGCAGATAAACAAGTGAACAAAGGTCTCTGGTTTTCCTAGGCAGAGGACCCTGCGGCCTTCCGCAGTGTTTGTGTCCCTGGGTACTTGAGATTAGGGAGTGGTGATGACTCTTAACGAGCATGCTGCCTTCAAGCATCTGTTTAACAAAGCACATCTTGCACCGCCCTTAATCCATTTAACCCTGAGTGGACACAGCACATGTTTCAGAGAGCACAGGGTTGGGGGTAAGGTCACCGATCAACAGGATCCCAAGGCAGAAGAATTTATCTTAGTACAGAAC
This sequence comes from Homo sapiens, assembly GCF_000001405.40. Classification (NCBI taxonomy): domain Eukaryota; kingdom Metazoa; phylum Chordata; class Mammalia; order Primates; family Hominidae; genus Homo; species Homo sapiens. The sequence continues at coordinate 49,079,777 of NC_000018.10, forward strand.
AAAATGAAAAGTCTCCCATGTCTACTTCTTTCTACACAAACACGGCAACCATCCGATTTCTCAATCTTTTCCCCACCTTCCCCCCCTTTCTATTCCACAAAACCGCCATTGTCATCCCGGCCCGTTCTCAATGAGCTGTTGGGTACACCTCCCAGACGGGGTGGTGGCCGGGCAGAGGGGCTCCTCACTTCCCAGTAGGGGCGGCCGGGCAGAGGCGCCCCTCACCTCCCGGACGGGGCGGCTGGCTGGGCAGAGGGGTGCCTCACTTCCTAGTAGGGGTGGCCGGGCAGAGGCGCCCCTCACCTCCCGGACGGGGCGGCTGGCCGGGCGGGGGGCTGACCCCCCCACCTCCCTCCCGGACGGGGCGGCTGGCCGGGGGGGGGCTGACCCCCCCACCTCCCTCCCGGACGGGGCGTCTGGCCGGGTGGGGGGCTGACCCCCCAACCTCCCTCTCGGACGGGGCGGCTGGCCGGGCAGAGGGGCTCCTCACTTCCCAGTAGGGGCGGCGGGGCAGAGGCGCCCCTCACCTCCCGGACGGGGTGGCTGGCCGGGCGGGGGGCTGACCCCCCCCAACTCCCTCCCGGACGGGGTGGCTGGCCGGGCGAGGGGCTGAGCCCCCCACCTCCCTCCCGGACGGGGTGGCTGGCCCGGCAGAGGGGCTCCTCACTTCCCAGTAGGGGCGGCTGGGCAGAGGCGCCCCTCACCTCCCGGACGGGGCGGCTGGCCGGGCAGAGGGGCTCCTCACTTCCCAGTAGGGGCGGCCGGGCAGAGGCGCCCCTCACCTCCCGGACGGGGCGGCTGGCCGGGCGGGGGCTGACCCCCCCACCTCCCTCCTGGACGGGGCGGCTGGCCGGGCGGGGGGCTGACCCCCCCCACCTCCCTCCCGGACGGGGCGGCTGCCGGGCAGAGACGCTCCTCACTTCCCAGACGGGGTGGCTGCCGGGCAGAGGGGCTCCTCACTTCTCAGACGGGGCAGCTCCGGGCGGAGGGGCTCCTCACTTCTCAGACGGGGCGGATGCCGGGCGGAGGGTCTCCTCACTTCTCAGACGGGGCGGCTGGGCAGAGACGCTCCTCACCTCCCAGACGGGGTGGCGGCCGGGCAGAGGCGCTCCCCACATCTCAGACGATGGGCGGCCGAGCAGAGACGCTCCTCACTTCCCAGATGGGATGGCTGCGGGGAAGAGGTGCTCCTCACTTCCTAGATGGGATGGCGGCCGGGCAGAGACGCTCCTCACTTTCCAGACTGGGCAGCCAGGCAGAGGGGCTCCTCACGTCCCAGACGATGGGCGGCCAGGCAGAGACGCTCCTCACTTCCCAGACGGGGTGGCGGCCGGGCAGAGGCTGCAATCTCGGCACTTTGGGAGGCCAAGGCAGGCGGCTGGGAGATGGAGGTTGTAGCGAGCTGAGATCACGCCAGTGCACTCCAGCCTGGGCACCATTGAGCACTGAGTGAACCAGACTCCGTCTGCAATCCCGGCACCTCGGGAGGCCGAGGCTGGCGGATCACTCATGGTTAGGAGCTGGAGACCAGCCCGGCCAACACAGCGAAACCCCGTCTCCACCAAAAAAGTACGAAAACCAGTCAGGCGTGGTGGCGCGTGCCTGCAATCGCAGGCACTCAGCAGGCTGAGGCAGGAGAATCAGGCAGGGAGGTCGCCGTGAGCCGAGATGGCAGCAGTACAGTCCAGCTTTGGCTCGGCATCAGAGGGAGACCGTGGAAAGAGAGGGAGAGGGAGACCGAGAGGGAGAGGGGAGAGGGGAGAGGGGAGAGGGGAGAGGGGAGAGGGGAGAGGGGAGCTGTAGAGATTCTTGTCTGGGCTAGAACTGAAAACTCTGTATTTTGATCTTTTGTTTTTAGCCAGGCTGTTTAAAGTTTGTTCTGCAGATGTGTGGTTCAAGGTTTAGTCAAAGATGTGGACTGGCAGAGTTTAAGGATTCCTTTCTCTGACTCTTTCTCTTCTGGGATTCCTCCACTATTTTCAGAGTTTATGGATTCTCAACTTCTCTTTTCTGGTTTTCAGGCCAGAAAGGCTCTGCTACTTTTCCACATGTGCCCCACCTCTGCTCTGTGTGCAGTGTGATGCTGTCACTGCAGTCAGCCCAAGGCTGAAAGTGTCAGGAAGTAGGTTTGTTATTTTCCATCCTCCAAGTGAAGAATGCACCCTCTTCATGAGAGTCTCTGCATCTGCTCACTCTTCGGTATCTTCAGAGCTGGTCTTAGTTCAGAGTTTTGGTTTCTAGCTGAGCTGCTATGATTCAGAGATGTAGACAGGCAGTTTGGGAATTCCCTTCCAGCTCTTTCCCTTCTAGGATTCTTCTACTCTCTTCAGCATTCATGCTTTCCCAGTTTCTCTTCTGTGATTTCCCAGGCCAGAAATATCAAGAGTCTTCCATGTGAGGTGCTTGCCACCATGCCACGAACTACATGGACTGTACTTGGTCCCAGGCTAAAAGCCATGGAAATAGAAATGTATGTATATAGCTTCCTGTTTCCTCTCCTCTAAATGAGCATAAACAGCCTGAAATGGTTTGCTTCTATTCATTCTCCAGTATCTTCAAGTAGTTGTGTTTCATATTATATGTTCAGACTTTCTAGTTGTTTTCTGTAGGGTGTATTATCTGGTAGGGTCTTGATACCTAGAAGCAAAAACTTAATTCCCAAGCCAACTTTCAACCACACTGCATTATTTTATTCAGAAATATTTAACAAGTAGCTATTCTGTGCAAGGTAGTGTATTATGTCAATATGCTATAGGGTGACATAAACATAGAAAACACAACAATTAACTTAAAAATGAAATGAGATTAAAGTATACACATACATATTAATACACAAGGTAGCAGGAGATAAAAACAGTACAGAATGGTAAAGAAGAACTTGGAGAGAGGGTTTTGGCAATGCTTTTGGAAACATGGGTAGAATTTCAAAGAAAGACAGGAAGTGGCATGATTGGCCAAATACAGACAGTTTTACTTATTCATTTTTTAATGTGTATACATTTGATTTCTTTATCTTGTTGTATGCTCTTCTAGGGCCTCAAGCACAATGCTGAATACATGTGCTGGGAGCCGACATTCTTGCTTTGTCCCTGATCAGTGGAAAAAGAATTTAGTCTTTCATCATTATGTGTGACGTTAGCCGTAGGTTTTTTCCAAGTGCCCATTGTCAGGTGAGGAATTTACCTTATATTCCTAGTTGTGTGAGAATTTTTATCATGAACAGATGTTAGGTTTTGTCTGTGTGTATTGTGGGGGTCAGCAAACATTTTCTATAAAGGGCCCAGTAATAAACATTTTAGGCTTTGTGAGCCAATATGATCTTTGTCACAACTACTTGACTCTGCTACTGTCGTGTGAAAGGAGACACAGACAATACATAAATAAGTGGGTGTAGCTGTGTTCCAAGAAAACTGTACTTACAAACATAGGTGGCAGGCAGGATTTGGCCTGTGGGTTGTGGTTTGTTGATTCTTGGTCTATTAAAATGATCATGTGGTTTGTCCTTTAGTCTACTAATATGGCATATTATACTATTTCAGTTTTGGATATTAAACTAATTTTGTATTCCTGGGATAAATCTGACTTGGTTATGGTGTACAATCCTTTCTGTACACTGCTGGTGTCAGTTTGCTAATATTTTGTAAAGGATTTTTTTGTGTCTCTGTTCATGAGAGATACTGGTCTGTTCTTTTCCTGTGATGTCTCTGTCTGATTTTGTTATCAAGGTCATACTGGCCTCCCTGAATGAGCTGGGTAGCATTCCTTTTTCTTACTCTAGTTTCTGAAAGAGTCTGTGTAGGATTCACATTATTTCTTTGCAAAAACTATTTACCAGTGAAGACATATGAGCCTGTGTTCTTCTTTATGGGAAGATTTTAATTACTAATTCATTTAAAAAATAGTGATAGGTCTATTCAGTTTTTAATATTTCTTTTTAAGTCAGTTTTGATAATTTGTATATTTCTAAGAATTGCTCATTTCATCTACAATGTTTAATTTGTTCATTTCAATTTGTTTCTAATATTGTATTCCTTTATATTTAATTTCTACAGGGTCAATAACGGTGCTCTTTTTTCATTCTTCACTTTGGTAATCTGTGTCTCTTCTTTTTTTCTTGCTCATTCTAGGTAAAGTCTTATCCATTTTATTGATCTTTTCAAAGAATCAGCTTTTAGTTTCACTGATATTATCTATTGTTTTCTCTTCATTGATTTGTGCTCTGATCTTTATGATTTCTGCCCTTTTGCTTATTTGAGGTTTAATTTGCTTTTCTTTTTAGTTTCTTAAGGTAGAAGCTTAGATTATCTGATGTTTTCTTTTATTCTAATGTAGGATTTAAAGTTATAAATTTTCCTGTAAGCACCACTTGAGCCGCATCTCACAAATTTTGATATGCTGTATTTATATTTTCATTTAGTTCAAACTGTCTTTAAATTTTCCTTATGACCTATTAAAAGTATGCTGCTTAATTTCCAAATATTAGAAGCTTTTCCAAATACCTTTCTTTTGTTTATTTCTAATTTAATTATGTTGTGGTCAATAAACATATCTGTTTGATTTCAATCCTTTCAAATCTGAGACTTGTTTTGTGACCCAGCACATGGTCTATCCTGGAGAGTGTTCCATGTGTACTTGAAAAGAATATGTATTCTGCTGCCATTGGGTAGAATGCTCTATAGATGTTAGTTAGATCATGTTGGTTGATAGTGCTGTTTAAACCTATATTCTTGCTGTCTTTCTATCTAGTTGTTCTACTACTGGGGCATTAGTCTCCAACTATTATTTTTGAATTGTCTCTACTTCTTTTCAGTTCTGTCAAGTTTTGTTTCATTTATTTTGGGGAATTTTTTTAGTAGCTCAAAATTTGAAATAATCTAGATGTCCACCAATAGAATGGAGAAACTGTGAACTATTTATGTAATGTAATACTAATACATCAGTGGACAGGAACAAATGTTGTCTAACAACATAAATGGCTCTCATCAACAAAATGTTGACTGGAAGAAGAAAGTTGCAAAGGAAAATATAGTGCATGGTTTCATTTATGAAAAGGTCAGAATTGGAAACCACATTGTTTAGAAATATACACGCAGATGGTAAAATTATGAAGACGATGACAGTTATACCCAAAGTCAGGACAGTTTTTAGTTCCAGAGGGTATATTGGGACTTCTGGGCTGTTGGCAATGACCATTTCTTGATATGAAAAGCCATTATATGGATACTCACTTTCTAACTATTATTTTACAGTATACATCTATAGTTTATTTGTATATATGATCTCTCAATTTACACTGAAAAAGAAGAAGGGGTGTAGCTTTATTAGTAGATGAGACCTTGACTATGTTCTAGATACAATGTATGACCAAAAACAGGGATTACTCTTATGACTCAATAAACTTCCGAAATTGGGTATAAAATATGTTCCCTCCAATCTCACTGTGAGACTAGTGAGCAACAATATAATTTAATACCAAACCCATCTCAAGTTTAACTTATCTAATGCTAAAGAAAAGGTGACTTTAAGTGAACTATTTCATATTTTAAATCTAATAGGGTAATTTCTATTTGAAAGAACATGCTTTGATGTGCAAAGATCATTTCTAGACACAAATCGTCTCCAACTTACCATTTTTAATGTTAGGGTTTTTAAAAATAGTGGATATTCTTCAAGTGGGGCAAGTAGAACATGCTGGGAGTGATTTTCACAATCCAGTAACTGACATTATATTAGTCAGAGATTAGGAAGTTCCCTGAAATACTGGTCCAACATTTGGACAAATCTAACAGAAGAGTCAAAATTGAGGCAGATGAATAAGGACAACTGGTCCTTTTTTTTTTTTTTTTTTTTTGATGGAGTCTCACTCTGTCACCCAGGCTGGAGTGCAGTGGTGTGATCTCAGCTCACTGCAACCTCTGCTGCCCGGGTTCAAGTGATTCTCCTGCCTCGGCCTCCCAAGTAGCTGGGATTATAGGCACCTGCCACCGCGCCTGGCTAATTTTTGTATTTTTAGTAGAGACGGGGTTTCACCATCTTGGCCAGGCTGCTCTTGAACGTCTGACTGGTGATCCACCCGCCTTGGCCTCCCAAAGTGCTGGGATTACAGGCATGAGCCACTGCTCCTGGCAACTGGTTCTATTTTTTTAAGCACCACAGTTATCTTTTTAGGAAATTTTAGTTTGTGAATGACACATTTCTGACCAAAGAAAATTCTATCAAAACTAATAGCGGGGATTTCAAGGTAAAATCACACAGCTTAATGTTTCCTTTCCTACTGAAGAATGCCAGCCTTTTCCAGAACTGCCCTTGCATTGTGAACTTGGGTCCTGCAGTCATTGGAAATCATGTGTCCTAGTCCATTTTCTGCTGCTTATAAGAGAATACCTGAAACTGGGTAATTATTTTAAGAAAGGAATTTCTTCCAGATATGGAGGCTTAGAAGTCCCAGGTTGGGCTGCATCTGGTGAGGGTGTTCTTGCTGGTGGAGACCCTCTGCAGAGTCCCAAGGCAGTGCAGGGCATCACATGGGGAGGGGGCTAAATGTGCTAGCTCAGGCCTCTCTTTCTCCTCTTATAAAGCCACAAGTCCCCCTCCCATGATACCCATTAATCCATTAGCCGTTACTCCATGAATGGATTAATCTAGTCACAAGAGCAGAGCCCTCATGATCCAATCACACTTTAAAGGCCCCACCTCTCAATACGGCTGCACTGGGGAATTAAGTCTCAACATACGTTTGGAGGGGACATTCAAACCACAGCACCATGGTCTGGAGAACTAGGTGCCATAGATTGAATGTGTTCCCCTAAAGTTAATATGTGGAATCCTAATCTCCAGTGTGATAGTATTTGGAGGTGAGGCTTTGGGGAAATAATTAGGGCATGAAGGTGGAGCCTCATGAAGGGGATTAGTGCCCTCAAAAGAGAGACTGCAGGGCTGGGCGCGGTGGCTCTGTAATCCCAGCACTTTGGGAGGCTAAGGTGGGTGGATCACCTGAGGTCAGGAGTTCGAGATCAGCCTGGCCAACATAGGAAAACCCCATCACTACTAAAAATACAAAAATTAGCCAGGCATGGTGGTGCGTAGCTGTAATCCCAGCGACTCGGGAGACTGAGGTAGGAGAATTGCTTGAACCCAGGAGGTGGAGGTTGCAGTGAGCTGAGATCATGCCACCGCACTCTAGCCCGGGTAACAGAGTGAAGCTCATGTCAAAAAATAAAAATAAAAAAAAAATACATAAAAATAAAAGAGACTCCAGAAAGCTCCCTTACCCCTTCTGCCATGTGGAAGATAAAGCAGGAAGATGGCCATCTATAAACCAGGAAGCAGTCCCTTACCAGACACTAAATCTGCTGACATGTTGATCTTAGACTTCCCAGTCTCCAGAACTCTGAGAAACAAATTTCTGTTATTTACACACTACCCAGTTTAAAGTATTTTGTTATAGCAGCCTGAACAAACTAAAATACTGGGCAAGATTTATTTTGCTACCAAAAAAATTAGATATTTATCACTTTTCAATTAAGTGTTTTAGTTTATGACTACATTCAAGATGCAATAATAATAAAGACTAAATTTTTCTACTCTAGGATTACAAAGTAAAAACTATGCTTAATTTGCTTATCCATTGCAAAGAATAAAACTGCTTAAAAATTGCTTACACATCTACCACATATTTAATTAAACAAAAATAATGTAAGACATTATAATGAATATCATGGGCTAGCCTGTTTATCAAGAATGATTAGCCAAAAGTAAATATGACATTAAGCCATTGTATGTTTACTGCAATTTCAATATTATGTACAAGAAAGGCCTTTATAGCAGCATGATTTATAATGCTTTGGGTATATACCCAGTAATGGGATTGCTGGGTCAAATGGTATTTCTAGTTCTAGATCCTTGAGGAATCGCCACACTGACTTCCACAATGGTTGAACTAGTTTACAGTCCCACCAACAGTGTAAAAGTGTTCCTATTTCTCCACATCCTCTCCAGCACCTGTTGTTTCCTGACTTTTTAATGATTGCCATTCTAACTGGTGTGAGATGGTATCTCATTGTGGTTTTGATTTGCATTTCTCTGATGGCCAGTGATGATGAGCATTTTTTCATGTGTCTTTTGGCTGCATAAATGTCTTCTTTTGAGAAATATCTGTTCATATCCTGTGCCTGCTTTTTGATGGGGTTGTTTTTTTCTTGTAAATTTGTTTGAGTTCTTTGTAGATTCTGTATATTAGCCCTTTGTCAGATGAGTAGATTGCAAAAATTTTCTCCCATTCTGTAGGTTGCCTGTTCACTCTGATGGTAGTTTCTTTTGCTGTGCAGAAGCTCTTTAGTTTAATTAGATCCCATTTGTCAATTTTGGCTTTTGTTGCCATTGCTTTTGGTGTTTAGATGTGAAGTCCTTGCCCATGCCTATGTCCTGAATGGTATTGCCTAGGTTTTCTTCTAGGGTTTTTATGGTTTTAGGTCTAACACCTAAGTCTTTAATCCATCTTGAATTAATTTTTGTATAAGGTGTAAGGAAGGGATCCAGTTTCAGTTTTCTACATAAGGCTAGCCAGTTTTCCCAGCACCATTTATTAAATAGGGAATCCTTTCCCCATTTCACATCACACACCAGGGCCTGTTGTGGGGTAGGGGGAGGGGGAAGGGATAGCATTAGGAGATATGCCTAATGTAAATGACAAGTTAATGGGTGCAGCACACCAACATGGTGCATGTATACATATGTAACAAACCTGCACATTGTGCACATGTACCCTAGAACTTAAAAAAAAAAAAAAAAAGGCCTAACAGCCTTTTTTAAACAGTACTCCATAAAGCAGCAATGGACATAACTTTCAAACATTTCAAAGGTTACTCTACAACACTGAGTACAAATATTGTCAAACTCAAGGACTTAATTTGGTGTATTATGTATGCTTTCAGTTACACAAATTGGTCTAATAAGCAAATGGGTTAAGAGGAAGCAAAAATTTAGGATCTGAAAGAAGGAATAGCTGAAATTCATGGCTCAAAGATAAGAGGGACTAAAATAATCTTGTCTGTCACCCAGGGTGGAGTACAGTGGTAGGATCAGGGCTCACTGCAGCCTCAATTTCCAGGGCACAAGCGATCCTCCTGCCTTAGCCCCCTGAATAGTTGGGACTACAGGTGTGCACCACCACACCTGGCTAATATTTTAGGGGGGCGTTTTAGTAGAGATGAGGTCTTGTTATGTTTTCCAGGCTGGTCTCAAACTCCTGAGATCAAGTGATCCTCCTGCCTCAGCCTCTCAAACTGCTGGGATTACAGGTATGAGTCACTGCACCTGGCTCCAAAGAACTCCTTAGCCTCAGTTTCCTCACTTGCAGAATGGAAATTATGCTTACACCTCATAGAATTGCTAGGGAGACTAAATGAGATCACCTATATAAAAATACCTACCAGAGCACCTGGTATAGAGCAAGTGCTCAATTAATGTTAACTGAATAGTAAACAACAAAGAAAAAGGAAGTTGAGTCAAAAGAGGGATACTTATGTCAGACTGAAAAGCATATGCAACATTTAAAAGGCCACAGACTTTATTAATGGAATTTTACTACTCTGTCTCATTTTAAAGTAATTCTCATCTTATATTTGGGTTACATGTAAAATATTTTCTACTTTAAAGGAATCTACTTTAAGGATCACAAAGTGAAAGTTCTCTGTCTTTTGTAGGGAAGTTGGAGAAAACAGCTCCAACCTTATCAAGGCCAACTGTTAATCCTAGCCATCATCTCCTTAGTTTTTGTGAGGGCAGGGAATTGAAGAAAACTGGTCCATACAGTAGTGGTTCCCAAATCTGGCAGGTTATCAGCACTGCTCAAAGAACTGTTTAACCAGACAGATTCCTGAGTTCATCACCAGTCTACTAGGTTAGAATCTCAGGTGGGATCCGGAACCTGCATATGAAAAGAGTGCTCCAGGTGACTGTTCATTAATTAAGAGAATTCTCTTGAAATCCTCATTTTGATGGAGGGAGAATCAATGTGACCAGATTCCTTCTTAGATAACCCCAATACAGAAGAGATTCTAGTATCAACATTATGGGTGTTCTATTATGCCTTTCTACAGTCCTTGTCCTGCAAAATGACTCTGGAGGGATTCAACTGAGGGACTGGCCTTGGCTAAGATTTCCCATTTGCTTCCTTCTCAATATGTAGAACTGGTGACTTGGAAAGCTGTACCAACATCCTGCAAATGTGTGTGTGTGTGCACGTGTGCATGTCAGACCATGGAGTTCATAACATAAAATTTCTCATATGAGGACTAAATGGTTCTAAGAATCAGGTATTACATTATTCTAGCAGTTTCCGGATCCATTTATAAGCCTGTGTTTACTATTCCATGGGAGGCAGAAGTAACTTATAAGACTTGATCTTTGTCTTTATTGGACAAGAAACTCAAGGAGAGTCAGAATGGGAGGGAGAGCCACTGTGATTGTTGAATTCTGCAGAGAACATTTTGGGCCCGGTGAAATGGCAGAAATGTCATCTCTCCTTTGAGGATAGAAGCCCAGCACAGAGCTATCTCCTTTATGCTGAATGCTTCCTAGCTCTCATCCCCCAGCAAAAAGGTAACAATATTTCAGGAAAGAGAGAAAACAATTTTTTAAAAGTCTAAAGTGATAAAAATAAAAACAGGAGAAAAAAGTCAAATGACGTCATTTGTACAATTAAAGTAGCTATAAGCTAGAAGCAGATTTAGTCTGAAGAAGAGGTTTTGCTGTTGGGCTGGTGGACGGTGTCAGGCACTCGGTCTCCTCGACTTTCTGTCAGGCCCTGAACATACACATGCTCTACATGGATCAGGGAAAGTAGAGAGAATGAACCAGAAAAAGCAAACAGTGGCTCTTTATTGGACTCTCATAGAGCCTGACAGGCCCTCCATGCTCTTCACCCTCTGAGAAAGGTTCAGAAATAGGAAAAAATGAGATCACTGGAAAAATTTATCCTAATACCATAAATCAGAATATTTTACTCTGCTTGAACTATGAAATCACTGCAGGTGACAGTCAAGAAGAGAACCACTGAGAAACTATTGAAAATTTAGTTAGGCCAATTTACATAGGAATTAGCTTATTGATGAGAACTACTAAAGTGGAGGTCTTCACAGTAGGGTTTTGTAGCTATAAGAATGCATAAATGTGGAATAATGTAGACTTTTAAAAAGCAACTATTCCAACAAAGTGACCAAGACCTCCAGTCTTAACTGAGCTTCTTTATAATATTTTGGAATAAAAGCTGACCTTTTAAGAGTCTATGGAGAGCTGTTCTTCAAAGAATGTTTTCTTGAAGCAGCACTTTATGGTCAACAGGCCCATTGTTCGTTGGTATCCCTCTCTTTCTCATTTCCTCCCTCCCTCCCATTCAGCAAATATTAAAGTGCCCAGTATGTACCAGGTACACTTCAGATACCCCAGTAAACAAAATATGAAGACCCCTGGCCTCCTGGAGCTTACATTATCTAGGAGGATAATAATAAATAATTATACAGTATGCTAGATGACAATGCTGCGGAACAAGAAAACATACAGTAGGATTGGGGGGCTGGGAGTGCAGAAATGTTACCTGGAAGGTCGGGCAGGCATGATGGAGAGAGAGATTTCATTTGCTCATGAGAGTAAAGACTTGAAGGACATGCAGGAATGAGGCCAGCAGATATCTGGAGCAGGGAGAGTGAGCCAGGCAAGGCTCTACGAGTGGAGAGGGCTGGTGTGTTTGGAGCAATTACCTAGTACTGTGCTTCTCAAACTGGAGCAGGCATCAGTTCACACAGCGGCTGATGTTAAAGCGCTGACTGCCCCAGCCCCATAGATTCTAATTCCATGGGTCTGGGGTAGGGCCTGAGAACCTCCATTTCTAGCAAGTTCCTAGGGGATGCTGATGATGCTATGAGGATCACACTTTGAAAAACAGTGATTTAATATTTATTTATTTATTTATTTATTTTGAGATGGAGTCTCGCTCTGTCCCCTAGGCTGGAGTGCAGTGGCATGATCTCGGTTTCATCACATTGGTCAGGCTGGTCTCAAACTCCTGTCCTCGTGATCTGCCCGCCTCCAGCTCCCAAAGTGCTGGGATTACAGGTGTGAGCCACTGCGCCCAGCCTTGACACATTATTTTTAAAACTCTCTGAGTTACTAAATAATACTGGATCATTAAATCAATTTAATGGGTCTGACTAGCAATTTTAAAAAAAGAAAACAGAATAGGCAATATCGGAGCCCATCACATTTAATGATGGTAAGTACTGTTTTATCAAACTTTCATTTCAGTTGTATATAAATGTGTGAATTGTATCATGATGTAAAATGTATTTTTTGCTGTGGGTGGCAGTCTAAAGAGTTTGAAAACCACTAATTACTTTACTGTACCATTAAATAATACAAGCCACATTAATACAGCAGAGAGAAATAGGGGAGTCCTATTGTTCCAGTTGGACACTAAGCTGAACTTGCCTTGGGCCTTCTCTTGTACTCACACACAGATTTCCCCATCTGGATTTCTCTTTCATCCCAGCTTTATGGAAACCTTACCATCCCTTTAAGACAGAGAAGGTCAAGTCCAGGTTTCTCTTCAGTGTTCCCTGACTAGTTCTTCCCAGCAGTGTCTCCACTCCTTCTTCCAGAACTTAACTTCTACACCATTCATTTTACACGCAGCGTAAAGTGCCCTGCTCTACTCAGCTCTGCAACGCAAGGGGGTGCCTTTCTCTCCTGAAAGATGATACATTTTTCTGAGGGCAGAGGTGGTGTCTTACACACTTCTGTTTCCCCAACGTCCTAGCAATGTTGTGGTCAAAGTGGGGGTAAAATAACGAGCTGCAGTAGGAAGAAACAAACCACATTTGTAAGAGATGCTTTGCTTGTATATTATAGGTGATATCGGTGATGATGATGATGATGCAAATTAATGTAAAGGGACAGGTGGGTGCATACATCCTGAGAAGCAAATCTGGGGACAGAAGGAGAAGGGTGGTAGAAGGAGAAGGGCCAAATACAGGAAAACCAACTAGCAGGGAAAGCTTAGCGGTAAGAGACCCTTAGTCTTCCACCAGAGAGCCTGGGCTGAGAGGTCCTTGGGACAGCAAGCCATGGAGAAAAGCCTCACTCCTCACTGGGAGTCCCTCCTTTAATGTTCTGCACTAATGCTGTGCAGTGAATAAGGAGAGTTGAAGGACCAAAGGAGAAATCAAGATTTTGGCTGAGAAGAAGGAGAGAAATAGGAATCCAGAGGCAGGGTGAAGTTAATTTACCCCACGAATATGTATTGAATGAGATGGGTGTGCTGGGGGATGGTTTTGCTATAATGGAGGGACATACGTGTGCCATAGGAATGTGGAGAAAACCACCGAGTGTGCGTGGGTGAATCAGAGTGGGCTTCATAGAAAGCGGGGAGCATGATCGGCTCACCTGACAGACAAGCCATGAAACTGTGAGAACCCAGAAGCTGCATACACAAAGGCCTGGCATGCAAGGACTCTGTCCACCTGACGATCGGCCAGCGGCTGACAGCGTTGGAGCACAGGATCCGTAGGAGGAAAAAGAACACAACTTAAGTCAGGAGTTAGGCCATGAAGTGCCTTGTGTGCTGGATCAGAGCAGGGTGTAAGGGTGGCAACAGGGCTAAGAACACCTGGGGAGGAAGAAGGATGTGGAAGTGGAGACCCCAATTAGGAGTTTATAGCAATAGACTGTGGGAGAAATGTGGAGCAGCCACATGGGAGGGCGGCAACGTGGAGGGAAAGGAATGACTTGAGAAATGAGAATTTCTAGGGTTTGGGATCTAACAGTACTTTTGAGTTAGAGGGAGGATGCTGGCTATTCATATTTCCACAGGTAGAGATACACGAGGAGTGTGGATGTGTGGGGAGGCAGAAGAGAGTGACTGTGGACACATGGGGGTTGTTCCTGTGGGACCCCAAGGGGCCCTCCCAGTACAGCACTCAGGAATCTGCTCTGGGGATAGAGAACTGACAAAGAAACGAAAGATGCTTAGGGTGAGATAGGGAAGAGACCCCTGAATAGGAGCAAAGTGAAAGGTTTTAAGCAAGTTAGTTGATATGATTTTTTATATTTTTCTTTATGCAACTAAAAACAACCATGAAAGTATTCTAAAAAGTGGATATAAAATAAAGGCTTTAAAAATCATTTAGTGTGAAACTGGTAATTACTTTTAATTCCTATGACTTATCAAGTGTCTTGAGTAAATGAAGTTTGGTTAATGTCAATAACATATTATTCCACACTTTCTTATTTACACTAAAAGATAAGTTATCTTCTGGTTAATTCCCCTTGAAAAGCACTACCTAGTTTTCAAACACTAAATACAGTAAAATTCTTAATCCTCAAATGACATAGATAATTCACTAAACTGAAGAAAAGAGGGGACTTGAGAGCCCAACATAATAAAATCTGAGGTGGTAGTGGTATGAGAACACGCACGGATCTGGAAGAATTCTGACCCATCACCATGACATTCAAATTGCTCCACAGTAAGCAAAATGCGAGCCAGGAACATGCCCTGTTGTGGATACAGACAGTGAGAGCTTTGAGCTGCGGCTTCTAAGTCGGCTCCCAGAGGACATACTAACTTTATTTATTTCCTTCCAAATCCTAAAGGAGAAATAAGTGACTCAGGATTTCAGAGCCTGTTCTTTAGGTCTCTGTTTAAGCAGGAGGCTCCGGAAAAAATAATTACCTGGTATTGCCTTTCCCAGACTTCACAGAATACCAGTAAGAAGAGAATGTTTAGAATGATATTAATACTATTTACTCTGAACAGCCAAGTTGTTTAACTATATAGACAGATTTATCCAAATAGTATGCATTCCCACATAGGATATTACACAAATATTTTAGAAGGCTATGTCAAATAATATTTGATTGAAAAATATTTTATTTGGTTGGAAGTCAATTACTCTTCCATGGGCTTCCAGATCTTACTGTTTACTTGCCCAAAATTGGAAGAATACTACTTCTACAAAGTTGGCTTCAATTCTACAATGCAAGGGAAAGTTCTAAAACTTTTGGCTCATCGGCTTCAGCTGACATTAGCTGGTGAATTTTTCATGAGTAAGGGGCGCTGTGATCCTCTTAACAACCCAGAAGGTAGTAGTAAAGAATTCTGAGTTTCTAAGTGTTTAATTTATATATTTTAAGAAACAACAAATCAATTAGTATATATTATTCCACATTTTCATAGAGGGCTTATTAAGACAGCATTTCCAATTTGAAACCAACTCTTTTACATCAATATCATGTATGAAACTATTATTACACACCCGACAATTATTTTATCAGTATATATTAGTAAACTACTCCAAAGACTATAATGTGCTGTCATGTAGTATCATGTAAACATTACTCAACACAGCTTGAATTTTGAATCAACTTTAGATACCGTGGTATTCTGTGAATTAAACTCTAGAGATTTTAAGTGACTCATTTTATTATAAACACTCAATCCAAAAAGATGATTAAAATAATTGAGATAAGGCTTGATTGTAAGGATAAACAGCCTTTTATTTCTAGTAACATCTGTGGTAATAATATGCTATCATTTAAACCAACTAGGATGACTCACCATCTGTGGGTAAATGTAATTTTAGTAAATGTAATCTTTTCTAGTACTGGTGATAGTGTTTTTTTTTTTTTGTTTTGTTTTTAAACTGAATCATCCATCTTCTATCCTTTTGCAACCATGAAGTGAGTTGGCAAGCTGAGGTCAGGAGTACAACTTCTTGCTATGTTCCAGAACCAAATTAACTGGCCCTCTTAAGAAATTTACCCATGACCTTGGCCTCAATAGGATCTTGCTCTAAATCAGAGTCAACTTGCCTGGGACCCACCATAGATCAATTATTTTCTCTATTTAGCCATAATTCTGAAAAACGAAAAGAGTTACATTTTTGTTTATATGTCACTGTCTCAAATATAAATGACATTTTATTTTTGAATATAGTATAATAAATGAACAAATATTAACATTCCAGCACTTAGCCTGCACACTGTAATTCATTTTGCTTTAAGGTAAGTATTACAGTGAACTACAAGATTAACCTTCCCCAGACTCCATTGCAGTGTCCTTTTTTGGCAGCCTCGATATTTCTACTTTGTTCTTGACTGAGCTTACACACCAAGATCCATCACTTCCTGGGAGTAGCCACTTTAATCTTCATAGATTTTTTTGTACTGGTTCACATGGTATAGTTTACATAAATTTGAAATAGTTCAAAAAAATCCCACAAAAATACCCCCAAACCAACCAACAAACCAAGGTCTTACTTTATGTAAAAATGGAAACAATATGAATTCTCTATATTTAAAAAAATTATCTGGAATAGGAACACATCCAAGCTGGAGGGCCCAGTGAACTCTAACCTGTTTTTATGCTATTACCACATGGTGGTGCCACTTTGGCTGATAAACAGAACATTTGCCATCTTTGCACAGTACCGTGTGAATCTCCCTGTTGTTTATGTACAGTGGAACTTCAGTAAATGATTATGATGACTAATGTGCTGTTATTTTACAAACTCTGTTATTATAATTGAAAATATTTTTATATCCTACAACAATATCTCTCAAGCATTCATTAAGCAGTGGTTCTAGTGATAGTGCTGAAAAACATAGCCCCCAAAAACAGTAACAACACTGGAACAGACGTGAACTGTGACAAAACACTATGAAGGCCAAATATCCACTATGACCTCCTGTGTTGGTAATTTAGGTGAAAGCACTCTAAAAAATTAGAGCTAATGAAGAAAAAACTAAAAAGAACAGTAAAGTAAAAGTAAGCTGCAATGCTGTACATTCATGCATTCCCCAAAGGATCTTCTTTACATCTTTTTCTTATGGGATAATTAGTCTTGAAGTATGAGTTTTATATTGTGAGACTGCTTCAGGAATACATCTATCAAACAGATGTAAATGCCTTCTTCAAATACAGCACTTCCCCCACCTTCTCCACGAAGTGCATCTCTTTCCACTATTACATCCCAGGCACACAGTAAACAGTGCAGCAATTATGAATGTGGGCACTGGAGATAGACTTCCTGGGTTTCAATCTGCAGGCTCCATCATTTTCCAGTTGTATGGCTTTGGCTAAGTTTCTTAACCTCACTGTACATCAGTTTCCTCATCTGAAAAATTAGGATGATACCACTACCCACCGCAAAGGGCTGTGGTAGGGACTGAATGAGCTTGATATAACACATTTAGAACCTGTGTGGCACTGAGTCACACTATGGAAATATTAGCTACTCTTGTGATCATCTTCATCATCACCTTCCCATTAACTCTTGATGATACTCTTAAGGCCGAATTTGTTTCACTGGGTTAAAAAAATAAGGTGTCCTTTTATTAACAGTATATGAATTATAGTGCATGCCATGGCTACTTGTAGGATATGCAGTGGCATGAAAGTATTAATGCTTCTTTTGAAAAGCTGTCAGAAACCTTTGTCACAGTTCTGAGGAGCCCTTCTAGTCTATGTACTGGATAAGCAGCATGATTCTGGATAGGGTCTGCTAAGACACTAACATTTACATCAAGGGACACGGCAGTGTCAAGTGGACATTTCTTTAGCCTTCTTACCTTCAGTCTGTCTTTGGGCAGCGCAACGACGCCTTGCTTAATGATTTCCAGGACCCGTTCCACTGACAGCTCAGCTCCAGCTTGCAGCAACCTTGAGCTAAAGAAGGAGATCACCTGTAATGTAAAGTGTTATTTTTTAAACAAGAAGAGGTATGAAATGTATTTTTAGTAGCCGCCTTTCTCACATGGTAGTCAAACTATCATGATTCCATTCCTACAGTGACCCGGCTTTTAATTCACTAGCCCTCCTAAACGCAGTTTGCTCTCCGTTGGGTTTGATAGCCGAATCAGAGGCAACCCCTCAATATCCAGGGCTGATTATTCATTCTGTGAATTAAGTAGCCTCCTGAATTCTACTCTTTCTTGTGCTGCCTGACCTTGCATTTATATTTCGTTTATAGAGCAGTATCCAACAGAAAGTCGGGAGAGAAAGCTAAACCCTAAAGCCTATCACTTTTGAAGCTTAATATTAGCTCTCTCTCTCTCTCTCTCTCTCTCTCTCTCTCTCTCTCAAAAGGGCTTAACAGGAAAGAATTTGAAACTAATGGCTAAAATGATGTTTTGGGGATTATCTATGAATTTAGCCACATTTCCCTTATCATGATCACCAGGGATAACAAATAGCAACCTATAATTACTTTTGCTTCATGTTATAGCACAGCCCAAAGTATGCAGCAAGATATTAACACAGTAGCATTCTGGAAATACACGGTCCCTAAATATTTGTCACTAAAAAATGAAAACAAAACATCATTTTTCAGCAAATTATTTTTAAAACCACAATGTTCATAAATCAAGAAGACTGCAGATCCCTTTTAAATTCAAGAGAATAACATTTAGGTGTTTATAGTCAGACATGCAAAAATATAAAAAATTATTGTGTTTTTGTAAAGTTGAGCATTACCTTTTATGTCTTCTATTTTATAGGTAAAATATATTAAGTTACAAACAATCCTTCACAAACGTTTTTATGCATTTTCTTTCAGAATTACTCTCCTAAATGCTAATTGTTTAAGAGTACAATAACTTTTGTCTTATCCATTCTAGTGGAAAGTACACTATATTACATAAATGCCACTAAATGCATTTGTTCTGGAAGGTAAAGAGACTTAGCTGGCGCCACAGCCATTAACAAGCATGTGCCTCACAATTCTGTGGCAATGAGTGAGAACAAAGGCAGCTCATGGCTGGTGACACTGCTTGTGATTCCAGATAAACCATTTCTTTCTCAAGCAGTTTGCTGGCACCACCAGCTACTTTGCAAGCTGCTTATTTTGTCCACAAGTGGGCTTTTCGCTACGTGCCTGTGGGCCTTGTTCTTCCCCATGTCGGATTTTAAGTTCTTTTTGAGTTTCTGGGATTAATATTTTGTTCACAGAGTTTAGACACAGCAGGTCCAAAAATTGATTTTTATAATATAGTGAATAAATATCTGAAAAAAGACACAACACAGATAGCAAAACATATTGTAATAGATTAAAATCCTATTTTTAAAATATGCAACAATGAATACACAAAATAAATGCTTTCCTTTTGTGTAAATATCTTCACAGGTTGTAAACTGAGCATAGTTTTTCTGAGAAAAGAATTGGTTAACCATATGAAATGCCAATTTTGTTGGTAAAAAAATGGTTTAATGTTAGAAATTTCATATGGGTCAATCTAACACCTATGCATATTATCTTCTTTGACCAAAAAATATTTAAAAAGTAGGAGCATATCTGTTAAAAACACATTCTAAAAAATAAAAAAATGGTAATTAAAAAGTAGATAGATGTTACATATGCTTTAGGCTTACTGAATTTTTTTTTTCTTTCTAACATGCTGAAAGCTGATATTTCACTACTGGATTTTTGTTTTGTTTATAGCAGTAGATCATACAGACAAGGAGTAGTTCTCAAGCATGGCTGATCATCAGAAGTAGCTGAGAAGCCTTGTGAAATTCTGATCCCAGGGCCTAGTCAGGGACCTTCTATTATACATCAGGCTCTCCAGGTGATTTTGATGATCAGTCAGAATCCAGACCAGAGGTTTCCAAACTTTTCAAGTTGTACACATCTACAAGTAAAAAAATGAGGATGTGCTTGCAATATATGTTCTAGTTCTTTATAAATCATGCAATATACTACAGCACTGATGTTTTACATATTATAAAATGTTCATAAAATAAATTTAAAAGAATGAGATAAAGATAAAATCAATTAGATTAAAAAAACCAATGATACAAAACATGTTTTTTGTACTCATTAAAATGTCATTGAAAATAATCTGGGTAATTACAGATTACTAATCACAGCAATTTCACATGACCATCAGCAAGCACAGTATTCACCCACGGTAAGATGCATCGTTTATTACAGTGAATATTAAATCCATAGTGCCTAAAAGTCTTCCTGATAACTTTTATGGATCCATTTTCTGTGAGATTAGACTGGTTCATCACTGTTTTTCCCTTGTAATGTGGCACTTGTTCCAGGAGGAGGGGGATGCCAGCTCTGCCATTATCTTTTGTCATATGTGCTTATATTTTTCTATCACCTTCAGTGTGTGGGGAAACACGCTATTTCGTGAGGGTTTAACTAAATCTAGATACTGTAACCAGGAACACATATACTACACTAAGCTTTACGTGAATGAACAGGTGAGCGCATGTATGCCAAGCCCTACAAGTTGAGGAACTCCTATCTCCTCCCTCGGGATATCTGGAGTACTGAGGCTGACACAGACCCTGGAAGGTTGTAAAGGCCAATACTATTAGTAAAACTAAATCTCCTTATTTTTAGATGAATAAATAACAGCTCTAATATTTTCTTTCCATGCTTCTACGGATGAACTGTTAGTGCAATCTCTGGGGCATGTGGAGCCATCCGCTTTGATAATCACTAATCGAGATAACAAAAGGCACATAATCAGAGTTAAAGGGAACTCACAGTATTCACTTACTACTCAAAGACACGACAAACCAACAAAAGGGAGTGTACTTATGTGTCACACCACCAAGAACAAAGTAATGCAATGACAGTTTTGCTTTGTTGACTCTGCGGCCTATACTGGCTTTCCTCTAAGCCACAAGGAATTTCCATTTCCACTGGGAGAGCTGCAGAGGAGGCATGAAGCTGGGTTTCCAACTAAATTCCTTTTTCAAACTGGTTCTCATTTGTATGTTTTAAAGCTGACATTCTCATGTTTTTGCATTCAAACTCACATGATTTTAGAAAATGATAAAACAACCACTTGCAGAAGGGAAGTATAATTTATGTGTCAAAACCGAAGGAAACAAATCTATCCTGAATGTTTATCATGGACTGTGTGCTGTACATATACTATTTGTTTAATTCTCATGACAATCCCATGAGGCTGATAAAAATCTCTGTCCTACAGAATTGTAAAAAGGATCAGAGACAAACTAGACTGGGGTGGCCCAGGCAAGTGGGAGGAGTAGGACTCCAGCTCAGGTATTTCTTCCTACTTTATCATGTCTCCGGCAATTCCTATGTAGCAAAATGGAGCATTAGCTTAGTTTTTCAAATAGGAGATATCTAAGTGAAAGGTGTAAGTTGTTCAGCCAAACCTTTCAGATGTTGTCTGACTGCAACACCAGCAAAGAACGTGAAACAATTCATTCAAAGATAAGAGCTTCTATTTCCTACTCCCAGGTTATAATTTTGCATATAATAGTACTTTTAGTGATGATGACTACAACAGATGTGTGGCTTTTATCCATTTGTATAGCAACCATTAAAACTATTAAAATAGATGAACTTTTATTCCTCTGAAAATCTCTGCATGAGACACAGCCAATAACAGAAAACATTCAAGTAAAACCTTTAGTGAAAGTGGGGATGAATGCTTTGTCAGTGTAATTCAAAGACAACCTTTCAAAGGAAGGTACTTTTCCAAAGCGCATGTTTTACAACCCTCCTCTACCTACAATATTTGGCTGTAACTCATGAAATCCAAGTACAGCATATTACCTTCCATTATGCTATTAGCTTTGAACAGTGATTGCCCACTGTCATATACTGATTAATCAGTTGTTTACTTTGAGTAATGTCAAATCACATTTAACCACCTGTCATGAAACAAGTGAATGATTATTATTAATAGATCACAGATTAATAGAAATGAGAAGCTTTTCTGGAGTAGAGGAGAATAAAAAGGAGCTAGTATGTGCTCCTCAGGCAAAATGCTTGCTTGCTAAAAATGGCCACTCTCCTAAGAGGTAGAAGTAGACAGCTAAGTTTTATTTTATTTTATTTTTATTTTTTAAGACAACGATAAACATGTAAAATACATATATATTTCCTCATTGACTTGAGTTTCCCCTCAAGTTACTGTATTTTAATCAATACATATATTGACAATCCATTCAGCAGAGGAGCTCTCCCGAGGATTTACCAGGGAAATAAATAGATGATACCATTTTCTCTCTTGAAGAAAGACACAGTGTAATTTGTGAGATAAGACAGATCAAACCTGTATAATTAGAATAGACATCATGGTAAAGTGGATAATGAACTACTCAAAGAAGGCTTACATTTGAGTCTTGCCTCTGATACTAGCAATGTGACTTGTAAAACACTCAACATCTAGATGTAGCATGATGCAGTGGTTTAGAGAACTTACCTGGTGTCGGACTGCTTGGGTTTAAATCCCACCTCTTCTTATAATATCTTCAAAGTGACAAAGTTGCAGCATCTACTGCATAGGAACCAATAATGATAATGTGGCAACTTTGTCATTTTGTAAATGAGGGTACTGATACACACCTAATAACAGTAAGAGCTAACGCTCTGTGAGCACTTACCATGCGCAAAGCACTTTGCGCTGTGCAGACATTAACTTATTTAAGGCTGTAAATTTCTCTCTGGGCTTTTGCTGGGTCCCACAAATTTTGACATGTTACAGTTTCATTTATGTTCACCTTAAATTTGTTCTATTTCCCTTGTAAACTTCTTTTTGACACATGGGTGTATTGTTCAATTTCCAAGTATTTGGAGATTTTCCAGATATCTTATTTCTTTTTTTTAATACTTTCAGTTTTAGGGTACACGTGCACAATGTGCAGGTTAGTTACATATGTATACATGTGCCATGTTTGTGTGCTGCACCCACTAACTCGTCATTTAACATTAGGTATATCTCCAAATGCTATCCGTCCCCTCTCCCCCAACCCCACAACAGGCCCCAGTGTGTGACGTTCCCCTTCCTGTGTCCATGTGTTCTCATTGTTCAATTCCCACCTGAGTGAGAACTTGTGGTGTTTGGTTTTTTTGTCCTTGCGATAGTTTGCTGAAAATGATGGTTTCCAGCTTCATCCATGTCCCTACAAAGGACATGAACTCATCCTTTTTTATGGCTGCATAGTATTCCATGGTGTATATGTGCCACATTTTCTTAATCCAGTCTATCATTGATGGACATTTGGCTTGGTTCCAAGTCTTTGCTATTGTGAATAGTGCTGCAATAAACACACGTGTGCATGTGTCTTTATAGCAGCATCATTTATAATCCTTTGGGTATATATCCAGTAATGGGATTGCTGGGTCAAATGGTATTTCTAGTTCTAGATCCTTGAGGAATCGCCACACTGACTTCCACAATGGTTGAACTAGTTTACAGTCCCACCAACAGTGTAAGAGTGTTCCTATTTCTCCACACCCTCCCCAGCACCTGTTGTTTCCTGACTTTTTAATGATTGCCATTCTAACTGGTGTGAGATGGTATCTCATTGTGGTTTTGATTTGCATTTCTCTGATGGCCAGTGATGATGAGCATTTTTTCATGTGTCTTTTGGCTGCATAAATGTCTTCTTTTGAGAAGTGTCTGTTCATATCCTTCACTCACTTTTTGGTGGGGTTGTTTTTTTCTTGTAAATTTGTTTGAGTTCATTGTAGATTCTGGATATTAGCCCCTTGTCAGATGGGTAGATGGCAAAAATTTTCTCCCATTCTGTAGGTTGCCTGTTCACTCTGATGGTAGTTTCTTTTGCTGTGCAGAAGCTCTTTAGTTTAATTACATCCCATTTGTCAATTTTAGCTTTTGTTGCCATTGCTTTTGGTGTTTTAGACATGAAGTCCTTGCCTATGTCTATGTCCTGAATGGTATTGCCTAGGTTTTCTTCTAGGGTTTTTATGGTTTTAGGTCTAACATGTAAGTCTTTAATCCATCTTGAATTAATTTTTGTATAAGGTGTAAGGAAGGGATCCAGTTTCAGCTTTCTACATATGGCTAGCCAGTTTCCCAGCACCATTTATTAAATAGGGAATCCTTTCCCCATTTCTTGTTTTTGTCAGGTTTGTCAAAGATCAGATGGTTGTAGATATGCGGCGTTATTTCTGAGGGCTCTGTTCTGTTCCATTGGTCTATGTCTCTGTTTTGGTACCAGTACCATGCTGTTTTGGTTACTGTAGCCTTGTAGTATAGTTTGAAGTCAGGTAGCGTGATGCCTCCAGCTTTGTTCTTTTGGCTTAGGATTGACTTGGCGATGCGGGCTCTTTTTTGGTTCCATATGAACTTCAAAGTAGTTTTTTCCAATTCTGTGAAGAAGGTCATTGGTAGCTTGATGGGGATGGCATTGAATCTCTAAATTACCTTGGGCAGTATGGCCATTATCACGATATTGATTCTTCCTACCCATGAGCATGGAATGTTCTTCCATTTGTTTGTATCCTCTTTTATTTCATTAAGCAGTGGTTTGTAGTTCTCCTTGAAGAGATCCTTCACATCCCTTGTAAGTTGGATTCCTAGGTATTTTATTCTCTTTGAAGCAATTGTGAATGGGAGTTCACTCATGATTTGGCTCTCTGTTTGTCTGTTATTGGTGTATAAGAATGCTTGTGATTTTTGCACATTGATTTTGTAACCTGAGACTTTGCTGAAGTTGCCTATCAGCTTGAGGAGATTTTGGGCTGAGATGACGGGGTTTTCTAGATATACAATCATGTCATCTGCAAAAAGGGACAATTTGACTTCCTCTTTTCCTAATTGAATATCCTTTATTTCCTTCCCCTGCCTGATTGCCCTGGCCTGAACTTCCAATACTATGTTGAATAGGAGTGGTGAGAGAAGGCATCCCTGTCGTGTGCCAGTTTTCAAAGGGAATGCTTCCAGTTTTTGCCCATTCAGTATGATACTGGCTGTGGGTCTTTCATAGATAGCTCTTATTATTTTGAGATACGTCCCATCAATACTGAATTTATTGAGTTTTTAGCATGAAGTGTTGTTGAATTTTGTCAAAGGCCTTTTATGCATCTATTGAGATAATCATATGGTTTTTGTCATTGGTTCTGTTTATATGCTGGATTATGTTTATTGATTTGGTATGTTGAACCAGCCTTGCATCCTAGGGATGAAGCCCACTTGATCATGGTGGATAAGGTTTTTGATGTGCTGCTGGATTTGGTTTGCCAGTATTTTATCAGGATTTTTGCACCAATGTTCATCAGGGATATTGGTCTAAAATTCTCTTTTTTTGTTGTGTCTCCGCCAGGCTTTGGTATCAGGATGATGCTGGCCTCATAAAATGAGTTAGGGAGGATTCCCTCTTTTTCTATTGATTGGAATAGTTTCAGAAGGAATAGTACCAGCTCCTCTTTGTACCTCTGGTAGAATTCAGCTGTGAATCCATCTGGTCCTGGACTTTTTTTGGTTGGTAAGCTATTAATTATTGCCTCAATTTCAGAGCCTGTTATTGGTCTATTCAGAGATTCAACTTCTTCCTGGTTTAGTCTTGGGAGGGTGTGTGTCCAGGAATTTATCCATTTCTTCTAGATTTTCTAGTTTATTTGCGTAGAGGTGCTTATAGCATTCTCTGATGGCAGTTTGTATTTCTGTGGGATCGGTGGTAATATCTCCCTTATCATTTTTTATTGCGTCTATTTGATTCTTGTCTCTTTTCTTCTTTATTAGTCTTGCTAGCAGTCTATCAATTTTGTTGATCTTTTCAAAAAACCAGCTCCTGGATTCATTGATTTTTTGAAGGGTTTTTTGTGTCTCTATCTCCTTCAGTTCTGCTCTGCTCTTAGTTATTTCTTGCCTTCTGCTAGCTTTTGAATGTGTTTGCTCTTGCTTCTCTAGTTCTTTTAATTGTGATGTTAGGGTGTCAATTTTAGATCTGTCCTGCTTTCTCTTGTGGGCATTTAGTGCCATAAATTTCCCTCTACACACTGCTTTGAATGTGTCCCAGAGATTCTGGTATGTTGTGTCTTTGTTCTCTTTGGTTTCAAAGAATATCTTTATTTCTGCCTTCATTTCGTTATGTATCCAGTAGTTATTCAGGAGCAGGTTGTTCAGTTTCCATGTAGTTGAGCGGTTTTGAGTGAGTTTCTTAATCCTGAGTTCTAGTTTGACTGCACTGTGGTCTGAGAGACAGTTTGTTATAATTTCTGTTCTTTTACATTTGCTGAGGAGAGCTTTACTTCCAAGTAAGTGGTCAATTTTGGAATAAGTGTGGTGTGGTGCTGAGAAGAATGTATATTCTGCTGATTTGGGGTGGAGAGTTCTGTAGATGTCAATTAGGTCTGCTTGGTTAAGAGCTGAGCTCAGTTCCTGGATATCCTTGTTAACTTTCTGTCTTGTTGATCTGTCTAATGTTGACAGTGGGGTGTTAGAGTCTCCCATTATTATTGTGTGGGAGTCTAAGTCTCTTTGTAGGTCTCTAAGGACTTGCTTTATGAATCTGGGTGCTCCTGTATTGGGTGCATATATATTTAGGATAGTTAGCTCTTCTTGTTGAATTGAACCCTTTACCATTATGTAATGGCCTTCTTTCTCTCTTTTGACCTTTGTTGGTTTAAAGTCTGTTTTATCAGAGACTAGGATTGCAACCCCTGCCTTTTGTTTTCCATTTGCTTGGTAGATCTTCCTCCATCCCTTTATTCTGAGCCTATTTGTGTCTCTGCATGTGAGATGGGTTTCCTGAACACAGCACACTGATGGGTCTTGACTCTTTATCCAATTTGCCAGTCTGTGTCTTTTAATTGGAGCATTTAGCCCATTTACATTTAAGGTTAATATTGTTATGTGTGAATTTGATCCTGTCATTATGATGTTAGTTGGTTATTTTGCTTGTTAGTCGATGCAGTTTCTTCCCAGCCTCAATGGTCTTTACAATTTGGCAAGTTTTTGCAGTGGCTGGTACCGGTTGTTCCTTTCTATGTTTAGTGCTTCCTTCAGGAGCTCTTTTAGGGCAGGCCTGGTGGTGAGAAAATCTCTCAGCATTTGCTTGTCTGTAAAGGATTTTATTTCTCCTTCACTTACGAAGCTTAGTTTGGCTGGATATGAAATTCTGGGTTGAAAATTCTTTTCTTTAAGAATGTTGAATATTGGCCCCCACTCTCTTCTGGCTTGGAGAGTTTCTGCCGAGAGATCAGCTGTTAGTCTGATGGGCTTCCCTTTGTGGGTAACCCGACCTTTGTCTCTGGCTGCCCTTAACATTTTTTCCTTCATTGCAACTTTAGTGAATCTGACAATTACGTGTCTTGGAGTTGCTCTTCTCGAGGAGTATCTTTGTGGCGTTCTCTGTATTTCCTGAATTTGAATGTTGGCCTGCCTTGCTAGATTGGGGAAGTTCTCCTGGATAATATCCTGCAGAATGTTTTCCAACTTGGTTCCATTCTCCCCGTCACTTTCAGGTACACCAATCAGACGTAGATTCGGTCTTTTCACATAGTCCCATATTTCTTGGAGGCTTTGTTCATTTCTTTTTATTCTTTTTTCTCTAAACTTCTCTTCTCGCTTCATTTCATTCATTTGATCTTCCATCACTGATACTCTTTCTTCCAGTTGATCGAAGTGGCTACTGAGGCTTGTGCATTCGTCACGTAGTTCTCGTTCCTTGGTTTTCAGCTCCATTAGGTCCTTTAAGGACTTCTGTGCATTGGTTATTCTAGTTAGCCATTCGTCTAATTTTTTTTCACGATTTTTAACTTCTTTGCCATGGGTTCAAACTTCCTCCTTTAGCTAGGAGTAATTTGATCATCTGAAGCCTTCTTCTCTCAACTCTTCAAAGTCATTCTCCGTCCAGCTTTGTTCCGTTGCTGGTGAGGAGCTGCGTTCCTTTGGAGGAGGAGAGGCACTCTGATTTTTAGAGTTTCCAGGTTTTCTGCTCTGTTTTTTCCCCATCTTTGTGATTTTATCTACCTTTGGTCTTTGATGATGGTCATGTACAGATGGGGTTTTGGTGTGGATGTCCTTTCTGTTTGTTAGTTTTCCTTCTAACAGTCAGGACCCTCAGCTGCAGGTCTGTTGGAGTTTGCTGGAGGTCCACTCCAGACGCTGTTTGCCTGGGTATCAGCAGCGGAGGCTACAGAACAGCGGATATTGGTGAGCAGCAAATGTTGCTGCCTGATTGTTCCTCTAGAAGTTTTGTCTGAGACGAGTACCCGGCCGTGTGAAGTGTCAGTCTGCCCCTACTGGGGGGTGCCTCCCAGTTAGGCTACTCAGGGGTCAGGGACCCACTTGAGAAGGCAGTCTGTCCATTCTCAGATCTCCAGCTGCATGCTGGGAGAACCACTACTCTCTTCAAAGCTGTCAGACAGGGACATTTAAGTCTGCAGAGGATTCTGCTGCCTTTTGTTTGGCAATGCCCTGCCCCAAGACGTGGAGTCTACAGAGGCAGGCAGGCCTCCTTGAGCTGTGGTGGGCTCCACCCAGTTCGAGCTTCCTGGCCACTTTGTTTACCTACTCAAGCCTTGGCAATGGCGGATGCCCCTCCCCCAGCCTCACTGCCACCTTGCAGTTTGATCTCAGACTACTGTGCTAGCAATGAGCGAGGCTCCATGGGTGTAGGACCCTCCGAGCCAGGCACGGGATATAATCTCCTGGTGTGCCATTTGCTAAGACCGTTGGAAAAGCACAGTATTAGGGTGGGAGTGACCCGATTTTCCAGGTGCCGTCTGTCACCCCTTTCTTTGACTAGGAAAGGGAATTCACTGACCCCTTGTGCTTCCCGGGTGAGGCAATGCCTCGCCCTGCTTCGGCTCACGCGCAGTGCGCTGCACCTACTGTCCTACACCCACTTTCCGGCACTCCCCAATGAGATGAACCCGGTATCTCAGTTGGAAATGCAGAAATCACCCGTCTTCTGCATCGCTCACACTGGGAGCTGTAGACTGGAGCTGTTCCTATTCGGCCATCTTGGCTCTTCTTACTGATTTCTATTCAATAGTTTAATTTCACTGTGGTCAAAGAATATACTCTAGGTGATCTCATCTCATTTAAATTTGCTGAGGTTTGTTTTACGGCCCCATACATGGTCTCTCTTAGAGAATGGTTCACGTGCACTGATGTTGTTGGGTGGTATGTTCTATAAATGTGAACTCATCAAGTTGGTGGTTAGTATTGTTTGGGTCTTCTGTATCATCACAAATTTTCTGTTTATTTGCTGTATCAATTACTGAGAAAGAAGTGTTGACTTCTCCAATTATGGGTTTGTTTGTGTCTTCTTGCCATTCTATCAGTTTTTATTTCATGCATTTCGAAGCTCTGTTGTATACACATTTATGGTTGTTACGTCTCCTTGGTGAATTGACTTCTTTATCATTACATGGAGTCCCTCTTTATCCCTGGTAATGCTCCCTGTGTTGAAGTCTACTTTGTCTGCTATTAATATAGTCATCCTACCCCTTTTTTTTTTTATTAATGCTTACGTAGTAAAAGTTATTTTATCCTTTTGCTTTTAACCAATCTATTTCTTTATGTTTAAGGTGGGTTTCTTATAGACAGCACATAGTTAGGTCTTGCTTTTTATCCAATCTGAAAATTTCTGTCTTTTAATTGAGGCATCAGGATTATTTGCATTTGATTTAATTATTGGCATGTAGGATTTAAATACATGGATGGATTTTTGTTGTTGTTGTTCCACTATTTTGTTGTTGTTGTTCCACTATTATTTATTCTGCTTTTCCTGCCTGCCTTTGGACTGGGTATAATTTTATGATTTCTATTTTATCTTCATCTTTTACTTACTACTTATATTTCTATTTTAATGTTTTCTTTAGTGGTTGCCCTAGAGTTTATACTATACACCTTTAATTATCACAGTCTATCTTCAAATAATATTATACTACTTGACACTGTGAAGAACTGTGAAAAGTGATATGGTACCCTACTTGTGAGTTAACAAGTTATCCAGTCTATAGTTCATGGATCCTGGAAGAAGAGATATTTCTGGGTCAGAGACGGAGGGAAGTTTGTTAGTCACAGCAATAGCAGTGATCAGAGCATCTGCATTACCACACTGGCTCCCCAAGCCCCAGTTTGCTTAGGGTTATGTGACAAGGGTCAGACAACACCTGCACATGCAGTAAATTATGTTAAAGGACAGAACCCTGAGCTTAGGGAACCCGAATCTCTTAGAGTGGTCAGTAACCATGCCTATCTTTTACTCCAGAAGGAGATACAAATATCTTTGAAAAGATAATCTAGAGCAAAGGACAGTCAGTGCCTTTGCTCACAAGATGAAATCTGTGGAAAATTATCTCCCAACACACATGTGTCAACTTCCAATTCTTCCCTCTCATCCTTTGTGCTACTGCTGACACACATCTTACTTTTATATGTTATAAACCCCACAATACATTGTTACTATCTTTATTTTAGACAAAATGGGTTGGCAACCTATAGCCTGTGGGCCAAATCTGGCCTGTTGTCTGTTTTTGTAAATAAAGTTTTATTGGAACATAGCCATACCCACTTGTTTACACATAGTCTATGGCTGCCATTGAATTACAATTGTTGAGTAGAATAATTGTGATAGGGACTATGTGGCCTGTGAAGACTAAAATATTTACAATCTGCTCACTTACAGAAAAAGTTTGAGGACCTCTTCTTCCAACAGTCAATTATTTTATACAGTGAATCAACATAAGAAAAAGCTTTTTATGTTTACCTTTATTTTTGCTATTTTTGGAGCTCTTAATTTCTTTTTGTAGATCCAAGTTTCTATCAGATATGATAGTTCTTCTGTTTGAATAACTTCCATTAACTAGTCTATAGTACACACTAGCAGTAAGTTCTCTCAGTTTTGTTTGAAATGTCATTATTTTGTATTCAGTTTTTAAAGACATTTTTGAGGGTAAGATTTTGTTTTTTTTTCATTTTAGCCTTATAAAGATGTCACTTCATTATCTGACTTGCCTAGCTAGGTTCTGCCAAGTAAACTGCTGTTACTATCTTTGTTCCTCTGTATATAATGTTTCTTTTTTCTCTGGCTGAATTCAAGACTGTGTTTTTTCTTTTATCTTTGATTTTCAGATGTTTAAATATAATGTCTTTTAAAAAAATGGATTTATCCTGATTGGGGTTCTCTGGGCTTCCTGGATCTGTGGTTTGATGTCAGTATTTTTGGAAAATTCTCAGCTATTATCTCTTTAAATATTTCTTCTGACCTGTTCTTTCTCTCTTCTCCTTGTGAGACTCCAATTATATGTATATTGAATCATCTGATATCGTCCTATAGCTCTTGGATGATAGGTTCTCATTTTTCACATGTTTTTCTTATTGTATTTATTTGCATAATTTCTACTGACCTATCTTCAAGATCACAGATTTTTTTCACAAGCCCACTAATGAGCCAGTCATAGCAATTCTTTGTCTGTCACATGTTTTTTACTTCTAGCATTCCCATTTTATTTTTTCTTACAGTTCCCATCTCTCTCTGGAACTGTTTATATATGTTGTCACCTTTTCCCCCAGGACAAAGGTTGGTATATGTCTTCTATAAAGAACCAGGTAGTAAATATTTTAAGTTTTGTGGGTCCCAATATAGTTTCTGTAACATATTCTTCTTTTTTTTTTTTAAACAACCCTTTAAAAATGTAAAAAACATACGTATTTCACAGGCTGTACAAAGGCAAGCTGTGGGCTGCATTTGCCTGATGGGTCCCACTTAGTTGACCTTCACACCAGATCTTTGAAACTGATAAATCATAATTACAGTCCCAGCCTGACAGTTCCAACATCTGAGTCATCACTGAGTCTGGGTCTGTTGCCACCATTACATTTTTCTTGCCTTTTTATGTCTCATAATGCTTGGCTGAATGTTAGACATCATGTGTAGAACTGTAGAGACTGACAGAAATACTATTTATGATAAATTAGGGCACATCTCTTCTTAGGTCAGGCTTGGAGGTTGAGCTGATTCACTCAGAAGGTGAGCTAAATTTGAGTTTTGCTGTTGCTGTGGCTACCTTCAGTGTACCACATCCTCTAATGATGCCTTGTGCTTTGCTGGGATCTGAAGTGCCACAGGTTTTTCAACGTTCATGCTCCACGTTCTGCTTTCAGTGAGTTCTGCATACCTGGGTCCCAGAGCAGGGTGTGTATCCATGCCCTTGATCTTTCCCAGCAGCAGATGCTGCTGCTTGTTACTCAGTACTTGCTAGGCTGGTGGCAGAAGGTAGGGGATTCTCTACGTGCTGTCCTAAGACCTCAGTCTTAAATGGGGCTCTCTATGCCTGGGCCTAGGGCATAAGGCTTTCTTAGCTTTCTCTTCCCTTTCTTCCGATGGCAGCCAGACTTTGCCCTGTATCTGTGATGAGTTGTTGGTAGGATACCTCTAATGGTACTCTTATAGAACCCTGGGGCTGCGACAGTTTCCTGCCCTTTACCCAGAAGTAGAGAGTTTTTTTGTTTTATCTTTTACGTGCAATAATGGGTCTCTACCTATGCCCCGAGGGCAACAAGGTTTGGTGCCTGCCTCTGCACCCGCCTCCTCTCCGCACCCCCCTCCCCTCCGCACCCCCACCCCTGCCAGCAATCTAAGGCTTTTGCACCATATGAAAGAAAGGTCTGGCAGGGGAATGATGCTACGCATTTTTCTATTGGTACATCACCTTGGGAGGCTCTCTGGCTTCCTGCTGTGCCCCCAGTCTCAGTGGAAAACAGCCTGTGAGTGCAAATTCCTCTGGTGCTTGGGTCTCCTGGGTGTTCTGTAATGTCATGCTACTCCACACTCAACCTTTAGCAAGTTATTAAAATTGCATCTGATTTCTTTTTACCCACTTGTATGGTGGCTACCTACCCCTGTGCTCTGCCACAGGTGATCCAGTCCTGGTGTCTCACCTCAACTTGAGGGGTGGGTGGGCCGATGACCCCTCCTTGGGATCTAGACTATTTGGTTGTCCTGTGACCTCAGCTCATTGATAGGTTCAAGAAAAGTTATGATTTTGTAGTTTACCTCTTTTTCTCTTTGTTAGGGTAGAACTCTTCCTAGCTTTCTATATCCTAAGCAGAAGTCCACTGTAGGGAATTTATTTTTTAGTAGTAAATTTACTGAGGTACAATTTCATACAATAAAATAAACATACTCATTTTAATGGTACAGTTCAACCAGTTTTGACAAATATGCATACCCTGTAACCATCTGCCCCTCATTATCACAGAATGTTCACTCCACCTTCCCAGCCAGTTCCCCATAACTCCGTCCCACCCACTATTCTCTGTGCCTAGAGTGCTCTGTCCCCAGATAGCTGCATAGCTCACTCTCTACCTGCTTCAAGTTTTGGCTCAAACGCACCTGATTACATTCTTTAAATCTGCAATCTCCTACCGGTATTCTAACGAGCTCTCATTATTCTCCTTTCTTACTCTTTTTTTTTTCCTTAAGCAACTGGGTAGATATTGATGTCATATATTGGGATAAGAAAGACTATAGAAGAAAATATTTTATATTGCATTGGTTTTTGCAGAAAATCAAGAATTATGATTTAACCTTGTTTAACAATTGTGGGACTGTCAAGTCAGTAGCCTAAAGTGCTAGTTTAGAGCTTGATAAGGATGGTCAGGTCTGGAAATACACAAGATCTAATGTCCAGAGATAACAAGATTTCTTGCCTGTACCTTACTATACAATGGTTATAGTTCATTGCATCTGTCCTCTACTCATATTCAGCCATTTCTTAGGTAACCAGACAATTTATTTTATGTTCTCTCTTGTTTGGTGTTATATTCTACCTTGTCTTGCTGCTTAATTCAGCCTGATCATATCACCTTATGTTTTAGATGGGCGAGATAGGCACCAGTGTGTAATAAAAATGTAGGCACTTGAAAAACATCTATCTAATTCCTTCTGCAGACGTTAAAAGTGCTCCAAGGTTAGCCACTTCTGTCTTCTGAGATACTGAGTGCTGCTAAATGTCTTAACCAAAAATAATCAACTCTCAACTCCCTGCCCACTAAAAATAACAGTAGATTCGTCTCCTCCACCAACTTTTTTCTTCTACAGTCTTTCACAGAGTTAACTTCTGAAGGTTAACTCTATGAAAGAAGAAAGTAGCAAAAGCTTGTTTAAGCCAAAATTTCAGGGATCTTTGGGGGATAGATGGGGAAGGTAAAGTACTGAAAAAGGCACACAGTAGAGATGTTATTTATATCTTTATCACAGCATCTTTTCAAAATATGTAAAAGGAGTTTAAAATGTTTTTTAAATGAATTTCCAGTGTGCCCAGCACTATTTTGGATGATAGTATTCAACAAAAAGTTGTTGGAAAACCTGCTCATTTGGAATCTTAATTAGGTTTATCCAAGTGAATGCTGAAAACACGGGATTTAATAGAATGAGAACCTGGATTCAGGGCCTGGTTGACTGACTTGCTAGCTAAGTGATCTCAAGCCTACTATTTCCCTTCTCTAGCCCTGCTCTCCCTTCCTCCTAGGGATGGCGAAAGGGCCAATGACATAAAGCCCCCTGCAATAACATGTGATAACTATCCAAGACAATGATCCTTAGGCAGGAATGTATATTAATAGCATCTGAGAAACCTCTCAGCATCTTTATTTTCTTATCTGTAAAGTGGGATAATAATCCTAGCTCACATGGATTAAGAATGGTAAAAGAGGTCATATACATGAGGCACTCAAGCTTCATTCCCATCATTTAGAAGGTGTACTTAAAAATGTTTAGGCATTTGTTTATGTGGTTTTAAGAACTGCATAACAGCATATAGTCAAATGTTTAGCCTGAGAATGCAGTTTTCACTGCATACAGGTGAAGTGTAAATAAGTGGCCCATTATTCCGACAATGACAGAAAAGTGAGCACTGGGTATAAGTCCAACTTAACATCCTGCTTTTACTTCTATATGGTTCTATACTGTGTACTTACAGTGAGGTCCTTTCTACTTCCTCACCTCCACTCTGCTTTTCACTTCTTCCAAAGGAGAATGTGTTTCAAATGGATGTAGTTTAAATTCTTTGCATGGTTCTGTGTGTCCTGATTAAAAAAAATTAATATGGTCTTTCAGAGACTTTTTTTTTCTTTTTCTTTCGTGTGTGTGTGTGTGTGTGTTTAAGAGATGGTCTTGAATTTCTGGGCTCAAGAGATTCTCCTGACTCAGTCTCCTGAGCAGCTGGGATAACAGTGTACCACCACGCCTGGCTCTCAGAGACATTTTTAAGGATATCAATTGCCTGGTTACTAAGAACGTTCCTCATTGCACCACTGATGGAATAAAGACTGATTTGACATTATTAGAACTGATTTTGAAAGAGAAAGTAATTAGGTTTGTGGATATGATCAGATGGTTTCATAGGCAACTGTGGGAGCATTTAGTGAATGTGTATAGTGGTTAGGCAGAATTATTACAAACAAAGGCCTTATCATCAAACTCTGGGTTTAAGTTCTCGCTGTATCACTTGCTGAATGTGTGACAGTAAACAAGTTAATTAATCTTTCTAACTTGGTTTCTTTATCTGTAAATTGAGGGCTAAAATGAAATATACCTCATGGTTTATTTTTTAATGAGGATTAAGTAAGTTATTGCACGTAAGTGCTTAGCAAGTATGCAATAAAAGCTAGTGATGATTAGAAAAGAAGCAAATGGCTTTTGATGTGGTTTAAATAAAATGTTAAAGCTAAATACTCCAAATGATGTGTAATATTGCAGCTACTGCAGCTATGACCACAGGGAAAAAAAAAAATCTCTGGTTTAGTCTTTTGTCAGGAATACAAAGAAAATATTGCCTATCACAATGAAAGGTACTGGGAATTAGAGATTATTTCTCTCCCATTTACTGCAGGTGTATATTAGCAGACATACATAGTCCATAGTTCAGGTGACTATCTTTAAACATTTTTTTAAAGGAAAAAAGAAAGATAGGAAGGAATGAAAAAAGAAATTGGAATGAGGGAGGTCCAGAGAAAGGTAAAAGTTAGAACAGATGGGATAGAGGACTGCCACAAGGGCAGACTGAAATGAATGGGATGACACAGTTTAGAAACATGAAGACTGAAAATGGACATGTTGGATATTTCTAGAATGTAAAGATCTGAATAAATCTTGGAAAACCAGGAATATCTCCTGGAGCTTGAAAGAGATACATTAATAAACAAATGTAAGAAAATACTATTTTAATATTACAGTGCCCATTCTTGGGTGATATTCTTAGACGAAATATTAGACATCAAGAGTCTCAAGACTATAAAAGGCCACACTTTGCATCAGATTAATTTTAAAAAGATAGAAGGATAGGAAAAGCAGCATGCCAACAGCATAGTCTCACAGGTTTTTGTTTTCCTTGGGAATCCTTATAGCAGTTT
Organism: Homo sapiens; assembly: GCF_000001405.40. Taxonomy (NCBI): domain Eukaryota; kingdom Metazoa; phylum Chordata; class Mammalia; order Primates; family Hominidae; genus Homo; species Homo sapiens. Next base: position 49,115,942 of record NC_000018.10, read on the forward strand.
TTGGGCTAGTCTTTGACCCTTCAAATGACAGCTCAGATGCAAGAGAATGAGACTACTGTAGGTAGATGCAATAGCCACCCTACCTTAGAAACCATGTCTCAAATAGAAACCAATATCCTTGTGACAGTCTCAGCTTCTACGTCCTTGTAAAGGACATGCCCAGTTATAAGAATTCTCTCATTCGGAGAAGCCCAAAGTGATGGCTTCTCATCAAGTATTTGTAGTTCATTCGTAGTCCTCCAAGTAATGACTCAGCTTACCAATCAAATGTCATTTTATCACATCATCATTTTATCATAGCAGTGTTGCTTGGTAACACAACTGACATTCTACCTCCATTAGATTTCTAGAGAACTGAGCTAGAAGCATCTTAACCCAAGGCCAATTTCTCATGTAAAAGGGGAAAGAGTTTTGTGAAACCTTTACCCACAAGCATAATGAGTCTTAAACTCAGTATTTTACCTCCAAAAATACTACTGGGAAGAAATAGAAATGAATTTGGACAAATTCATGAATAACATGGTTAGAAAAAGCTTTTCAGAAGTAAGTAAACAGCTAGCCTATAAAGTTGCCTTCATACAGAGAACGATTTCTACTGAATGTTATAATCCTTAAGACTGCTTGCAGGAATAACTGTTAAGAGGAATGGATAAAGGCCCTGCTTGAGTTCCAGATAGTTTCTTTGAGAGCTGAGATGACAGCAGGGATGGCATTCTCCCATGAGATACCCCTCAGCCCCCATGGACTCTTTACTTTCCTTAATAACTGGTACTTTTGCATTATCATCTTCTATCAAAGCATAAAACTAACAGGAATTCTTAGACTATAAACCACAATTTACCATGTTGTCAAAAATAATCTATCCCATAAAAGAAGACGGAGTTAACTCGTGATAGGTGTTCCTTAGGCAAAACTTTGTTTCATAATCTTATTAACACTGACACTTCTCAATTTTAAAGAGATCTTATTAACACCAATACTTCTTAATTAAAACTCAGAGTTAACAAGAAGGACATGTGGCCAGAGATGAAATAATCGAGAAGTTGCTAAGGATGCTCTCACACACATCCTAAATATCAGTGAAGCTACATGGAGTCCTGGTTCATAAAGATTTCCCTTAAAATGTCAAAGTTTGATTCTTAAAATAAACATCCTTGTGTGAAATGGTGTTTCTGCTTTATCTTGATTGCACTGATGGCAACTATACCCAAATTCCCCGATTCTGTTAATGATACCTAAATGATGTCGATATAAGTTTAGGAAAGTGACAAGAGTGTCCATGGCAAAATATTTTGCTATAGCTGCAACCGTTAGGTATATAGTTGAAGCAGCTTAACGAAAGCCAATGAAATTAAGCTGACAGAAGAGTTTTAATATTAATTTCTGTTTACCAGCAATCATGAAAAAGCCATGAAAATCAATGAATGGATTTGCAACAGTATACTCAACTGTAGGTTAAACTCACATTTAATTGTGTAGATTCCAGAGTATCCAGCAGTTAATACATCCTATGTGTTTCATATCTTTATTAGCCATTTAGAGTTCCTCTTTTGGGAGTGCCTGTTCGATTCTTGTTAGTTTTTCTATTGAGTTATTTATCTATTATTAATATATATTTTATTGTTATATTCTAGATTCTAGACTTTTCTTGGTTGTATGTTGCAAATATCCAATCTCTAACACAGCTACAAACTTTTTAACAGAACTCTAAAACTCCTCTCTAAATAGTCAAACAGATCAAGTAACATTCTCAAATCTGCTCTTTCTATGGAGACCTGCTACCTGCCACACCCACTGTGCACTGGTTCTACACACTACAGTGTATTCTTGGGAACTGCCTTCAGTGCTCTCCTTTGGTTAAGCCTGGCTCCTTTGTCTTCGTCTTTCTTTGTTTACTACTTTGTGTTGATGGAACATATATTATAGTAGCTTTAGCAGAGATGGGGTTGGTTTCACTGTGTTAGCCAGGATGGTCTCGATCTCCCGACCTCGTGATCTGCCCATCTCGGCCTCCCAAAGTGCTGGGATTACAGGCATAAGCCACTGTGCCCAGCCTTTTTTTTTTTTTTTTTTTTTTTTGTGTGTGAGACGGAGTTTTACTCTCGTTGCTCAGGCCAGAGTACAATGGTGTGATCTCGGCTCACTGCAACCTCTATTTCCTGGGTTCAAGCGATTCTCCTGCCTCAGCCTCTCAAGTAGCTGGGATTATAGGCATCAGCCACCACACCCGGCCCACAGGCATAAATTCTACAGTTTTTCTGGAAAGCAATTTGGCAACCTGTGTTGAATCTTGAAAATAAAGATATCTTTTGACAGTAAAAACTAGTAAAATTCCAGCTTTAAAACCATATCAAAAATATAATTTTAAAATTTGAGATAAGACTTATTTATAAACTTTTCATTCATTATGAATTGATATAAAATACTGGAAATAAATGAGCAAAAATGGGATAATAGTTATATATATTTTAGGACACAAACATGGGCTAGATAGAAATTAAAATGTGAGACTTTCAAAGAATTGATAATACCACAGAAAAATGCTCATGGTCTAAGTGTAAAGTAAAAAAGTCAGAATAAAAAACTGTATGAAGTATGACTTCAATTGTATTAAATATGTATGTGTGTGTATATACAACACACACACAGATTACCACAACTATTATAGTAAAATAGACTGCAAATACAGTTAATGTTGAAAGAAGAAACTCTTACTATTATAGTTCTTACCAAGGCTTATTAAACATTCTCTGCTTTAATACTTAAAAAAGAATCATAATAAATGTCTTCATTTACACTCACCAGATCAATATTTTGCATTATATCCTGAAATGAAGGATGAGTTCGAAATTGTTCAAAGAGATCGCGTTTGTAAAGCAGGGCGTATACCAAGTTTGGGTTGTGGTGAAGGGAATTTGTCAGGCAGGAGTTGATGATCTCTAACATCATTCGAATCACTTCTTCAATGACATTTAGGTCTTGTGCCTTATAGAGAAAAGAAACCCCAACACAGAGTCAGTCTTTTCCTCCTTGCAACAGAATTAATGAAAATAAGAGTAATTCCCTCAAAATTATAACAGCATTGGAAAGATCATGAAGAGAAGAAGCTCATCAAGATTATTTCTGTCAAGAATCTTAAGAATGAGGTTTATCAGTTACTAAAGGATTTGGGTTAAAATCTTTTGAACTTAGTATGGTAATAATTAGGAATTTCATATAATAAATTATAGACTTACCAATCTAGAGGGAAATTTGGAGCTTACTCAGCTCCTCATTTAATAGATCCATATTGGTATTCTCATTATCGTATTACCCTAAATCGTTAAGACTTCCATGATGTAGAGTAGTGGTAGGGTTGTACCCATTCCAAGAAAAATGCCTAATTCAGAAGATGACTTCATTTCTCTACACTGTCATTTCAGTCTTTATATTTCAGATAAACAGACTATGATTTTGTCACTGTTTCCTCATAATGAATAGTCTTTGGGAATCTGAACATAAAATAGTTGCCAAACAGTAAAGCTCAAAGTAAGCAATCAGCAAACCTCTTGGAAGAAAAGGGCAATGGAAAGAGCAAGCACATGGGTATATACAACAGACTTTCCTCTCCTCTTCAGTTTTCCATAATATATTTGACAGTTGAAGCAAAAATTATAACATTGATGTGGTTCTCAATGTATGTAAAGGAATATCTAAAACAATTATCAACAAAGGTGGTTAAGGGATTTAAAAGGACAAAGGTTTCTACAACTCACTTGAACTGGTAAAATATCAACACTACTAGACTGCGATAAGCTATGTACATATAATGTAATGTCTAGAGCAAATCTGCCTGAGGAAAAAAAAATACTATAGATATATCAAGGCTGGCTGTGGTGGCTCATGCCTGTAATCCCAGCACTTTGGGAGGCCAAGGTGGGCAGATCACTTGAGCTCAGGAGTTCGAGACCAGCCTGGGCAACATGACGAAACCCCATGTACACAAAAATTAGCCAGGCGTGGTGGCACACATCTGTAGCCTCAGCTACTTGGGAGGCTGAGGGGGGAGGATGGCTTAAGCCTGAGAGGTGGAGGTTGCAGTGAGTTGAGATTGCTCCACTGCATTCCAGCCTGAGTGACAGAGCCAGATCCTGTCTCAAAAAAAAAAAAAAAAAGAAAAAAAAGAAAAGAAAAAGAAAAAAAGAACCAGAGATATATCAAAATGGGATTCTAAAAAAATTTCCATACAGGAAGGCAGAAAAAATGCAAATGAAAAAGGGAAACCAACTAAAAACAGAAAGTAAAATGGTAGTTACACATTAATAACTACATTAATTGCAAATAGTCCACAATAGTTAAAATCTGAGGATTGGCAGAGTGGATTAAAAGCACACCACCCAACTATATGCTATCTATGAGAAACTTCTAATATAGTTAGGTTGAAAGTAAAAGGATGGAAAAAGATACCTACACAAACGTAAGTCAAAAGAAAGCAGGAGTGGCTATACAGTATACCATACCTTTAAGGGATTGGTTCCAGGACATCCCCCTGCCTCGGAAATACCAAAAATCTGCAGATGCTCAAGTCCCTTATACAAAGTGGCATACTACAGTTGCTCACTCCATCCACAGATTTTTTAAATCTGTGGATGTGGAATCTGAGGATATGAAGGGCCAACTGTATGTACTTTCAATCTGCGTTGGTTGAATCTGTGCATGTGTCACTCAAAATATGGAGGACTGACTTATATTAGTATCAGGTAAAGTAGACTTCAGAGACTATCTGGCCTACAAAATAAAAAATATTGACTATCTGGCTCTTTACAGAAAAAGTTTACTTCCCCTGCTTAAGAGATGAAAAGGTATGCCTATTTCCATACAATTTACCTCTGTCTTTCTTAATTTTTTTTTGACTCAGGGTCTCACTCTGTCACCTAGGCTGGAGTGCAGTGGTGCAACCCTAGCTCACTGCAGCCTTGAATTCCTGGATTCAAGCAATTCTCCCATCTAAGCCTCCCAAAGTGCTGGGATTTTATAGGTGAGCCACTGAACCCAGCCTCTGCCTCTGTTTTCTTAAATACAATGTCTAACATTCAACTGAAATGTATGAAACACACAAAAAAGTAAGTAAAAGAATCCATGTTGAACAAAGTCATCAGCAGAATATGACACAGAGATAAAACATTCTGAAAATATCAAAGAGGGAATATAAAAGAACTGTGATCTACAAAATTTGTTTGAATTGATTGGGAATTTCAGCAGAGTTAAAAACTATAAGAAAGAGACAAATGGTAATGCTAGAAATTTTGTAAAATGTGGTGACTGCAGTGAAGAATGCCTTAAATAGGTTTCAATAATAGACTGGACAGAGCTTGGGAATGAATTGCAAACTTGAAGGCAGGTTAACAGAAATTGCACAAACTAACCCTACAAAGAGAAAAAAAGAGTAAGAAAACAAGACAGAGAATCCAACAAGGGCTGTAAAATAATAAGAAATGCATTAATATACATCTAATTGACTCCCAGAAGGAAAAGAGAGAAAGAATGGGACAAAAGAGATATTCAAAGAGATAATGACTGAGCATTTCCTATAAATAATGAAAAAAAATCAAACAGATTCAAGCACGTCAGAAAATACCCATGGTCACTCCACCCCCAAACAAAAACCAAAAGAACCCATGTACTTAGATCCATCAAATTCAAATTATTAAAGACCAAGACAAAGAGAAAATCTTGAGGACAGCTAAAACCAAAACAAAACAAAAAAACCCACACACATTAAATACAGAGGCACAAAGATAAGAATCACAGCTGACTTAGGAGAACCGATGCAGTCCAACCTAAATGTAGTGGCATCATTAAAGCACTGAAATAACAGCCAAGTATCCTATACACAGCAAAAATATCTTTCAAATATGAAGGTCAAAAAAAGACTTTTTCAGATAAAAATAAGTTGAGATAATTTATTACCTGCACTATACAAAATATTAAAGGTATTTCTTCAGGCAGAAGAAATATGAAGCCAGACAGAAATGTAGATGTCCACAAGGGAAGCGAGATATTTTTATTTTTAATCATTCTAAAAGAGAGCTGACTTATAAAGTAAAAATAGTAGAGATGTATTATAGGTTTATAGCATATATATGTAAAACATGTAAAATATATCATAACATTCTGCTGATGGACATCCAATATATATCTAGTTTCCTTGTTTCTATGAATAAGGCTGATAAGTCTCCTGGTAGATGTGTTATATATGGGTACTTTTACGTCTCTGGGATAGATTCCAGGAGAGGGATTGCTGAAAAGGCTGTATTTGTAAAGTTAATAGATGCCATCAGATTGTTTACGGTGATGACAATACACTTAAACTAGCAATGTAGGAAGGCCTTCTACCATTTTCTCACCAACAGCAGGTATACTTGTTCTTTTTAAAACTCACTACCTGAAAGATACAGAGAAATACACTGTTACTACCTTAGTGACCATCTCCCTGAATGGGAGTGCAAACCCTCTTGTGAACTGCACGTGTGAGGGATCTGGGTTGCACACTCCTTACAGGAATCTAATGCCTGATGATCTGAGGTGGAACTGAGGAGGTGATGCTAATGCTGGGGAGCAGCTGCAAATACAGATTAACAAGCTCAGTGCTCCCCTCGTTTCTACATTATAGTGAGTTGTATAATTATTTCATTATATATTACAATGTAATAATAATAGAAACAAAGTGCACAATAAATGTTATGCACTTGAATCATCCTGAAACCACCAACCAGTCCATGGAAAAACTGTCTTCCACAAAACCGGGTCCCTGGTGCCAAAAAGGCTGGGGACCGCTGCTTTATATTCTTCAGCATCACAACCACAAGTCTAGGTATTGGCTTATTTTTATTCATCTTGCTCAGTATATTCGGAGTGCATTTTGACCTGACAACCTAGTCTCTTCCATAAAGATAACTTGGATAATCTTTTCTAATTATTATCTTCCAATTTATTAACTCTCTTTGATAGTGTCCAGTATAGATCACTGTTGCTTACTGAGCTTTGAATTTTAATGACTATATTTTTCATTTTAAGCTTTCTAGTTAACTAGTTCTCTCTCACAGTCATGTTCTTACTTATTTCTGTTTTTATTTCCTATTTATTCTTTTTTATGAATATTGTTCCTTCATTTATCTTTGAGGCTACTCAAAGTATTTTCAAAATTATTCTATTAGTTTTTAATTTTATTTGGATAAATTTACCTTAATTATGATCATGACTGCTATCTTTCTATTGTTAATTTCCGCATGTATTTTGTTATGCAAGCTTATCTAATATGGCTTAATACTTCCAAATCTATAGGTTATGTGGTGGCTTCCTAGAGTCTCAGACTGAAACCAGGTCTCATAATTGGTGCCTCGGTGCTCCTGCCCTGCAATCATACTAAAGACAGTACTGGCCGGGTTTATCACCATACCAGTATCAGTTTGTTTCAAGATCCCATGGTGAGGCTGTTTCTGTGTACTCTTGCCTCCCTAGACATATAATTTAACTGTTATTATTAGCACATTCATTCAGGCTCTTTATTTCAATAAAGCATCTATTCCAGCTCCTAATTTCTAGCAGGGAATCTGGCACTAGTGTCTGGCCTACAGTAGCTGAGCTCCCAACCACTTCTCCTCCTTCCAGCTCAGCAGGCTCACTGTTCTGACTGCTTTTTCTGCTTCTGTTCCATCAAGAAATAGCTGTCTCATTTTGGGATTTGGCTATGTGTTTAAAATGTTTTCTTTTTATGATTCATCTATTATTGTTATGTTTTTGAAGCAAAGGGGAGGAGATGAGACTTCAAATTTGGAACTAACAAGATAATCTTGACCAGAAGTCCTCTGAATTATATTTGCTTCTCATTTTGGTATTTGAATTAGTATAGAAGGAAGAGACTTCAAGCTTCAGAATTCTCTCTCACGGTCATTTAAGGGCAACCCAATGAAATGGTATGACTACTTTAGAAATATAATCAAGTCAAAATATTAGCTTTCTGTAGAATTTTATGTTCATGTATATTTTATACACTCACTTATGCTAAGTATAAGTGCTGATATATGAAACTTATACTTCAAAAATTATCTGCAGATAGCTTACAATTTCTGCTTTCAAACACATTGAGAGTTTGTTCTCAATGTTTAAATAAGTAATTTGCTGAAACAAACAGGGTGATACACCCAACTCCTAACTAGGCACCTGCTACTTTAAACCCAGGCTAAAATACTGACTATTTATTTTATTCCCAAGTCAGGGAAAGTATAAAATAGAAACTTGAGGCTGGGTACAGCAGCTCACATCTGTAATTCTAGCATTTGGGGAGACTGAGGCAGGAGGATCACTTGAGGCCAGGAGTCAAAAGCAGTTTGGGCAACTGAGCAAGACCCCATCTCTATAAAAAACTTAAAAATTAGCTAGGAGTGATGTGGTGGTGCATGCCTGTAGTCCCAGTTACTCAAGAGGCTGAGGCAGGAGGATTGCCTGAGTTCAGGGGTTTGAGGCTGCAGTGAGCTATGATCATGCCACTGCACTCCAGCCTGGGCAACAGAGTGAGACCCTGTCTCAAAAAAAAAAAAAAAAGAAACTTTATATTAATAAGCATGTTCTACATTAGTTTTTACTTTGCATGACTC